>NC_000002.12:95150149-95477216 GCF_000001405.40 Homo sapiens | reverse complement strand
CTGGCTCCTTAACTTTTCCTGTCAGGCCTTTCTTTTACACTGGCCACAGATGATCAGGATTAAGAAAACTTACTGTTTGGGAACTCCATATACAAGGGAGCCCTTCACTGTTGATACAAAGAAATCATACTGTTCAGGCTTTTTTGTACTTTAGTGTCACTTCATTTTTATTGCTATTAAATAAAAAATTTGTAAAAGGCAAAACTTTTTGTACATTTTCTTACAATTAAAATAATCTCTTATGGACCATTACCTAAAATACGTATTGTGATTTTCAAGTGTTTGTGAATTTATTGGATGGAATTCTGGAAATATGTGGGTGTGTGATTCCAACTTAATGATCTCATTCAGGAACAACTTTTGTACATCATGGGCAGACGGGGTTTTGTACAATGCACTTGTAAGTGTGAGAGTTCCCTCCTATTAATACAGTAAATTCTACACCTCATCCCTTTGGGGGGAAAAATTTATTTCACACAGAAGTTGTCACTGAATCTTTGGGCTAGAACAGGAATTTAACAGTCATGCATCCTATGGCAACAAAATACATTCTGAGAAATGCATTATTAGGCGATTTCATCATTGTGTGAACATCAGAACACACTACAAAAACCTAGATAGTATATTCATCTACAGACATAGGCTAATGGTACAGCCTATTGCTTTTCTGAGAATTTGCTAGCGATGTCTGAGCAAGAACCAAAAGGGTTTAACCCACATTGAATTCTGCAGCTGTTTAATAAAGCAAACAGCATCATCCAGGGAATAATAGATGTGCAGACTGTCTGCTTTAAAATGTGTTTATATTTCCAATTCACACAGACTGTGAATTCTCATTGACAACCTAGAGACCAGACATAACCAACACCTCATGTTACATTGGAAACATATTAGTATCAGGTAAAAATAAATAAATAAATAAATAAACAAACTAACTAAATTAAACCAAAACAAAAAGTGAAACAAACAAAACCCAGTTCTGATGAAAACCCAGTTTATAGTGAGTCCATTGAGTCTGTCTAGCCACCAGATGGTCATTTTCATGATCACTGATTAAATAATGGAAACATTCTACTTCCAGTCCAGCAGATGATCCTGGCTGATGTCTGAGGTTCATTGCTTGGGGCTGTTACCTAGAATATATTCAAACGGCCTTTCCAGGTAGCTCCCTGGGCTTGCTCACAGCATGGTAGATAATTTTCCACAGTGAAGATTCCCATAGAGTCAGGAGAATTGTATACTACCATTATTCCAGAGAGTAAAACATCAGCTGTAGCCACAACCCTACACAAAGTAAAGGGACTAGAACACACACACAGCAGTAGCAGTCTTGAAGTTACATCATAGAAAAACAATGTGGGATGGAATATATATTTTAGCACTCTTTTAGAGAGAGTGGGGGAGGAATATAACCTACTACACCTACTCTTCCTAAGAAGTGGACACTGAGGATCTATATCCAGAGACTGGGGGTCCTGTAAAACATGAGATCCAACGAGCCCCTTATAGAAACACCATTCAAGTTCCAGATTCCTGGAAAAGGGCAATTGACAATTGACCAGGTAAATATTCTTTTGGAAATTTTCTTCAAGATTTGGTATCAACTGGACAATCATTATGAACACAGCACAGCAAAATCACTGAGGAAGATGCACATGACACTGGAGTAGAGGGGGGGAAGGGGTGGTCCATCTCCTTCAAGATGACCAGGGAGAGACACAGTAATTCTATGTCAATGAGATGAAAAAGGTCAGGGCATCCTTGTCAGGAACCGCCTTCTGATGTCTATACGCGGCTGCAAACTATTCATGTAGGCCTTCTGAATGCCTTGTACTTCCCAAGATTTCTTGATGTTAAGAACCACTGACTGGGGTTCATAGTACGTAGAATACCTTCAGCATAGAGGGTGACAAAGTCTTTCCCTCAAAAGCCAGAAATTCAGAAACCTGTAGCTGAGTCATCCACTGGACCTTACCAGTAAGTGTGGGCTGAAGAGAGAGACACTGGCTTTAACCTCAGATAAAAGCTGTTCCATTCTCATTGCCTTGTAGCCTCTCATACTCAGAAGGAAAGGTGAGGCTCGGTCCTGTGACTGTTCATTCTTCCAGACTGTGAAAGTTTTTGATGCTGACTCAGAGAAATGTCCTCTGTTTACTAAAATATAATATCTATTAACATTCTGCTGCAAAGGAGATAGGCCCTGTCTTGTCGCAGTCCTCTCAACCTGTGCCCATATGTTCCACTCCTCTGGCCCGTACTGAACCATGATGCCTGCCAGAATCACTCTGAAATTCTTCTGTCCCTCTGTCAGTTTTCTGGCCCAGTTCTCAGAACGCAGGTCCCTGTCTGTCCGCTTTGCAATGATCTGTCCATGCCCTTCAAATTCACAACATAAGAAGAGTTGATCATTAAAATATCCCAGAATGGGAAATAGGGGTTCCCTGTTCTGTCTGAGACCAGCAATGCAGATGCAGGATTCTAAGGGAGGAGGAGAAAGCAAAAGTTGGTGTCCTTGAAACTGCTCAGTCACATCCTTGTGACATCTAAAAGGGTAAAAGGTATTCAGGGTTAAATAATTGGAACAGAAGGAGGACAGTCAAGTTCAGGCATATATGGAGAAAGAGAGCTTCTGTCAGTGCCTGACACCAAGTAAAACTCTTTCTTTAATGGAATGCACCCATAAATGTGTCAGAAAAATAACCCTTGGTGAGGAAAACCAAAGTTGCAGAGAACAAGGGATAAAGAAGACAGCAAGCAACATTTCCTGCAGATTTCAAAATAATTCTTGAGTGCTTACATTTCCTGGAATTGCTGTGAGGCTACTGTGTATTATCACCCACTATGAAAAAGTCAGCTGAGAGTAATATGGTATCATGGTTAAGAGCAATGTCTTGAAGCTAAATTGCCTGGGTTTGATTCCCAAACTCACTGCTCATAAGCCTCCTTCCCAGAACAAAGTGCCCTTCTCAAAGCCTTGTGTGTGGGTGTGGGGTGTATGGGTGTGTTAGGCATATTTTTATATAATATAGCAGTTGTATATTCACAGTAATTGTGTGTGTGTGTGTGTGTGTGTGTGTGTGTGTATGTATATATATGTGCTGGGATTATAGGTGTCAGCCAATGCGTCTGGCTTACTCTCACTTTTAACTATTGTCTTAGAAGCATGCATGACTCAATTTGTTTTTCAATTCACGAATATATCTAATGGTTTAGAGAGTTATTTTTTAACTGAACTGTCACGTTTTGCAATTATGATATCTTTATTTCTATTCAACCCTCACATTATTTACTTCTTTTTCTTGTCTAGTTGCATTGAAAAGGAGATCAAGCAAGGTGTTGAACACAAGTGATGATAACAGGATTTATATCTCATTCCCATTCCTGGGTAGAAGCTTTCAAATTCTCCATTAAATATGGTACTGGCTCTAAGTTATTACATTCTTATTAGAGAAAGTTCATGGCTATTTGTTTTTAATAGTGCTTTCAAAATCATAAATGACCATTTCATTGTATCAAATATTTTCTTCCTCTTTTTACAGGAACAATGATATGTATTTCATCCTGTTCATGTCGTGATTACTTATTTCATTTTCTGATGTTACATTAGTCAACCTTTCTAGAATAAGCTCCACTTGGAGATGATATGAGTTTATCTCTCACAAGATTTGACTAGCTAGCTTTTTTGAATTGTTGCACCTATATTTATTTTAGAGTCTGTACTGCAATTTGCATTTCTTGTAACACACTTTTCAGGATCGAATATCAAAATTATATGTTGGAGCTTGGCACAGCAGCTAGAGCCTGTCATCACAGCCCTTTGGGAGGCCAAGACAGGAGGATCACTCGAGCCTAGAAGTTCTGGGCTTCAGTGAGCTATGATCTTGCCATCGCACTTCAGCTTGGGCAACAGAGAGAGAAGCTGTTTACAAAAAGTAAAAGAAAACACAACAGAAAACCAAAGTTACAAGTTGGGAAGTATTACTGCTTTTTTCTGTTCTCTAGAAGGGTTTGTCTAAAAGCGTGTGATTTTTTTTTCTTAAATGTTGTGAATATTTCACTGAAAAAGATCACCAGGTTTTTCGCTGGGAGAAGTTTTGTTTTTTAAATAATAGGGTAAATTTTTAGAATCTAAATCATATCTTAGATTTGTCTATGGTTTCTTCTGTTGGTTTTTGTCAGATATGTTTTTCAGGGAAATTTCTCATTTCATCTAAATCATCAAGTGTATGAACATAAAAGTCATCTTAAAATCTTCTTATTAACATATTAATTTGTGGATGACCTAAGTGTTGGCCTATTTATTTTTGATTTGAACTCCTCTTCTCCATTTTTTAATTGAGTCTCACTAAGAATTTATCAATTTAATTGATCTATTTAAAGAGCCTACTTTTGGTGGGTGTGGTGGCTCACACCTGTAATCCCAGCACTTTGGGAGGCCGAGGTGGGTGGATTATTTGAGGTTAGGAGTTTGAGACCAGCCCAGCCAACATGGTGAAACCCCAGCTCTACTAAAAATACAAAAATTAGTCAAGCGTGATGGCACGTGCTTGTAATCCCAGCTACTCGGGTGGCTAAGGAAGGAGAATCACTTGAACCTGGGTGGCAGAGGTTGCAAGGAGCCGAGATCGCACCACTGCACTCCAGCCTGGGTGACAGAGTGAGACTCTGTCTCAAACAAACAAAAAAAAAGCCTACTTCATTGATTTTATCTACTGTATGCTTTTTAATCAATATTCTACAATTTTTTTTTTTAGATTTTGGCATGAATTTACTCTTGTTTATCTGGCTCTTTGGGATAGATAACAGATGAATTTAATGCTTTATTTCTAAATAACAGATGAATATAATGCTATACATTTTCTTCTTAACATTGTTTTAATTAAATCTCAGAAGTTTTGTTTCTATATATCTTGAATATTATCCCATGAAAAATATATTCATTGCTTTTCTTTAATTCATGCATTTACAGAGACACTGTAAAAGAAAGAGAAGAAAATACTTTTTTAAACCTTTATTTTAAGTATAGCAATACATGCGCAGGTTTGTTACATGGGTAATCTTGTGTCATCAGGGTTTGTTGTATAGATTATTTTATCAACCAGGTCTCAAGCCTAGCACCCATTAGTTATTTTTCCTGATCCTCTCCCTCTTCTAATCCCCCACCCTCCTATAGGTCCCAGCGTGTGTTGTTCCCCTCTATGTGTCCATATGTTCTCATTATTTAGCTCCCACTTATAAGTGAGAACATGCACTATTTGGTTTTCTGTTCCTGTGTTAGTTTGCTAAAGATAATAGCCTCCAGCTCCTTCCCTGTCCCTGCAAAAGACATGATCTAATAATTTTTTATGGCTGCATAGTGGGAATACATTTTCTAGTTACATTATAAAACAATAAGAAACAACTGAAATTAATTTTAATAAAAATCGTTAACCAAATATATCCAATAGGTTTCGACACGATTAACATTACAAACGTTAGTAAGATATTTTGTATTGTTACTTTTTTGTTTATCTGTTTGTTTTGAGACAGGGTCTTCCTCTGTCACCCAGGCTGGCATGCAGAGATGGGCATTCCAGCTAACTGCAGCCTCAACACCCTGTGCTCCAGCAATCCTCCCACCTCAGCCTCCCCAGTAGCTGGGACTACAGGTGCTTGCCACAACACCCGGGTAAAGTTTTTTTTCTGTAATGATGAGGTTTCACAGTGTCGACCAGGCTGGTCTCAAACTTCTTGAATCATGAAACGTCCCACTGCAGCCTTCCAATGGCTGGTATTACAGGCATGATCAACTGCACTCTGCTTTCTTACCTTTCGTGCTAAATTTTTGAAATTATGCACTAGAAGATCCGAAGTAAGAGAAGTGTTAAAAAAGATGAAGCCCCCAAATTGCAAGAACCACAGAGAGTAATAAACTGTGGTCCAAAGGTAATCAGACAGATTTAAACTCATATACAGAAAAACCAATCTAAAAAGAAAAGAAACGTTGATTATAAAGCGAGATTCTTGACTTTGTGATTGCAGACTTTGTGATTAGCAGTTTTCTATAATGGTAAAATCCAGGTCAGGCCATGAAAGTGGAGGCAGAGATACAATAAAGGAGAAGTTCTTTCAACCAGACCTCACAATCTAGTAGAAGTAACAGACACACTAGTAAAGCAACAATCCCAGTACAACATGGAAACTGCCACAAATATCTATCTATTGGACATATAGAATCAAAGATCAAATCGTTTGCATGAGTCTTGAAGAATGAATGGAAATTTTCCGGGTGAATAAACAGTAACAGTTGTCCAGGTTCAGAAAAATGCCTGCATAAGGGAGAATTTGCTGTCTAAGGTGGTTTTCAATACCTGTGATTCTCGGCAGATGAGCAATGCTTTGATGGTCCAGAAAAACCGAGGGGTTAAAAGTGTATTTGTGGAATGCAACTTTTTATAAATCCAAAAAGTAACTTTAAAAGGAGACTGTGGATGGATTTCTGAATCACAAGTAAGGGAAACTCTGTCAGAGAGGACTTCCAACTGGACAATTTCAAATGAAGAATCCTTAGCTCATTTGAAATACCAAGGTCTTAGAAAAAGAGAACAGAGGCCATGGACTGGAGACGAGAGTTTGAGTTTTAAACAGGGTGGTCAGAAAATGCCTCAATGAAAAATTCATATTGAGACAACGTCTTGAAGAGGAAGGCAAACACAAGTGTGTGTGTGTGTGTGTGTGTGTGTGTGTGTGTGTTTGTGTGTGTGTGTGTATGCTTAGAGAGAGAAAGAGAGGCAGAGAGAATTCTAGGTGAAGAAAACAACATGTGCAGTAATATTGAGTTTGTGTTTATTTTGAGGGCTGAGGAACCACAAAGAAGTTTATGTTTTATGTTAAAGTCAGTATGAAAAACAATGGAAAGAAATGAGATTAGATAGACAAAGAAGGCCAGATCATAAATGAAGCCTTATTAGCATAGGTTTTGCTTGGTGAAATGCATTGAGTTGAGCATGCTAGTCTGAGGCTATTTCACACATAATGAATTTAAATAACTTGCCCCAAATTTCAGAAATGAAAATAATTATTCCCTTTCTAGTCAATATAGCTCTAGAGTCTAACTATTAAGCCCGAACTGTCTTACTTTTCTATAAATATGAGTTGGAAAAGAGGAATCCAATTTGTTTTTCTTCTTTATGACTATCTTAGAAAAAACACTTTATCACGAATAAAGTGAATATATTTGGTTAGATACATCTATGTTCGTTGATCTTCATGCAGAAAAGAAAACAGAGTAAAATTTCGTATAGTCTGAGAATTGGCAAGACTAAGAGTTAAAATATGGGATGTTCAAGAGACAAAGAGGAACCAGTGAGATTCAATAGGAGATGAGTACGTCGGTTTTGTTTTTGACTAACCCGTTGTTACTGCAGGATTATGTGAATTTAAAGATAGAAGCAATCAGAGCTGAATATCAGAAGATGCCTGCATTTCTCCATGAAGAACAGCAACATCACTTGCAGATGCTTCAAAAGGAGGACGAAGACAATTTTTAGCAACTCCATAAAAGCGATGCCAGAATGGCCCATGAGAGGGAGATTTTAAAAGGAATGTATGAGGAGCTGAAGGAAAAGTCCCATAAACCAGATGTGGAGCTAATCCAGGTACTGACTGACCATGGGGTATCAGGATGTGGAACATTCATGTGCACAGGTGTTCTTCCTCTTTCCTGAAATGCCTTCTTCCCTGTATTTCCACGACTTCTTTCCAGAAACACATTTCCATAACTCATGCTACTTTGTGGGTAGAGTATAGCCCCTCCCAGGGATTTTACCAGAAAAAAAGGTCCCTCTTACTTTATCCACCAGCAACAAAACTTTGTGGAATGGTCAAGGTAACAGCCCTAATAAATATTCCCCATCTACGGTCAATAATATATTTGGCTTTTTGAACATTTATAAAATAGTGAGAAATTCATTTACATTAGGTCAGTTTGGAGACATGGCAAGACTGGGAGTTTGGGGAATCTAAATATTATTTTTCATCCATTCACTTTTATAATAGGGCCTAGGGAAGATGACTGGATAGGTTCTTCATGGTTACTGCAGAAGATAGACTCTGGGCCTTTTCTCCCTTCACTTGTATAAAGAATGTCTTCAAGACTCTGACTTCACTAGGACATTAATTCATAACAATATGATAGACTATGTTTTTCATTAGAGAAGAAATATAAAATGCTTTCCAGAAGGGAAAATGGCAGGAAAATAATATTTTCAGAAACTGCCTCCAGATCTCACACTGAACTTAGTGGAAGATTCATCTTGTAGAAAGCACAAACCCTTTCTATTTTTTTTTTACAGGTGTTTGGAGACATATTACACAGGTGCACGTGTACCTGGATTTTAGCAGGTGTTCTTTCAGTTTCCACAAATATCAAACAGGATCTACTAAAGCGAAGGCATACATGATCAAGATATTAATATTACTTTTTCCTGGTTCTACTTTTGCTCCCCCACCTTATGTAGTCATCTATTATGTCACCATACTCAGTGATTTTACTGGACAGATGCAAAGAAAGTATTGGGAAAAAAAAGGAGAAAAAGCAAACACCAATACATAAATAAATAAACAAAAGAAGAATGAAAGAAAACAAGCATCTCAATTTCTGATTTTTTTATACCTCCAAATCCTGGATAGGTGAAAGATAAAGTGTTGTTTCCTGGATGGTGGGAAAATCACCAGGGGAAGCAGCAGGAGAGAGAAGGGGAAACTATTTTAGAAGTGAGAAAGTGTGGATGATTTGTTGTTTACATTATATATATATACACACACACACACATATATATACACACACATACACATATATATAATCAGTTGATGCTCTGAAAAATAGATTAAACAAACTGTAAAGGGTTAGAAGCCTGTAAGCCTCTAGAGAAGTCTGGCACTAAAGAAGAAGAGCACACTGACAGGCACCAGCAGATGCTGGCAGCCATTAATGGTAGAATGACATGGAAATCAGCTGAGAGCTCTTGGAGGCGAGCCCTGCTGCTGAGACGTTTTACTGCAGGGGAACACCACCTTCCCACTCCATCCCCCTTCTGGCACACCATTTATCTGCTGAAAGCTGCTTTCACCAACCAATAAATCTTGCACTCATTCTCCAAGCCCACATATGATCCGAGTTCTCTGGTACACTCAGGCAACAACCCCAGGATACAGAAAGCCCTCTGTCCTTGCAAAAAGGCAGAGGGTCTAATTGAGCTGGTTAACACCAGCCAGCTGTGGAAAGGTAAGCTAAAAGAGCACAATGAAACACAAGCCCACTGGTGCTTTTCTTTTCTAATAGTATAAAATCTAAAACTTAAAGAAATGTCAGTTTTATTTACGACTACACTCCAGGAAATAATAACAATCAGTTAATATAACGTCTAGGACATAATGGAAATGTAACAAATATTTGAATAATTAAATTTAAAAATGCATAAGAGAGATTTGAAAACTTTGATGTTAAAGATAGGAGCATTAATTTAATGGTTTGCGTTTTTTAGGATTTTAGGTTGATGTGAAAACCAATTAAATTCTAGAAGCTTATTTTAAACCTCATCCATTTTTCATCTTTTTAGAAAGATTCCTGTTTGTTGGGATGCAGGGAGTATAGAGAGTGTATTAGCACAGAAGCCTAATGTGTGGGTGTGTGATAAAGTCATGGCAGTTATTCATTATTCATTTTATTTATATATATTTGGATAGAGAGATAGACTGAATTTTTAAAATGGAGATAGGGTCTCACTATGTTCCCCAGGCTGAACTCATACTCCTGGGCTCAAGGGATGCTCCTCCCTCAGCCTATGGAGTAGTCAGGAATATAGGAGCTGGCCACCATTCCTGGCAGTTTGTTTCATTTTAATTTAATTTGAGGTCATCCCCCAGGCCATAAGAGAAGAGATGGGAGAATAGAAGAACAAAATGTAGACATATACTCCCTTCTTTCTATTCTCATTTCACCATCATACAATATCCCCTTGGTTTTTGTTTTAATAATTGTTCTGCCACAGTTAATTACACATTCACTAGTGTGTTTCCACTATCAAACGTACTTCTTCGGTATACTGTGGAAATTAACAAATGCTTGTTAACAGAAAAAAAACAAAACCTAAAGCTTGGTCAACATCACTGTCTTCCATACCGGGGAATGAGTGTTGCTGTGGGGTCTTGAACAAGTCTCCTCAAGGTAGGAGGCTAAACTTGACTTTCGAGGTAGGGCTCAGACACCAAACCAAGTTGAGGTTAGCTAAAACAGGGACCAGGCAGAAGCAGCTTTCCAAAAGACACGCCCACCAGTGTGCCAGAGCAGGTTACCATTGCCATGGCAACACCCAGGAGTTATCACCCATTCCATGGCAATGACTTGACATCCCAAATTACCCTTTCTCTAGAAATTTCTGCATAAACCCCTTAGTCTACATGCTATTAAAAGTAGGTGTAACCATGACTGCAAAACTGCTGTGAGCTGCTAATCTCTGCCCATGGAGTAGCCCTGCTCTGTGGGAGCAGCCACAAAGCTGTAACATCACCAGAGCTGAAACGCTACTGCTTCAATAAAGCTGTTTACCTCTACCTTTGGCTTGCCCTTGAATCCTTTCCTGGGCAAAGTCAAGGACTCTCAAAGGTTAAGCCCCATTTTGAGGCTCAGCTTCCCTGCATTGAGCTTAACTCACTTTGCCAAAGTGTTGTCAATTATCAAGCCTAGTGATGAGAGCTTACAAAGCTTACATTTATTGAGAACTTATCATGTGGTACGCATGTGTTTTAAATGCTTCAAATATAAAAACCTCTATAATCCAATATTTACAATAAAAAACTGAACTGTGGGAAATTTAACAGATCTGAACTAAGGCAACTAGTCTCCCACATCTGTACTCTTCATTTTGCAGTGTGTTGCCGTCTCCAGTGAAATGTGGGTAATAGACCAACATTCCAACGACCACTGGTTGAGAGTCAGGTCACATCATGCTGTATCCAGAATTGGTGGGTTCTCGGTCTCGCTGATTTCAAGAACGAAGCCACGGCCCCTGGCGGTGAGTGTTACAGTTCTTAAAGACAGTATGTCAAGAGTTTGTTCCTTCAGATGTTCAAATGTGTACAGAGCTTCTTCCTTCTGGTGGGTTCGTGGTCTCATTGACTTCAGGAGTGAAGCTGCAGACCTTGAGGTGAGTGTTATAGCTCATAAACACGGGGTGGACCCAAACAGTGAACAGCAGCAAGATTTATTTTAAATAACAAAAAGAACAATGCTTCCACAGTGTAACAGTGTGGTAAGGGACTCTAGTAGGTTGCGCCTGCTGGCGCAGGTGGCCTGCTTTTATTCCTTCTCTGGCCACACCCACGTCCTGCTGATTGGTCCATTTTGCAGAGAGCTGATTGGTCCATTTTACAGAGAGTTGATTGGTCTATTTTGACAGAGTGCTGATTGGAGTTTTTACACTCCCTTAGCTAGACAGAAAAGTTCTCTGTGTCCCCACCTGATTAGCTAGACACAGAGCCCTGATTGGTGTGTTTACAAACCTTTAGCTAGACACAGAGTGCTGATTGGTGCGTCTACAATCCTTTAGCTAGACAGAAAAGTTCTCCAAGTCCCCACCCATCCCAGAAGCCCAACTGGCTTCACCTCTCACTGGCACTTGCCGCTGGACTTTGTGGCACCTAGCCCGGGCACTCTGGCATCCCAGAGGGATCTCGTCCCAGACAATCTAGAGGAAAAGAGGGGAAGCGAGAAAGAGACAGAGACCTACTAACGTGGCTAACGATCCCGCGAAAAGGGAACAGGGGTCCCACGCACGGGATTGAGCCTCCTATCAAGCCCAGCAGGCTCCGACGGGCTGCGCTGAGTGCGGGACTTGCCGAACCCTCGCTAGCCCGCAAGAGATGCGTGCGGCCCAGGCTCCTGCTGGCGCGTCTCTCTTCACACTTCCCCTTCAGCAGAGGTAGCCAGCTCTGGCCTAGGCCAGCACCAGAGGGGTCCCTCATAGCGCAGCAGCAGGCTGAAGGGCTCCTGGAGCGCGGCCAGAGTAGACACCGAGGCTGAGGAGGCACCCAGAGCGAGCGAGGGCTGCTAGCATGTTGTCATTTCTCAGTGCCACTAAAGAGTTTATTATAATACCTAACACAATAAAAAATAAATATCTGCTGTAATATTAAAATATTAATAAAAATAATATTTACCACATAATTTACCACTTTCACTCCATCTCATCACTGAATAATCTATAACTTTACTGCAACATCAAGCCCAATCCACCTTCTCTTTCTTTCTCAGGAGATGACTTTGCATCTCATCTTGTCAATAAAATGGAGTTTATGTAATCTTTTACATTTAGGCTCAAAGCCATTTTTTTCATAACCTTAATAGCACCCTTCATCACCGCATTTCAACTGTTTACACAAAAACACAATTTAAAGTTTTTTATGGCTTGGCATGGCAGCTCATGCCTGTGATCCCAGCACTTTGGAAGGTCGTGGCAGGAAGATTGCTTGAGGTTTGAGACCAGCCTAGGCAATACAGCAACACCCCATCGCTACAAAATATATATGTATATATAAGCCATACGTGGTGGCTCACACCTGTAATCTTAGCTACTCACAAGGCTGAGATGGGAGGACCCCTTCAGTCTGGGAGTTTAAGGCTAAAATAAGCTAAGATTGCACCACAGTACTCCAGCCTGGGTGACAGAATGAGACCTCGTCTCAAAAAAAAAAAAAAAAAAAGTTGTATGTGAATATATGTTTACAAAAATGCCTGCTTTGTTCTAGACATGGATTGTTGTGCTCTGGATATATGAAGTTCTTAATATTCTCCTTACATAAGAATAAAAGAATTAATATAAACAAATATTTTTCTGTAATAGAATTAGGAAATTTTCCCAAAATATGGGTAGCATAATATGATAGAAAATATTAAAGGATAATGTCAAAAAACGTAAGAAGATTAGTGTCAAGATTCACATGCTAATGAAGTGTCAAGATTCACATGCTAATGAACTTTCATTATTTATATATTTGAAACAATTGTATCTTATTTTTATTCTATAAGGTTGATTGTGAAATTTTCTGAGGATGGCCAACATGTACCAGGAAAATACGAAGATTCTTAGTGATAAGAAAATATAAAAAAGGACTTACAATGATGGAGACTGTCGGGAATTAAACTGACATACATATTAAGCTACTCACTAAGAATAAAATGATTTCCATCTCATTTACTGTAGAAATATACAAAACACACTTACATCATAAAGAGGAATACAGATGATAGAGAGTGCATATTTTTATAATAAATTGAGAAACCTATGTTAAAACAAAAAAAGGAAAGAAAATATCTTGGATTATAAACAAGGGATCAATTATGACTAATATGTAAAGAATTTGTATCATCTGTAATTCATTCAGTCTCATAAACCTGAGGGTACATTTCTCACAGATACCCAGAATCAGCAAAAACCTCTCATGGGATCAGTTAGGGCACAGGCTAATTTACTCTAATAAAGATCCCAATTTTAAGTAAATGGGGGCTATTTTTTACATCTACTTATCTAAATAGAGGAGGTAATCAAAAAAAAACGACTGTTACTTTCAACAACTGGATTTCATCTCTATTTGCAAGAAAGTGAAATTTGTTGCCATCTCCTGTTCAGCGAGAAAACTGAAAAAGCATCCTGAGCAAGAGGACCTGAATGTCAGGAAATGACGTGGTGCTTTCTACAATACTTCTGTTCCCATCCTCTTCCTTCAAGCTTAGGCATGCAGCACACTGAGCTGCCAGATGTATCTGGAAATGCTGAATACACATTAAATGTTTATTTTTATTTCCTTTATTTTATTTATTTTTATTTTATTTTATTTATTTTTTATTTTTGTTTTTATTTGCCAGAGACAAGGTCTTGCTATGTTGCCCATGATGGTCTCAAAGTCGTGAAATCTAGTAACCCTCCTACCTCAATCGCCCAAAGCATCGGGATTAGAGGCATGTGACACTGTGTCTGGCCTTTTCTTTATCTTTTTTTTTTCTTTGATTTAGAAGAAAAAAAAAATTCAATGACAGACAGAGCAGAAGAAATACCCAGAGCTTGTGTTCAATGAAAATCAGGTGATCCTTTACTAAAGAGTTGCTTTTAGTTCGAACCGGGAATGAGTATTCAGGAATAAGTAAACTCTGCTTTTCACCACTGTCGAGGTGTCCAGTGTTTCCCCATTCAGCAACTGGCTAACTGAGGATCATATGGCAAGAAGGATCTTATGTGTCTTTTAATCTCTTAAATTGGTGGCTAAATCAAGGTGATTATCCAAATTATGAAAATACTTATCAGCAATGCTTCCTTATTCTTTCTGTCTGTACTACCTAGACTGCTTAGTTAACTTTCTCTCTTCTCCTCCTACACATGTTTTGTAGCACTTTACTCGGCAACAGGAAAATTCTATCACCTTCTGAAATTTGTGTCTCTCCAAGTGATCTCACATTGTGGAATTTTACCTTCTGGGCTTTCAACCCAATTTTCCTTTCTGTTTCCACCTAAAGTTCCTGAGCATTCTCTATTGACACTAAAATTTCCATAAGCAGCAGCCATTACACTCTCAATTACCTTGTTACCAATTTTGTTTGTCATTTATTCAAAGAAAATTTTGTAGCTAATCTTATTTAGCTTAGATTTACTTGTACATACAGGTGGTATTAGCCACTAAGGACATTTAAGATATAGGTTGGTAAATTTTCTCAGCCATTAAACCAAAAATTTATTACATTCTTCTGTTTTGATAACTTCTATTATAATTATTATCACCTGGGACATTCCTAAAATTCAGAAATAAAATTAAGGTAAGACACTGGGAACCTTGCCAGTTATATCAGAAACCTAAGATTCCTTCTCACCTCGTGAAGAGGTTATTGATCCATTTGCCTTGTCACATTTTGGGGGGCAGAAGTAAAATTCTTCATAGAAATAAAATTAAAAACTGATGTGGAAACATAGTATGTGTGTAGTTCAAACCAGAGAAGTGATATGAAATTTAAGGAAGAGTATACAAAATGCGAAGAGATCACAGTCTATGATGAAATTCTGGGAAAGCCGTAGCATAAAGATCACATCAAGGAATATGAGCCCAGGAAGGAACTAAGATGTGTTAACCATATACTTAAAAAAAGAAAATTACATGTTGGGAGGCTGAGGCGGGCAGATAACTTGAGGTCAGGAGTTCGAGACGAGCCTGGGCAACATAGTGAAACCCTGTCTCTACCAAAATTACGACAATTAGCCAGACATGGTGGTGGGCATCTGTAATCCCAGCTACTTGAGACACGGGGCTGGAGACTTGCTTGAACCCAGAAGGTGCAGGCTGCAGTGAGCTGAGATTATGCCACTGCACTTCACCCTGGGTGCCAGAGTACGACTCTGTCTCAAAAGAAAAGAAAAGAAAAGAAAGGAAAGTTGTTTGTGGCAAAATAAAGCAAATGCATAATAGTAGCATACATAGAGTTCTTGTCTTGTGTTCTCAATTTAGCCAGCATAATTTAATTTATCATTTCAACTAACTATAGCTGTTGATGCTGCAGACTCAGAGAGGAATGTCTACCCAGGTGTCCTCCCGTGAGCTTTCCTCTGACTCATTGCTAGTAACCAAAAATTCAAGATTATGTAAAATAAAGTTACTGTTATTAGACAATAAAAATTCTACTGCCTTCAAATCAGAAAATGTTATTTCTGTTCTCAGTTCAACTCCTGGTGTGTGTGTGTGTGTGTGTGTGTGTGTGTGTGTGTGTGTGTGTGTGTAATTTTGGCCAGATTTTCTCATATCTCTTCAGGTTTTCTCATTGTATATTTGAAGATATGAAAAGACAAAATTTTTGCAAATTTAGCTAAATGATCAAATTGGCTTCTATCTGTGATTCAAAAATAAGAAAATATCTCATCCAAAAATAGAGAGTTTCTGTGCTGGGTATGGGACAAGAGCCAGTTTCTGTAAGGTTTCTTGAACAGGAACAAAGAAACAAAATAATACAACAAACGAAATGGTTAACATCAGGTTACTCTTCTTGCATAGATGAAAGAATAGAGGACTTCCTTATCATGCTGGCTAAAGCTGGCCTGTTTTGGCATTTGGCTATTATGCATCCGTCCTGATTTTTTACTAAGTCAGGTAAACAATGTAATTAAAAACTCAGGGATGCAGAACTTTAGCATGAATAGCTGCATTTTGATTTGGTCTGTTGGGGCACAGTCCAAATAAATGGAATTTTTAAAAATTTGAATTAACAGAATGTTTTTACATTTATCTCATATTTCTATAGTATTTTAGGATTTAATTTTCTATCCTTGATACTCATCTGAGGTTTCCTTAAAATGTCTGAGGACAGTCACCTAATACATACTGGAATTTTATACTTCTAACCTTTCTAACTTTTAGGAATACACATGAGCTTATTTTATAGGGGGAGCTTAAATTCATTACTTTATTACTTGAAAATTTCAGAAAGAAAATATCTTTCTTTCTGAATTTTCTGGGAAGTAGGCAGAATAATCTGGGAGATAGGCAGAAAATCTAGAGACAACTGAGAGAAGAGGGCAATATAATCACAATGTGGAAAAGAGATCAGTGGCAATTTTTTCTTTTAATCCAATCTTGGAAACAGATCATTTATTCACTCACCCATTCTTTAATCCCAGCCACTTGGAATTCCCTTGTGAGTCTCTTCCCTCACCTGTAGTTTATTTCCAAACATATTCGGGAAACATGCACAGAGAACACTACATTACCCTAATCCTATTAATAAAACAATCACTTTAATAGGAAGGAAGAAGCCTGTACGAATCAAAAAGGATGATCAAGACAAATTTCTGTGATTTTTTTTTGTAGCATCGTGCATGGAGGATCCACATGGTTTCCACAGAGCTGGAGTCATTCAGGGAAGCTTCTTATATCGAGAGTGGTCCAGAAGAATTCTACCAAAGATTTAAGAAGTGTTTTTCTGCAACTCATATCTTCATAAGTATGAAGGGTAAAGATTCTCAGAATACAGTTCATGGATATCTGATTCTTAACAGGTAAGACAGATACTGTCCAAGAGCATTTCCAACAGGATAATATTGAGTAGTGTATCCTTCCATGCACCTGGAAAGCCAGGAATTAGAGAAAAGTATGAAGATGAGAAAGCAGTGTCATCTGCTATTGTTGCAGTGATGGTACAAGCTCCAGCTTACCAAACTATCAGTGGGCAGCATACTGCCATTACTCAGTGAGGAGCTTTAGAACTAACTAGTAATGATACTCTTGGTGCACAAGGACTGCAGAAAAGATAACGGATTAGAGGAGCCACTCTATTGCTGGTGACGTACACAGTGCACTATCTAGAGACCACTGATGGGCAGAGAATGCTAGCAGCCAGTAACCAGGTTGTGGTACCAGCTGTCACAGAAAATGTGCCATCATCCCAGATTGGCATCCTCTATCAGCATTGTGCCTGGAGCGGGTAGGGCATCTTTCCCAGGTCCAACTGCTCAGCTTTTCAAAAGGCAGTGGAGAAGAGAGAGAGGCTGGCCCAAAAAGAAACAATGAAGCATCATGAGAATATTGTAGAAAGTATAAGGAAAATGGGAACAATTTAGAAAAGAAAATGCAGAACTTGGAAAAGCAAACAACTCTTTCATTAAGGACATAAATTCACTTAAGAGGTTTGTTACGGAAAAAAATAAAATAGATTGTGTTTCAATGTATTTGTTGTGTTTATTTGCATGGCAAGTTTCCTGACATTAGCTTTATTGAAAGAGCTATTTGTTCTGAAGAAAAGCAGCAGGAGTATCTCAGATTAGTACTGAAAAAGCAAGGATACCATAAGGAAGAGTTTGGACTATAATAGGAGCTTCACTTGAATGCTGAGTTATAAAATCTGGTCAGGTAGTGGTGTGCAAGATGTTCTATAGGCAGAAAGAGGCAACGGCTAAGAGAGTAGAATAATTTCCATGGAAAGGAGCCTTGGTTGTTAGTCTAGGATACAAGTAACAGACAGAGAGATGGAAGGAAAAACAATATAGGAACATCTCTAGCCAAATATTTCAGGTATTACCATCTTATCCCTCAAAAGTACTTATCTAGGCCAGGCGCGGTGGCTCACGCCTGTAATCCCAGCACATTGAAAGGCTGAGAGCGGCAGATCACCTGAGGTCATCAGTTCAAGACCAGCCTGGCCAACTGGTGAAACCCCGTCTCTACTAGAAATAAAAATAAAAAATTAGCCGGGCGTGTTGGTGGGTGCCTGTAATCTCAGCCAATTGGGAGGCTAAGGCAGGAGAATTGCTTGAACCGAGGTGGCGGAGGTTGCAGCGAGCCGAGATCGTGCCAGGGCACTCCAGCCTGGGGAACAGGGCAAGAGTCCATCTCACAAGCAAACAAACAAACAAACAAACGAAAAACCAACTTATCTAATGCGGTCCCATCTTCTCCAACCCAGAGAGTGTGAGGCGTGGATTCCTTATTTGGTCCTAAGCATTTGGCTGCATGGCTGAGACAGCTCTTCCTCTCAGTTGTGCTCTATGTCCTTGTTTCTCTGCTGTGATATCAATTGTGGGTGTCAGTTTGAGTGCGGACTTTCATGATTGACACGGGTGGCACTTTGTGGTATGTGTGACGGCAGATCCTCATCAGGACACAGATTCAGAGTTAGTTTCTCAGAAAATGAAGATCTCAGAGGGAAGAGCTGTGCCTAAACTAGCCCCGTAAAATTTGAGAATCAGTCAATTACTCTGCAGAAAAAGAAACACGCCTAAAATTTCACATGGAATTGTCTTCATTGACAAGTGTCTTGCCATATTTTAGTTTAGAAACTGTACATATGAGTAGGTGACTATGAAGTAATGGCAACAGTAACAACAAGTTGATAGTATTCCTAAATATAGAAAACAGCATTTTGCCTTTGTGGAAATAGGAGAGAGGACATTTGCACAGAGGAGCGCCAGGCACCATCGGATGAGGGATGGGTACCAAGACTGGAAATGGTTACAAGGAAATATATAAATAGCAATAGATGATAACCACTTTTAATTTAATTTATTTACCAATCCCCCAATTTAGTGAGGTGTACTTTGTATGTAAGATCTAGTTTTGTGATTCTTATTGTTGAAATCAAAGAAAGTAAATGGTTTTGTATCTGAATTGATGAAAACTCCAGCAGTTGCAGCTAACTTGAGATTGGTGAGAATATCCAGAACCTGAACTGATTCTGTTAAAGCAGGAGGTCATATTGGAGAGGTCACTATAGACTCTGTATACAATCTGGATGGATGTTTTGGGGTCAAATTTTGTATTTCTCAAAAAGCAAAGTGGCCTCAATTAACATCAGAGGATCTGAACATATCTGCTCTGTTTTTGTCCTGTGTGAGATGTTGTGAAGTGGAACAAGGAAGAAAGAAAGAGCACAGCCATGAGCTACCATGGTAAGTAGCGGCCCTGAAACCAGAGTTCTCCAGCACAGGGCTGGTCCTCAACAATGAAATACTAGCTGATACTGGGTGTCTAATTTGCAAGAAGAAGACCAACATACAAAGAAAGAGCCTTTTTACTAAGCATTAGGGGTTATGACAGAAATAAAATTTTTTCTAGAAATGATGAGACAGAAGCTAACCACCAAAATTACTCATGCAGGGAATATTGCCATAATAACCAACGAATGCATGTTTTACATGTTGGGAAGAGTTTTCTTAGGACTTCTTAATTTTCTTAGGACTAGCACCAGAAAAAAGCAAAAACATCTGGAAAAGACTGAATAAAAATTCCTTTCAAGGCCAGACATAGTGCCTTATGCCTTTAATCCCAGCACTTTGGGAGGCTGAGGTAGGAGGAAGGCTTGAATCCAGGAGTTCAAGATGAGCCTGGACAACACTGAGATACTCCATTTCTATAAAAATGTTTTTTTAAAAAATTAGCCAGGCATGGTGGCACACATCTTTGGTTCCAGCTACTTAGGAGGCTGAGGCGGGAGGATCACTTGAGCCCAGGAGTTTGATGCTGCAGTGAACCATGATTGTTCCACTGCATTCCATTCTGGGCAACAGAGCTAGAGCTTTTCTCAACACCAACTAACAAACAAAAAAAGGTATTTTATTTCACTACAATATTTTATTTGTATATATTTACATGTGCACATATATGTGTGTGTGTTGATGTATTTTAGAGTAGAAGACAAACTTTAAGTCACTAGATGGATGACAGTTTGAGCTTACATTCCCAAACTGTAGCATGTGTTAGAATTATCCCCAGGGCTTGCTTTCTAGATATTTCTAAACCCCATCATATAAAGCTTATTGTAACTACAGACATCTAAATAATTATTTATGTTAGCTCTATAAGAGATGCATATCTGAGAGTATATTCTTATAGAAGCAAAGATTTCATTTTCAGTAGAAGCTTATGCTCATTAACAAATGGCCATAAAATGTTTTTTTAAAAGATGATAATTTTAAAAATAATATCAGCAAGCTTTTACCATTAAAATCTCCAAGGGGTTTAGTCCTTTTGATATTTTTCTGTACATGTTTTTGTCTAAATCCACCTTTGTCTATACTTTTTTAGAAATTTTTCTAAAATAAGTCATATTTATTTATTGTATTTTAAAGCTCAAAATGTATTTAAACATTTTATTAATTTAGGTTCTTTTAAGTAATATCTTATTATTTGATATGTTCAGTTAATTACTAGTTGGTAACTTTAGATATAAAGTTTTTAAATGGCAAAAGTCTATTTTATAAATTATGAAGCCTGAGGTTGTCAAACCCTAATTTGATCAATGCACAATTTATACATGTATCAAAATATTATATTGTATGTCATACATATGTGCAATTTTTATATATTGATTAAAAATAAAAATTTAAAAATTATTCAAATAAGTTGTCATTTAAATAAAGGTTTTTTTGATTAGTTTGAATTTAGTAAAAATGCTTTAAATAAAATCACCTGAATATTTTTTATGCACAGTACCTATTTCATTTCCCTGAGTTTAAAATTAAATCAGCCATAGGTGCCAGACATTGAGGCTCTACTTGTCTTTTTCCAAAACCATCCATCATGGTCATTAGCATTTTGATCTTCAAATCTAAAGACTGGTAGAAATTGATCAGTACTGAAGGGATTTACCTGTCGATGAGCCAGGTGAGATGGTAGCAGATCCTAGATTTCAGTGAAGAAAGGGCAGAAATTATCAAAGAATGGAATGATGTATTCAAATATCATATAAAAATACTATCAGACGTGGGAGCAGAAATGAAAGTAGACTTGGGGCCCCAGAAAATCAAACATGAATTTGCCACGTGGGTGTTGTTTAATAATCAATGACAAAAGCCAGGCATGGTGGCTCACACCTGTGATTCCAGCATTTTGGGAGGCCAAGGCGGGCGGATCACCAGAGGTCAGGAGTCCCAGACCAGCCTGGCCAACATGGTGAAACCGTGTCTCTACTAAAACTACAAAATCAGCCGGGCCTGGTGGCACATGCCTGTAATCTGAACAACTCGGGAGGCTGAGACAGGAGAATCCCTTGAACCTGGGAGGCAGAGGTTGCGGTGAGCCGAGATCAGGCCATTGCACTCCAGCCTGGATGACAGAGGGTGACTCCCTCTCAAAATAAATAAATAAATAAATAAATGACAAGATAAACCAGCACTAACCACAACTAGAGGGTGTTTGTAGAGGGCTATTTACAGAGATTAGAAATTGAGCTGATGTAAACAATGGTGGAAGGGTAAATCCTTTCATTGGTCCTCTGTACTGCAGAAACCTAATAAGGGAGGGGCTTTAAGGATCCTATAATACATTGGCCTCCAAAAAGCAAGGCTTATTATTTATAGAGGCATTTGGAATTTGCTAGACTGTGGAAATCTCAGAGAATAACATCTGTTATCCAGAAAGCCCAGAGGACACCCAACTCCTGAGCCAAATGCATGAATTTTCCTGCAAGCACTGTTCAGACCAGTTATAGAATATTCAGGTGAGTATTTCCTTTAATTTTTTTCTTTGGGTATAAAAATTGTGAACTTCTGGACGGAAAGTCCTGGATATTTTACAGTTTTATCTGTAACATGACATCTAGAATTTAATTGGAAACATTTATTGTAGAATATGAAAAGTTCTATGTTGTCCGTAACTTCAGGTTGCATGCAGCCTTGGTCGTCTGCAAAGTTTCCAAAATGCTCAAAGGCACTTTTTTATTTTCCTAATATTCCACTGAAGTTTTTATTTATGTAATGGTATTTTTAATTTACAAAATCTGTTTTGTTGTTTGAATGTTCTTTTCAAAGCCTCTTTTTATTTTTTGATATTTTTACTCTATAAAATAGAAAACATGTGACTTTGTGAAGGTTATACATTTTTATTTATTAATTTATTTTTATTTTTTACTTTTTATGTCACAAAAATTAAAAAATAATAATAAAAATTAAAAATTAAGAATTCATACAGCTTCACAAAGTCACAGGAGTCCATACATTATACTTAAGATCAAAACTTACCCTCAAATGGTTCAAGGATAAAAGGATGTCTTAAACTTCTAAGTATTTTACAAGTGATGATGATAAAAAATAAAAAGTAAACAAATAAAAGATGTATTCTAACACAGAAAAGAGGGCAATCACATACAATTGACAAGGTTAATTTTTTTGAGACAGGGTCTCACTCTGTTGCCTAGTCTGAAGTGCACTGATACAATCAAGGCTCACTGAAGTCTTGCCCTCCTGTGCCCAAGCCATCCTCTCACCTCAGCCTCCAGAGTGGCTGGGACTACAGGCACTACAAGTGTGGGTCTGGCTAAATTTTTGTTTTTCTAGAGATGGGGTCTGTCTATGTTGCCCAGGCTGGTCTCAAACTCCTGAGCTCAAGCAATCTTCCTGCTTCAGCCTCCCAAAGTGTTGAAATTACAGGCGTGAGCCACCGTGCCGGGCCCTGTATAAATTCTTAGTTTTTCCCAGCTTCTTTCTTTCTTTTTTTAAGAGACAGGGGTTTCTCACTTGTTGCCCAGGCTTATCTTGAACTCCTGAGTTCAAGTGATCCTCCCATCTTAGGCTCCTAAAGTGCTGGGATTACAGGCATGAGCCTCCACACCTGGTCGCAGTTTCATCATGGAAGTAATAGAACAGCAAGCATAAAATGACCTCATAGAGATTCAAGGAGAAAAATAAGATATTAATAATAAGTGTAAAACATTCGCGTATTACTTTGCTGGGGCTGCTGTAATAAACTATCACAGATGAAACAATAATTTGCTCTCTCACATACTGAAAACCTAAAATTTAAAATCAACATGTTGACAGAGTTGGTTCCCATTGGGGATTCTGAGTAGAAATCCAGCCCCTCCCTGTCTGCTGGTTTCTGGTGGCTGATGGGAACATTTAGCTTTCATTGGCTTGTGGCAGCATAGCTCCAGTGAGCTCTGTCTCCGCCTCTGTCTCCACATGGCTGTCGATGTGTCTCAGATCTTCCTTTGATTTCTTCTATAATGATACGAGTCATTGGACTTAGGTCCCACCCTAAACCCAGACTAATCTCATTAGGAGATTACCAAGGTAATTACATCTGCAAAGATCCTAGTTTCAAAAGGTCATATTCACAGGTTTCAGGGGTTAGGACTTAGACACATATTTTGGGGGGCCACGCTCTTTAACTGGCAATTTGAAAAAATGTCTGGCTCATAAAAGAGCCACATAACAACAAAAACACAACTGTATTTTTATTTTCGCTGCTTTATACGCATCATCCTAACATTTACAATTGGGAAGACGGTACTTCTTTTCCTAAATTCAGATTCTGAGTATTCCACATCTCTTTTCCCACATCAAGTCTGTGTGACTTCCCCTTTTTCTGAGTTAGAATACATCTTATATTTATTTATGTATTTATTTTTTGTAATCATCACTTACAATATATTTGGAAGTTTGACATCTTTTTATCCCTGAACCATTTCAGAGTATGTTTTGATCTTAAACACAAAGTATGGAATCAAATATTTTTTAATTTTTTTATTTTCCTTTGTGAATGTTACTTTTTTCTTAATTACTCTCCTGTTATATTATTAAGTTTTTTTTTTTTTTAAGGACACTAATGAACTGACTTTTTTTCAGATTTTTGAGGTTAAAAATTCAATAACTTTCAAGTTTACCCTCTTCTAAGTTTTTCACAGTTTATTTTAATGCTTTATTATAAATTTTAATTTTTTATTTACATTTTCATTTATTATGAACAATTTTCCAAAAGTCTTTTTCACATAATAAATTTGATATATGAGCTATTCTTTATTTTATCTTCTACCTCAAATATGGACTTGAATTATTATCCAGTATTTTAAAACATTTTAATCTCTATATTAAGGAATTTGTGTTTTGAGGCATGTGATATTATAACATTCTTCACACTTCTAGTGAATTTTTAACGTCATTCAAAGGCTACATCCTTCTGTACTCTACTGAGAATTAAAAATAGTTCTCAAAAATATTCTCACATATTCTGAAACTCATTCTCAGAATTTCAACCTCCACTGACATCTTAACTCTGTTCTCTTTCCCTTCTAATGCATATTTTCCCCCGAAGGCCCCATGTTACACTCCTTATGCACCCTCTATTTAAGATCTGGTTTAATTTAATGTTGTATGTGTTTGTACACAATTTTACTGAAGTTAGGCTTTGTCTTAGAATAGAAGATTATCCTAAAAAGACAAGTGAAAGAGTTATGAGAATTTGGAGAATTAGTTGGGAAATCATGTCCCAGAGGAATTACTTTAGGCAAAACAAAATTGGTAAAAATAAATAAATAAATAAAATAAGCAGTAGTTATCGGATCTGCCATGTTTTCAAGTTCTATAATGGAAAATGCCAGGTATTTTGGAGGCACTTTCCGGAGGAAGCCAAACTTTCACTGAGGCTTAAAGATGACGAACAGTTAACCAACTGAAATTGAAATGTTTTATAATTGTCATTAAATCCTTGATATTTAAAAGGAGAAGCGGTATGGTTCGCTAGAAAGCATTCATTCCCATGCATGGGTCCTGGAGAATCTTTAATTCAGTCTTTTATCACAGGTTCACATTCCCTCATAAAAAGGTAACAGTTGGATGCATGTCTGGAGGAGCTCTTGGGCTTGTCCTGTTGCATCTTTAACTTCTCATCTGCACCTTTAGCTATGGCTATTTGGGCTGTGCTTAGAAAATGGCGATACTCAGGGCACTGTAGAATGAACAGTCTTTCCGGTTTAGGCATTTCTCCTTCCACTTTAGCTCTTGACTCTGTCTTCAGGGCATTTCTGTTCTATTAAGCTTCTTAAGTGATGAGTGGTCTGGTGTTTGCCTTATGCAACTCAATTTAAGATCGGTTCATGCGAGATCTGGCAGAAAGAAGGCTGGGGTGGGGTGCGGAGATGTTGAATATTGCGCATGTAGCATATGAAAGGCAAATATGGATTTTCATTCAGAAATGGGCTATATTTTATTTATATCCTTAAGAGTAAATTAATTATACAAGGGATATATGGCGAATAGGGTGTAATTTTTTTCATTAATCCCAATGAAGCAGAGTAACTTTCCTTTCTTTCTCCTCAGAAATACAGAATCACACATACTGCAGGACTTCCAGAAAGAAATCATCCACTGACTCTTAAAAGTAAGGAACTCTGTGTTCTTACTCTGGTGTTTGCATAACTGGGATCTTATAAGTAAGCCAAAGACATCAAAATGGCTTTGCCTAGAAGCCAAGGCCATTGGTCCAACGCAGACATCTTGAGGTTACTGGAATGCATGGAGAATAATCTCCCATCTGATGACAACGGCACGTTCAGCTCAACTCAGTCACACATGGACTGGGGAAAAGTAGCTTTTAAAAACTTTTCTGGTGAAATGTGCAGACTCAAATGGTTAGAGATTTCTTGCAGCTTGAGAAAATTCAGCACTTTGAAAAAATTAGTCCTGGAAGCTAAGAAATGTGTTAAAAATACAAACAAAAGCCAAAAAGGCAGGAACCATCCAGACTTTCCAAAGAGGCCCCTTACTGCTTATATCCGCTTCTTCAAGGAGAATTGGCCCCAGTACTCCCAAATGTACCCTGGGATGAGAAGCCAGGAACTGACCAAAATCCTGTCAAAGAAATACAAGGAGCTCCCAGAGCAGATGAAACAGAAATATATTCAGGATTTCCAGAAGGAAAAGCAAGAATTTGAGGAAAAACTTGTTCGATTCAGGGAAGAGCACCCTGATTTAGACCAGAAGGGCAAGAAATCTGATATCTCCAAGAGGATTCAAACCAAAGTGCAAAAGAAAGTTCAGAAAAATATTGAAGAAGTGACGTCTCTTCCAAAAACGGATCAATTTTTCAAGAAGGTAAAATTTCATGGAGAGCCTCAGAAACCCCCCATGAATGGATACCACAAGTTTCACCAAGATTCCTGGTCAAGTAAGGAGCTGCAACATTTGTCCCTGAGGGAGCGCATGGTAGAGATTGGCAGACGCTGGCAGCGCATCCCGCAGAGCCAGAAGGATCATTACAAGAGCCAGGCTGAGTTGCTGCAGAAGGAATACAAAGTGGAATTGGATCTCTGGCTCAAGACTTTGTCACCTGAAGATTATGCTGCGTACAAAGAATCGACCTATGCTAAGGGTAAGAATATGGCGATGATGGGAGGCCCGGCCCCCAGCTTGAAACAAACAGATCCGCAGTCCTCATCAGCAAAGGGTCTGCAAGAAGGGTTTGGGGAGGGGCAGGGGCTCCAGGCTGCAGGAACAGAGGCATCACAGACTATTTGGGTAAACTGTCAGGTCTCCATGGAACCAGAAGAGAACAGGAAGAAAGATGGCGAAGAGGAAGAAAGCAGTAACTCTTTAGACTGCAGCAGTGGGGAAGACATGGAAGTTGATGTCTGAGGGCAGTGACTCTAGTGCAGCTTCCTCAGAGGACTTCTAACTGGGACTCCACCTGACTCAGACTCTGCCTGACTCAGACTCCAGGGTCAGGCAGAGTTTCTCCGCAAAAGCCCATTCATGCCATCCGTGTCAAGGAAAAGGGACTGTCCTTCTGCCTCTTTTTACTTCTTTGCTTTTTTTTTTTCTCTTTTCTTCCTTCCCCGCTCTCCTCCTCTACACAAAGTAGGACAGGTTGGAAAGAAGCAACTTGGTGCAGCACCCTCTTACATCAGGATTACAAACCTGGGAGGGACTCTTTGCGGAGAATAAATATAAGTTTGAGCCAATACCAACCTTATCCTTAAAAAACAGACAAATATCATGCCTTTCCCAGTGAATTTTGTGCAATTAAAGCTTCTGGAATGAAGCGATGATTAGATGTAGGATACACACTGTACTAGACTGAATATTTCTGAAGCAAGAAGCTTTGCTTTACTCATTTTTGTTCTGCTAAAGGCAGTAAGAAGACACCCATGAGCCTGGGACCCCGACCTTCCCTGTGGAAATGTTTTTCAGGACTCCTGCACTTAGTCTAGGCTTGGGGATATTTGATGAAAGGTGGGGTAGGTGTCTTAACAAAATTGTTGTACTCTTGATATCTCACTCCTCCACTCCCTGAAGTAGGGAGTTGGTCACTCGCATGCCTGGGAGTAGGCAGCAATATTTCCGTATATATGTCTGACTCTTAGCTTTCATTGAGACTTTTCTTTCTCATTTCCAAAAAAATGAAAATACAAAATAAAAACTTACCTATTTCATTGGAATGAGCTCCTCCACAGAATCCCTTATGACATCGGGTGCAGCATCTCTAAGTGCCATCTGCATTTATTCTTGAAGCTCCAAATATTTTCTGCTGATTCAGGTGCAAGTGAATCTCACCTTAAGCACTCAGGATTGATAGAAAGATGCACAGAAAGACACATATAGATAAATACACTATTCTGTTTCACTATCTGCTCTATGAATTCATGCACCAATATAACATTGTTTTAATTTTTTTTGGTTTACTAATATGTTTGAAAATCAACCTGAGGTTAGTGCCTTCTCAGTATACCTTCATTCTCTTAAACATTTCTGGCTATTTTCATATTTTGTTCTCATGAATATAAGCATCACAGAAGTAGATGTATACTTTTTGTATGAAAACCACTGACTATCATGTGTTTATTTTGTCCCTAGATATCTTAATAAATTTTTATTTAAAAGTTTTTTCTAGGTAAATAAGTTTCAGAAAATAATGAAAATATTTACCATTTTATACCTCTAAATGTATCAGATTAAAGTATCCAGGAGAATGTTAAGCAATAATAAAGTAATATGTTCTTGGCTTGCTTCTGACTTTCAATCTAATGCTTACAGAATTTAAAATCATGAAAATTATGCTGATGTGTACATTTGAAATAAATTATAAAAAAAGAAAATTGCTATTTACTGTTATTATTATTTGGTTAACTTTATAATGTATATCGATTTTTAAAAATTTATTTTGTTAAATTTATCATATATTTATGTAATTTTTCCTTAGTGTATTAGTCATCATCCTTCAGAGAAACAGTAGCACCAACATAGAGAGAGAAACAGAGTGACAGAGGGAGAGATAGAATAATACAGAGAGGAGACAGAGAGGGACAGATACGGTGTCTTGTCGCCCAGGCTGCAGTGCAGTGGTGCGATCTGGGCTCACTGCAACATCCGCCTCCTAGATTCAAAAGATGCTCCTGCCTCATCCTCCTAAGTAGCTGGAATTACGGACACCCGCCACCACGCCTGACTAATTTTTGTATTTTTAGTAAAGACAGGGCTTCGCCATGTTGGCCAGGCTGGTCTCGAACTCCTGACCTCAAGTGATCCGCCCACCCAGAAAGACCAATTTTATGATGAAGAATTGGCTCACAAAATTGTGGAGGCAAAAAATACCATGATCTGCAATCTGCAAGCTGGTCAGTTAGGAAAGCCAGAGGTGTCATTCAATCTGAGTCTGAAGGCCTGGGGACCAGGGAAGCCAATGGTGTAAACCCCAGGTCAAGGGTAAGAGAAGAGAAGATGAGATGTACTAGCTTAAGAAGTGAGGCAGGAACAAAAGGGTCAAACTCCTCTATCATCTGCCCTTTGTTCTATTCAGGAGCTACTGGGGAGGGAAACCTACTTTACAGAGACCAATTCAAGCTGACACATAAAATTTACTATCACACTTTCATTTTCTTACAGATTCTGGGGATTTAGGCATTTTCACCATTTTTTCATGAATTCTAGATGGCTGATGGGTTGAATTTATTTAGAAAATGTATTTGCATATTATGCCCCTTGTTTCGCTTCTTAACATCAAGTTTGCAAAATTAACTTTAAAGATCTGATTCTTTTTACTTCCAATTTAGAAGATACCATAATTCACATTTGCCACTAAGTGGTAGTAAGGCCTATAGCTCAGGCTAGATGGTGAGATGTACAAATGCAGTTGGGGCTTTGCTTGTGATTTTAAATACAGCGTTTTAAAATTCATTCAGCATCTACTCTTTTTTAAGTCTTGCCCTCCTTATGTGTGACACACAGATGAAAGGTACAATTCTTGACTTCGTGACACTCAGAGTTAAAGATGGTATTATTTGGTTTAAAAAGCAGAAGTACTGACAAATAGAAACTGAACTTCTGAGTTTGCTATTATAATAAAATATCATTGGTTAAAATAATGATCTCTTCGCTTTTGTTACCTCATCTATACATTCATGAAGTGGGAATAAAATTACAGTGAGATTAGGCCAGGCATGGTGGCTCATGCCTATAATCCTAGCACTTTGGGAGGCTGAGTGTGGCAGATCACTTGAGGTCAGGAGTTCGAGACCAGCCTGGCCAACATGGTGAATCCTCCTCTCTACTAAAAATACAAAAATTACCGGGGTGCAGTGACACTTGCCTGTAATCTCAGCTACTCAAGAGGCTGAGGCAAGAGAATTGCTTGAACCTTGGAGGCAGAGGGTGCAATAAGCCCAGATCATGCCACTGCGGGCCACTCTGGGTGACAGAGCGAGACTCCATCTCAAAACAAAACCAAAAAAAAAAAACCAAAAAAATTACAGTGAGATTACATATAGGTAAAGGTTACACTTAATGCTTATAAAGTACCTATCTCACAGTAGATTTACAGAAAATGTTAGGTTGATTTTCACATTTTTTTTCCTTTATTCCTTTCATCATCCATATTTCTCCTTTATTTAATTCCAACAAAACCTTTAAGTAATGCATATTACATAACAAGATATATTACATTCAATAAATAAAAATTCAATGAACGATATTTGTCTGCAATGCATAAAGACCTGCACCCTTGCTAGAATTTGATCCCAACTTTGACCTAAGTACCAGAAATTTTAAAAAATAGTGTTGATTCTATGGGTGTGTGTATATGTATGTGTGTGTATATATATGTATGTGTATATGTATAGGTATACACACTATATATATATTTGTACATAATAATGGGAGATCCTTGAATGCAATGCAATTGATAGAAAGTACAATACAATTTTTTAAATGTAAAAATGTTTCTGCAAGGCAATTAAATCAAAATTTATCCTTGATAAAACAAGTATTAATTCAAAAAAGAAGTATTGGAAGTGGAAGTGACGTCCAGACAGAGGAAACAGCATACCGAAACACTCGAAGAGAAGAAGGCCGTGATGCCTGTGGAGAAGCTACTTCTACAATTCTTTTGTTCTGGTCTTCTGTTACACACAGCTCATGGAACCTGCTAAACACATTGAGATCCAGTTTAGAGGCATTCCTTGTTTGCACATTTTAAAAATTTGCACCTTAAAATTCTGAAAAGTTAGAGAGGTGCAGTATACTTACAGACCATTTCCAAACCTCTAAAGAAAAACAGTAAAATCTAGAATAACAAAATCAAAATTCATGAACAATATCTACAACAACACTGAGTGACAATGTACCCTACAAAAATCCCAAATATGAATAGTCACAGACAAATCAGGTGCAACAGCAATATCCATGAGGAATCAGAATCCTTTCAGGATGAAGCAGAGAGGGTGAACAGAACACATGTAGATTTGAGAACGCCCCAAGTCAGCAACGAGGATTCATTAGAAAGTGTGCAAGGTAATTAAAAAAGAGCTGCTGAAACTGAGTAGGGTGGGAGTTTGCACACATCAATAAGCAAGAGTGCAGGATAAGATAAAAAGCGGCTGGGACCATATGGCTTCTACAGCTCTTAAAATAACCAGCCCAAATTCTCTTCCAGGATCAAATTCCATACTGAGAAGAATATACTGGGAGTAAACTACATATTAAACAAGGCTGACACAATAGGATCAAAAAAAGCGAAGGCCCCCATAAAGTAAGTGGAGACAGAAGCAGAACCAGGACAGAGCAAAAAGTCGACGCTCTTATTATTGAATACCTTATGGAATCAACAGGAGAGCTCTAGAGTCAGGATGCTAGGAAAGCTATCTTGACCGATCTTTACCTTATAAAAGTTCAAGTTTCGTTCCATACAAATAGCATCAATAGGACATGCTGTTGTTGTTATTGTTCTTTGTTTCTTATTTAAGGAGAGGGCAGAGGGAAGAAAATGCCTTTCCAAAAATAGTATGCCTTGATATGACTGTTCATGAAGTAACAACTAGCGTTCTTAAAAGAACCTTAGTGCCAGGGATACAGTGAGCTTATACTCTTTGGCTGCAACCTTGACAGAAGTGTCTCTGGGCAGTCCTCTTGGTTTCCAGCCCAGCAGAAATCTCCGCCCCACCTCACTGGATCCAGCTCCATCACTGTGCCTGGCCACCTCCAGCTATTCCTGAAGGTCAATTTCTGCAGTATGTCCTGATCCTCTCCTCCTCCAAGCACTGCTCCTGGTCCCTGCAGTATCCCTCCAGGACCCTACCTAGCAGCCTTTTTGCCCATCCTTGCTCCAAAACACCTCATCCAGGAATGTATTATAAGCCTGGTGTGGTGGCTCACACTTGTAATCCCAGCACTTTTGGTGCCCCAGGCAGACAGATCACTTGAGGTAAGAAGTTCGAGATCAGCCTAGCCAACAAGGTGAAACCCCCTCTCTACTAAAAATACAAAGATTAGCAGAGTGTGGTGACGCATGCCTGTACTCCCAGCTACTTAGGAGGCGGAGGCATGCGAATAGCTTGAACCTGGGGGGCAAAATTTGAAGTGAGTGAGATAGCAGCACTGCACTCCAGCCTGAGCAACAGTGACGACGAGTCAGAAAGAAATACCATAGGTAGAGCTAGAGGTACATATCTATCTACATATCTATGTATCTATGTCTTTAGCTATATATAATATATATATGTATATTATACATATACATGAATATATGTGTTATATATTGTTTAATATGTAGTTTACTTCCAGTATCATATATAATACATTACATATATATATTGCATATACGAGAGAGAGATCTGAAATGTATAGAATCCCTAATAACAAGCAGCTACCACCCCCATCTTTCACAATGGCTAATTACCTGACTGTGTGGTTTACTCTCAGATATGGTACTGTGGACCATGAGGTGTCTCCAGCAAACTATCAGCAAATTCAAGTGCAAGTTTTTGGCTTTAGAAAATGTTTCAATTAAGTCAGCTACACTTGGGAAAGGAGGTTAGAAAAAGGCACCCAAAGGGTTGATCTTGACCATTCCTTATTAGTAGTGGGAAAATTCTGGAGATGAACGGATGTTTGGGGTGGCTGTCTTGCTCTGACAGGAGTAGGGATGGGGGATGGATTTCTCCTCTATTCCTCTTGTGTTAATAATGGCGGGAGATTTTGGTTACTGGGAATAGTATCTACATGAGCTGGATAAAGTGTGAGCACTAAAGGTCTTGGGAGGGTAAAGAGAGGGGCTGCAGGGAGTGCAGGGAGGAGGAACTAAGGCTTTTTCAGAGAGTGTGCAGAGAGAAAGCAGTCAGCTTCTCTGTCCATCATCCACAGCTCCAGGATGAAAGAAAACTCTGCTTCCTCCCTGCACATTCTTTGTATGTGTAAGTGAAAGTGGGTGGGTTAAATTAGTGATCTGAAATGATTATTTTCCAGAAAGACAATTGAACCGCTACCAAAATATGTAAAGGCAGCTGGGGCTTTGCGAGGCCACCCAACCCAACCTCCATATGGGGGAATGAAAGGGGAACCAGCTGTCCCCAGTTCTGGAGCTTTCAGGTTAATCAGGAAAGTGCCAAGGAGGCAGTGGAGGGGTGGGGTTAAATAAAACACCTTCTGTAATCCATGTATTAATGGGCCAGGCTAGGAAAGAAAAACTGGTAAACATGAGTTGATAGAAGAAAAATATGAGAGAAGGTTTTATTTTATTTTTAAAAATAATTTTCAGAAACCAAGTTTGTATGAGTTTTACAGAAGAAAGGACTAGAAATAATGGGAATCAAAATATGTGGGTTTAGCAAAGGAAGTTCGTGGTCAGATAAAGAATGTAGTTCAAAGGATATTGGTGGTGAGATGAAGAACATGGTTTGTGTAAACTGTTGGGTATGAAAGATTTCATTGAGTTGAAGAAAGATGGAAAGTTTCACAAATGAGTACAGCGAACATACTCATGTGGTCAGGAATATGCTTTGTTATGGACAAAGGAGATAGCACAAAAATCAAGTGAAGATATTGGGTCAATGTAGCTATTTAGTTTTATTTCGAAACAGTGGGAGTAAATAAAGTAGGTTTTAAAATTGAGAGAAAATAACAAAGAGAAGGCGAGAACAAGAAAGTGAGAGAGGAAATTAATATTGGAAGGCGATTGTCTGTTGAATAATGTCTCTGAGAATAGCATGGAAGTCAGCTTCTACGTGTAGGGCAAAGCCTTAGAAAAGAAGAAGCAAGTTGCACTAATGGGGTCAGGCTCTGGTTAGCAGGTAGTTTTTGAATTGCTAAAAGAAAAAATTTTGGAAACATCTTATGTCATTCTATGAAGTAATATTCGCTACTGTTTTTGAGAATAAAGAATCAGCGTACAGGTAAAATATTTGAGAATAAAGAAACTAAACGGATTTAGTAATGAGGTTTTTGTGTATTATAAGATAATTAATTATCAAATCATAAGCTACCATTTTTAAATCAAGTGTAGATACTTGAGGGCAAAGAGTTGAAGGCCAGATTTTGACTTCTGGTGCAAATACATATATACATACATACACAGAAAAGAAGGAAAGAAAAGGAAGAAACGAAAGAGAAACCAGTCTCTAATTTTTGGTTCATTCATTGCAACAAATTGCTAAATATCTTAAGATAAAACAAGAAATAAAAAGGCATGAATAAAAGTAGACTATGTGTTCCAATGATTTCATTATTACTTCAGGGTCATGTGAATCTACAGAGGAAGATGATTCATGCTGTGTATTGCAGAGTTTGTCATTTGCTTTATGAGGAAGAGGAATGTCACTTGGAGAGACTGGAATAGGAAAGCAAAGAGAAGTAAAGACAGTAAAGACAGAATGAAATGAAAGGAGAAAGCCGTAGGAGGAATGTATAAGAAACTGAAGGAAATGTACCATAAACCAGACCTGGAGCTGCTCCAGATTAGGACTGAGAACAAGAGAGTCCACTGGGAAAAATGACCTCATTCTCTTTGCCTTCTGTGATGTGTTTGGAATGATGCTTTCATGATGCTTGAAAGTGAATTGCTTGTCTAGTAACAAAAGAGACAAAGTCAGTTTTTCTTGATCCAGGAGCAAAACACAAACAAACAAAAACAGTAGAAAACACCCCAGAAAAAAATTTCCTTTCAAAATTCATTCAATTGCTGAAAAACTGCAGTAAAAAAGTTTATTTGAAGCTTTTTGAATTTGTATTTAAATATATTCAGATATTTAGAAATTTGGGAATCCATGCAATATATTTCCTCGATGGCCATTTCCTGGATACCAATTGCTATAAACTTTGGGCTCACCCATCCTCAGGAATCTAATAAATTAAGCCTTCACTATGAATTTTGTGATGAATGCTAAGACTTTCTCTATTCTTTCTTACCTAATTTTAGAAATGTGTTAGAAAGGTAAATTTCTTCCTATATTCAAGTTTTGAGAACTGTAACAGTGATCAGTCTCATACTGAAGTGGGAACATAGTTTCTTATGAAAATGTACCCTCCTTCATAGTATATTTAGTCTTCCCCTTCTTAAAGGGTAGAAAGATTTTGTTTGTTTGTTTGTTAGGCAGGGCTATTATTTTCAAGGAACTATAGAGAAATCACGTAGAGAAAATTACCATTTCCAATTTTAATTGTCAAAGTGTATAAAGAAATTGACATAACAGCCCCAAATTACGCCAGGACTTATGGGGGAAGGGTAAGTATTTCTGACAGTGTATGGTGAAAGCAGGGTGTAAAGAAGCAAAAGAAAAGACCCTCAAGGATTTGGGGCTTTTGTAGGTAGCAGATGGTGGATTCCAACTTCAAATGGAAAGGCTGTAGGGTGCCCTTAGGGAAGCTGGGTCTGAGGAAGCAGGATGCCTGCCTCAGGTAAGCTTGTCAAGCCCCAGCTTGTGGTTACTGACACTCAGTATTACAGTGGTGTATAACAATACACAAAATAGTTTGTATAATCATCCACGATATTAAAATCATTAGAGGAATATTTATAACAACAGCCACAAAGTCAACTGGCAACTAATTTCACTGGATTTATCCCTTTCTCAAGAGATACTCTGGCAGAGAATTCTCACAAAGAAATCTTTCAAAAGCATATGTGGATTTTCTTTTACTTTATTATACCTATGCATGCTTCAGTGAAAAATCCGTAAATCGGAGACAAAGTGGTTATTTAAAATAAGAGTTATTATTTACATTATTTTTCTGAGAATAAGAGCAAGCTGCTTTTGCTACTCACTTCGAATTATTAAAAATTCTACAAATTTAAATGTTCTAGGGCATGTGAGCTTAGCAATAATTTCTGTTCTTTATAGATTCCAAAAAATATTGTAATTTTTCCCCATTTTTCTGGTTCAGGATTTGCTTGTTATGAATATGGAGTAACCCTTGAACATCAGTAAACTTCACGAGTATTCCTGCTGTCCTGACCCATATTTCCAGTGACAACCTGACATATGTAGACACTATGCAAAGCCCACCTCCATTAGAAGTTTATAACACTGTGTTTTCATGTGACTGTTTTCTTATTCCTGCAGCACATATTTCCCGGGATAATAAAATAACCACTTCTTGCATCCCCCTCGTTTGAAGTTCTGAGACAGCTACTCTTTGGTTCTGATGATCTCAGCATTGCCCCAGCTCCAACAAAATCTGTTTTCTTGATGGCAAGCCCTGCCATTCACTTTTGAAGATATTACTGAGAGGTGGATGTTGGGCAGTGTTGGAACTGGGCTGTTGGATTTTGCAACGATTCTTGGACAATAAGAAATGACATGCTGGTTAACTCCAAGAATTTTTTTCTACATTTCGTGTCAAGAAGGCTACTGGTGTCATCTCAAGACCTCTTCCTCACTATTACCTCAGTATACAGAAAGGCCTCTAGGACAGATAGGGATGTTTCTAGATTATGAATCTGGTATGGTAAGCTTTGTTAATGTGGCCAACAGGTTTCTCATTTGTAGCCTCTCAGGTTCTTTCCCTTACACTCTTAGACGTTTGCACTCACAGAATCAGGGATAGGTCAGTAACATGACTAAAGGTATCAGAAACACCATCTTCTGAAAATGCTAACCTACTGACTACTTGATTTTCTTTATCTGTTTCTATAAAATTTGTACCATTTTTAAATTGCGGAGGTATACATTTGTTTTGATTTTCATTAAACTACTCTCTCTTAGAATACTGTGCATGTCTTTTCTTTTATGCTGTATCTTTTTTTTCCCCTAGATTTCCAAGCCAGCCCAGGTAAATGAATACCTGCGTGTGTTTATCCAAACTGATGGGTTAATGCAAGAGCACGGGGTTCTTCCCCTTGAACCGGAATTTCCTTTTCTCTGTTCCACATCTGCTAAGTCACATTTCATCAAGTGTAAGTTCCAATATTTCTTCAGGGAATTCTTTCTTTAGCTCCTGGGCTAGATTAGGCTATTTGTTTTAAAGACTCAGAAAACCTTATACTTTTCTTTGTAAAACTCACAATGTAATAGTAGGCTTATTTTCTGCTTTTCAAATTACAAGAAAAGGATTGTGTTTGTACTACATACAGTTATATTCCAAGAAAGTAGACAATGGTTAAGATATAACTGATATTCAATAATTGTCTGTTTGAATAAAAGAATAAATGCACAAACTAATTGATGAAAACATATGATACAACTATTTAAAAGGCTACCAAATTTACCCCTGTATTACTATTGATTTTGGCTACTGAATGTAACCAAAATCAACAGGGATACTGAGAAATATTATTTAATGAAGATATAAATTGGATGCTTATCAAATTGATAGGCTCAGTCAATTTTCTTTAGCTCAGGAACAAACTATTGATGGACACAGATCTTAACAGAATGACAATGATACAGATAAAAGACTGAAAACCTGTTAGGTTTTAGTAATTTCACCGATGGCATCCTACAGACAGTTACCTGGGAACATGTCATTACCAGAATAGAAAGTAAGACTCACTTTTTGCTTCAGAAAATACAGAATACTCAGAAGCCTCATTACACTTTAATAAAATTCCAAATTTATTAAGGTCTTTGAAATTTTTAAGACACATGTGCAGTAAAATATCCTTATTATCAGAAATATGTATATTTTGGTCATGTTAACTTGGTATGAAGCCTTTCCTTAAGTATCGACTGGAAATTGATTCCAGGACTCCCCACAGATACCAAAATCTTGGATGCTAATAATCCTCAGATGTCCTTACATAAGATGGTGAAGTATTTGCATGTAGCCTAAGCACATCCTCCAATGTACTTTAATTATCTCTAGATTACTTAAAATACTTAATGCAGTGTAAATGCTATGTAAGTAGTTGTTACACTATATGACTTAGGGAATAATGACAAGCAAAAAAAAGTCTGCACATGTTCAGTGAAAACGTAATCATTCAATTCTTTTCCTGAAATTTTTAAATCCATGATGAGTTGAATCCATGGATGCAGAACCCTATCATATGGAGGGCCAACTGTATATCAAATATCATATTTAATGGTGTATTTTCTAGTATTTAATTTAATTACTGACAATATGGCACACAACAAACATATCAAAAGTTTCTGATATGTGTTTTTTGAATTTATTTAAAGCAAGAAAATAATGCCTCCTTTAATGAGGATTGCTGAGGACAAAGTCTAAAAAAGGCTGACTCCATCTATAAGGAGTAACTCTGATCTACAAGTTTAATGACAGAGAGGATCTCTGAGTTGTTAGTCCACTGAATGTGGGACATAATTGTCAACTTCCTGATCTGTGAAAACAGTCTCCAAGCCACACACGCATTGAATGGTAAAGGATAAAAATCTAACTAACTAGGAAGGCTTAGGCACAACTTTTCAAATACAGATTTAGGTAGAAATAGAGAAAAATAGACATGAATATTGCTGAGTTTCATGTTTAGCTGAATTCATAGTAAATATTTATCATCATGAATATGTTCATCTCAGAAGCCAAAAGCGTACCTACTGTCACTGGAAGGTTGCATATATATGCATATATATGTGTGTGTGTATATAGATATGTATATATATAAAATACATATATTTCAAAGCGGTCATTCATATATATTTTTTCAAGCAGTAAGCTAATTTTCCAAGGACTATTATTATAGATACAGAAAATATACATATATACATGTATATTATATATATATATAGTCCCAGCACTTTTAGAGGCTGAGGTGGGAGGATCACTTGAGCCAGGAGTTGGAGAGAAGCCTGGGCAACAGGGTGAGACCCTGTCTCTCCAACAACAGCAACAACAAAATTACTCAGGCATGACAATTCAGCCTGTAGTCCAGCTATTTGCGAGGCTGAGGTTGGAGGACTGCTTGATCTGGGGAGATCGACTCTGCAGTGAGCTGTGATCTCACCACTGCACTCCAACCTGGGTGACAGAGTGAGAGCCTGTCTCAAAGAAAAACAAAACAAAACAAAACAAAAACAAAAACCTGATTATTTATCCATTCTTCCTTATTGCTCTAATAGCTGTATTCTAACATACAATGAGATTATATACAAGATGAGGATGGTTAAAAGAGTATAATGCTATTAAAATATAAGTGGCTACAGAATTGTATGTTTGCATTACTGCTGTCATTGGAATACAGATCCTGTCACCTTGGTAGTCAGCATAGTACCCAATAGGTAGTTTTTAAAAAATATATTATCATCATTATTATCATTTATTAATGTGGAGAATAGCCTTCCAAAGACAGCTGCAAATGTCCTTGTCACACAGAGGTAGCAGTCATCAGGAACTCTGCTGACCGATGCTTTAGGTGCCTGTTTACAAGGAAGACATTCTGGAAAAAAAAAGTCAGGAAACTTCAGGGTAAAAAAAAACAACAACAACAACAAAAAACACACCTTTCTTCCAAAGTAAGTATTTTCTGACACTCACACCTTCAGGCTGTTGCCCCTGTTGGAAGTGAGAGAGTGACTAGTTACTGGCAGTGTGACACCATGAGCACGCTCCTAGGCTAATGGAGCTGACTGAAGAGCTCCCTCCAAGACAGGTTCCCTGCAGCCCTCCCCTTTCTTTCTTCTGAAAATGTGTATCTTTCTTTTCAAGCCACGACTTAAAGTCTTATTTTGTTCCTACTCTTAGAAGCAGTCAAAAAGAGCCCCATACCAGCCATTTTATCAATCAATGAATTTTAAAGCAGAGGGATAGTAAGGCATTATTTGTCTCTCTGGTCTTGGTTCCTTTTCTGCATACTGCAATCATTCAACTACATCTCACACTCTACCATGTCCACGACACCACTTATGACTAGCGCCTAGAAGACTGAACATCACTTGTGCCTACGTGCAGATAGAGAGAAAGTCGTCTGGTCACGTTACCACTTTGGTGGAAGGCACTCTTAAAAAATTCAACGGCCAGGTCTGCTATTATAAACACTGGGTCAAAACTGTGGTTGACTTCAAAGTGTTCTCAGAAAGTTTGATAATACACTATTAAAAGACAGTTTTCCACCTGAAAACCTCACTGGTGGCAACCTTCAATTGGCCTCTGCATTTCCTCTGAGCAGAAGCATCCAAGAGACGGAATCGTTTGCATGAGGAGTTCTTACTGCCACTATGGTTGTTAGAAAACATGGAATGATCCCTCTGCCCTCCAGGTGATTGAAAGCTATGCAAAACAAGGTTGTTTCTTCCTGAAAGAAGGAAGGAATGGGTAAGAAAACTTTTAAGGCATAAATAATATAAAAGGGCTCACACTTTAAGACACATTGACATGACATTATGCTACAAAAAAAAAAAAAATAGTCATTTTCTCTGATTTGAATTAAGGTCCTTCAAACAGTTCACTCCCAGGCCTGTTTTGTGCAGTTAGTTACAGGATTGAAGTTGGAACATGACTGGTTGTTTGCACATCCTCCAGTTTCCTGGAGCTGCTGGAGGACCCCTGAGGGGCTGTGCAAAGGAACACCAGGCGGAGGCCATGTTGTCTCTTCAGCACAGTCCTCTGAGATAGGTGGCAGAATAAGAGGATTCCAACGTAAAATGTTGCTGTCTGTTTCTGAATAGACACAGCTGTCTCCTCTGCTGAACTCTTCTGGATTTTCTGCACGATCACAGCTGACATCGTTTCTATTATCCTGACAGCACTTTTTCCTCCTCTGTAATAACATACTTTGTGGATGAACCAAAATCACCAAAAACTGCCACGGATACTGTTACAGGGCCACTCAAAATAATACCAACGCTATTGTTGGCAATGGATTGGTAGAAACCCAAAAGAGAGAAGTTCAGAGAAAGCATTGTCAAAGTCCCCTGATGAAGCTTTGTATGTTCCATATTTCTATCCTTTTTTCCATTATGCAACCATGAGCTATGAGTGGTCACAGGTTTGGCAGAACAATGTAGTTCTACAGGTCCACCACCTTTCTGGACGGTAGAGGTGGCTCAGAAGTAAAATAAGGTGCCAAGTCTGAGCTCATGGAAGAGCAGAGAATCATGACAGTAACATATAGCAGTGTCCATATAGATCCAAGATTCACATGCAGAGCGCCAGATTACAGAAGCAGGCAAGGCAGGCTTCCAGAACAAAACTCAAGCCTTGGTTCACTTTCCAAGGTACTACAGTTCAGGGTAATCAGACGCATTCCTTAACCTTGACTCCTTCCTGCTTACTAAGACTTTGATCAGGGACAGGCTTCATGCTGTCCACAGGGGGTCTCCGAAACTCAGAGTAACAGTTGGCTTACATCTTCAGTGATTCGTCTGCAAGGTGTATACGATTGTGCTTCTGGGGGAAAGCAGAGATGCCACTTTCTGTACTTACAATGGAGTTCACTTCAGTGCTAAAAGCACATCATAGCAGTTCTGCTTGTAATAAACTCCGAACTGGCAATCTGCCTTTGAGTTGAGCTGTTCTCCTCCAAGATAAGCTGTTAAGTCATGCCTTGACTTTAGAGCTCTCGGCCGGGCGGGCTAAGCATCCAGAGGTCCTGTGTGGCAGCCGGCTGGGAAAGCCACTCTCAGGTCCTTCCCACTGACGCCTGCCTCAGCGACTATGGTGGCGGCTATGGTGGCAGCGGCTGCGATCGATCCGAAGGGGCCCCTCCACGCACCACGCAGAGCAGAGGAGGGCGTGGTGTCTTGCAGGCCGGGGCGCAGGCGCTGGGTAGGTCAGGCCGGCGCTGGGTTCTTGTTCTTCTGGCATCTTGACGCTGGAGCTGGGCATCAGGGCTCAGGGTAGGGGACCTGGGGCGCGCCCCCGCGGCAGCACTCCTCCAGGCAGAGGCGAGTGGGCATGCAACCGGGCGGGCTCATGGCTGCCAGGAGCATGCCAGGAGCAGGAGGAGGGATCCTGTGAGAGACAAGCGGGGCTGGCTGTAGAGGCCGCCCCAAGTTAAGTAGTTTTTTTAACCCATCCCTCTCCCTCCACTCTCAAGTAGATCACAGAGTCTATTTTTCCCATACTGATGTCTCTGTGTGTTCAATGCTTAGCTCCCAATTATAAGTGAGAACATACAGCATTTAATTTTCTGATTCTGCATTAATTTGCTTAGGATCACAGCCTCCAGCTCCATCCCCATTGCTGTAAGAGAGTTGGTGTGCCCAGAGTAAAGCCCTCCATTTAAGCTCCCATTCACAACTACACTGACTCCACACAACTACACTGACTCCATTCACAACTACACTGAGGACAGACCTTATGGTGAAGGTGGGAACAGCCACTGCTGAAACCTCCATTGCTCAGTAAGCCTCCATGAACATTTCCATTTATCTCATTTGCTCCTGAGAGAGTGGTGCATTACATCATCTGCCCATTACTATCTGATCCTTGTTAGAGGTATCCTGGAGGGTCATATTTCTCTATGATACTCTGCTGGTGATTCTTCCACAGGCACATTTCAATGAAAACCATAAGAATGAGAGCAGCTCACCGGGCAGGAATGCCCTCCCCTCAGCTAGGCCCCTGTGGTCCAGCCCAGAGCAGCAGGAGTCAGGGCGCAGGAATCCTCTCCAACCAGTGCCAGGGCCCTGGAGTGGCTGCCTTCCTGACAGCTGTTCTTGGGGAAGTGCCAAGGAAAAAACCCAGGCCCAGGGCTTTTCAGCAGACTCAGGATTGGCTTTTGTTCTTTGTGGCCTTGGAATGCCAGCGGTTCCTGCTGTGGGCACAAACCACGGAACAGGGCCTATCCTCCCCAGCTCCTGGCAGTGCCCAGGGACCGTTGAAGGGACCAGGGACTCTGCAGGTTTGAGTGGGGCAAGGGAATGAGGTTGAGGCATAGAGAAGATTCAAGAGATCTAACTGGCCTTTTGCTTACCCCAGGAGGGCTTCTGGCACATTCTGAGTGGAGCAAACTTGGGTGCTTCACCCACTCCTTCATGGGGCTAGGCTCACTACAGGGCTGTGTCCTCCTGTGTCATGTTGTGGACCACACAGCGCCTGCCTTCCCTGCATCTGAAGGAGCAGCCTGGAGGGCTTAGGGGTCTGGAACCCCATTTTCCTCTCTATGCTTCAGTGGCTATCCTTGCTGCTTATGGCCCCCACACCAGGGTGGACATACCATTACCCCGAGGGAATGCTAAGCATGGTATTTCCTTCTAACAACAACAGCTACTACTACTGTAATTTACTAAGTATTACTTAATGCCAGGAACTGTGGAGTGCCTTCTACACAGCCCCATTTATCTTTCACAACACCCAGTGAAGCCAGGGCTTTGAGGCAACTGTGCCGCAGAGGGTGCTCTGGGTCACCCATTTGCTGAGCAGCAGAACCAGGATCTGAACTCAGGTCCATCTAACACCTGAACCAGCATTCTCTTCACTACCCCATGGAGTAGCTCCAAGGCATGGACAACTGTAATAACTCCAAGGAAGCATTAGAATAAACTAGAAAATAAACTTAAAAACCGTGTCAGTGTTAGGGGCCACTAGTGGACTGTTGAGAAGAAGCTTGACCCCAGTAACGAGATGTATGATTTTTAGGCCCACAGAGTGGGTAGGTAACTGCAAGAATGTAAAGGAATCAAAGGCTGGTGTCATGGTGAATCCCATCGCTCTCCGACTGAACTCCTACTGGGCTTGCAAAGCACAGACACAGAACACACTTGTGGCAAGAATGAGTGAGTCATCCATTTACACATTTTCTAAACTTGTTTTAAAATTCTTTCTATTTTTAGGCCTACCATATTTTATGTCATGTAGCGTTTCCTTTTATTTGTTCCAAACACCACTCCTTTGAACCTCCTGGAGTGTGCTGTGTCTCTGGTAATTTCTGTCCACTTTGTCCACATTCCCTGCACTTTATAGATTTTGATCCCATCTGCTCTGAGATTTTATTTTTTAAGTAGAATCACTTGCTCCAGTGAAGATGGCCTAGAGTCTTGAGAGAATGATTTTTTTCCTATTTGGGGTCTGGTACCCTTTATTCCATAATGCAGAGAGACCATAGGGCTCACACTGCTGGGCTGGGAATCTGGTGGCCAAAGCCAGAACCCTGGCACATTCTCATACTGGCTGTGTGACCTTGTGCCAATCACTCAACTTCTCTGAGCCAAAGTTTCTATGTCTGAAGACTGAGACTAATAATGGCACTTCTCTTGTACGATATTATGATGTTTAAGGCAGACAAAGTGTTTGGAGCACAGTGAGTGCTCAATAAATGTTAGTGGCTGAAAGTCAAACTAGCCACAAGAAAGATGGCAGAGAAGCATTGCTCATGGACCTTGGTGAGGTGTCACTGTCATTATACCAGGTATACCGAGAGACAGAGAGAGGTCCCAAAAATGGCAGTGGGGCAAGGCGGCTGGGGAGAAGGAGCAATGAGGACAAACTGAGGAGGTGGTCTCTCAGGTGTGAGTGACCTTATTCCTCCCTTCCATCCTAGATCTGACTGTGCACTCTCTGGGGCTCAGGAGTCTTCTCTTACGGCATCCAAGACTACAGTCACAGACTAGAGCCTACTCCAGCAGCTCAATGGGCTGCCAAGTTCTACTGTCTGAGAACTCTCTGAGTTCTGAGAGAGTGTTCCATGCTACCAGGGACCTGTGACTCTGGAGAGCAGAATCCAGAATAGAAGATACCATTCCCATGGCTTCCAGAGCCATGGCGTCCCAGGCTCAGTTTCTCCATGAACCCAGGAGTTGGAGGTTGCAGTGAGCCAAGATAGTGTACTCCACAAAAAAAGATTGTTCTGTAATGAACTGTATGTATAAATATTTTCCTGGAGAGATGAGAAGTGACAAATGGAACTGTGGGAGTACAGGTTGGGCACCTTTAGAATGAATATGGACAAGTTAGCTTCCCATAAACCTAGTCTGTCTTGTCTTTTTGCAGCTTTTGAATATCCCTTTAAAGACTAAAGGTAAGCAGGTAGGGAAGCGTAAGAAGGGAGTACCTGGAGAGATTCCCCAGTCCAGGGCCATTGCCATTTTCCAGGCAGTGACCAAGGTGTACAGAAGCTTAGGATGCACGTCCTGACTGGGTAATGCTCCTGATCCTGAAAGCAGCCTTGACTGCCCACAGGTAACCAGGAAATAAAGAGAGGGTACACGCTGACCCCCTGAGATCCTCGAGCCACTTTGACAAGTCAAATTAGGTGACTGAGTTCAGTCTTATGGTCTCTTGTTCAGGATTCAAGAGATAGCTGTACTGCCATGTTTGAAACTTAGTCTCTCCATTCTAGAGCCCAAGGAGTTGTGAGTTGTGGAAAGCACCCTGGACTCAAAGTCAGAGAGACCTGGGTTCGTGATACCGCTCTGCTCTGAGCATTGACCTCAAATTCTCGGGTTTCTCACACTTAGTAAAACTATACATGTAACAGCCACATCTTATTAGCAGGGTGACGTGAAAATGACTTGTAAACTATTAAGAAATGGAGAAAAGTAAGGGATGAGGCAATTATGATGATCAATATAATGCCATGGTTCCCTCACCAGGACAGCCCTTTCTATTTTCGATCTCCTCCCCTTTGACGTATTTAGCTGTACAAGCATTTACTGAGCATCTACTAAGTGCTGGACTATCTGCTAGGGCCTGGGAACACAGTGGCGACTGAAACAAGAACCATGTCCTCATGGAACCAATAAACAGGTCCTGGTAGGGAGGTATGCTTCGTGCTGTAATGTGGCTAGAGTGTAGAGGTGGAGGTGTGGGGAGCAGTGAGGGTAACCCACAGAGTCTTGGCTGTCCAGAAAAAGAGACCTCTAAGCAGAGACTAGAAAGAAAAGTTGGAATCCACCAGGCAAATGTGAGAATGTGAAGGGTAAAGGTGGAATGTTTTGGTACTGGCAGAAAAAGGTCCAGAATCCAGACAGGGCCAGGTACATTTAGGGAACTAAGTTCAGTGTAGTGGGAAATAAAGTACAGTAATAGAGTGCATGTTGTGTGTGTGTGTGTGTGTGTGTGTGTGTTATCTGTAGTGAGAGCTGAGAGATGGGTCTGGGAAAGTGTGCTGGGTTAGATCACAAAAATCTTTGTAGGCATGTTGCGAAATGTGGACTTTATACTAAAAAGCAAAGGGATCTTAGTTGGGGAAAGTGAAGGAACAGACATGTTTTGGAAAGCTTTTTCTGGCTACAGTGTGGCGAATGGATTGCAGGAGGCCAGGTTGTAGGCAGGGTGGGGTGTTGGTGGGGCACTGTGTTCCCATAATTCTAAGGGATGATGGCAGCCCTGAGGATAGAGGGAAGTGGTGATGGGGATGGGTGGGGAAATATTGTCATAGTCAGCTTTCGACTCTCAATTCTATCCTTGACTGCTGGTGATGGGCTGCAGCCCTGTGAAGACCAGAATGAGTGTAAGCCCCATCCTATCTTCCCATGTCCTTTGGTGAGCTTCAGCTTCCCCAAGCCCAGTAGTCACTGCAAGCAGATATGGCTCCTCCCACCTCAAAATCTTCCAGTGGCCCAGGGGAAGTTTCTGTCTGATGACAGTCAGATCAGAGAAGTGAGGAGGGGATGCTGGTCTAGGACCAATACTGCCATAGATGGGCTGATGAGATGCTTGAGCCCTCACCTCCAAGTCTTGGCTCCAAGATAGCTTCTCAGGGAACTCTTCTCCAATCCCCCTATTGCAAACCAACGCTGCCTCCCCCACCACGCCGCCACCGGCTTTATCCCTTTCACTCTGCTTTATTTCTCTTCACCATTTGACATATTGTCTACTTCACTTATTTATTTATCATCTGTCTCTCCCCAGTAGAAGGTAAGTTACATGAGGGCAGGAATTCTTGGTAGTTTTGCTTACTGCTGTATCCCCAGTGCCTAGAACAGTGTCTGGCACAGAGACAATGCTCAGTAAAAGCTTGTGCTTACATGAGTGTTCGATGGAATGACTGAGTGGCAAGGGTTACACAATGGCCTCATTGTGATGGTGTGGTGCTGGGTGCTGGGCACACAGCAGTTAATAAGATAAACACTGGACTGAAGTCTTAGCTGTGCCTGCCGCTCTTTGGTTCTTGGCAGCTAGTGGCAGAAGCAGAAACTCAGTAGCCTTTTATTGTTTACCTGGGCATGCTGCCTGCCTCTCTCTTTTTTCTGGATAGCTGAGGACCCTCTGAGTAGAATATGGGTGAGAATTGGGCACAGGCCATGGGCAGGGTCAGGGAGTGACCTTCCCCAGATCCCAAGGGCAGTGGGAGACAGCCAGGCCGCTCTCCTCCTCGTCGGCACTCAGTCTCACCACCGAAGGCTCCAAATCTCTGGGCAAAGGTTATAGCACCTGCTGCCCAGGGAACATGTGACCACTTGAGCGCTGCTGGGTTGGAACAATCCACACAATCACGCCATTGTACTAAACATGCAGGTCTCCTTGCCAAGCCACACCTCATTCCAGCACTGCCAGACCCTTTTGGGGCCCTGATTTACAGGTGCCCCAAAGGGGGAGGTATTGTTCTAATGGCCCTGGGGGAGGATGAGGTCAATTCTGTGGGGCTCACTTACTCTGGCCTGCGCTGAGATCCAGGGAGAAGTAGATGGGAGAAGGAGTAAATAACCGCGTTCTAGCTTCAGGCCCTATGAGGAGTGGTAGACAAGATCATTACTGTTTGACTCCTGATGACATTGGCATTGACTATTGTCCTCCAACATTTGCTTTGCTTGGTGAAGACTGTTGAGCACTTGCTGATTTTTCAGAAGTCCAAAAGGTTCCCTTCTGTCATGACTGGGTCCAGAAATTCCCATCAAGTCACTATCCATTCTTGAAGATCTTCCTTCCCAGAACTGGTTCTCAGCAGACCATTAGACAAGGATTTGGTGCTACTGAACTCTTGGTCTGTACAAGATTGTGTTTGTTATTGTCCTTCTAGGAGCAAGGAGTTCTACAGGGCTTTGTACCCTGTTGACACTCAGGCCAAGGTCACTGGTAGGTTTCACTCCACAGGACCATTCAGTGACTGCAAGGAAGTCCCTGCTTAGGCTGTTTATTTTTTTCATTATTAGTAACCGCACAGGAGATGGCATGATGAGGTAGAATCCAATTTGAATAAAGCAACCTTTTTTTTGAGACAGGGTCTCATTCTGTCACCCAGGCTGGAGTGCAGTGGTTTGATCACAGCTCACTGCAGTCTGAAGCCTCAACCTCCTGGGCTCAGGCAATCTGTCTGTCTTAGCCTCCTGAGTATCTGGGATCACTGGCGTACACCACCATACCCAGCAAATTTATTTTATTTTATTTTATTTTAGTAGAAATCAGTCCCGTCATGTTGCCCAGGCTGATCTCGAACTCCTGGGCTCAAGCCATCCTCCTGCCTTGGTCTCCCAAGTTGCTGGGATTACAGGTGTGAGCCACTGTGCCTGGTGTCCACAGGAACCTTGGTTCTAAAAGGCAAGTGAATAAGGATATACCTTTGCTTGGCACATTGCAAGATACTTGAGTGCCTGGCATGTAGTGAGTGCTAAAAAAAGGTGAATCTGAATCAAGAAGCTTAAAGCCAACCAGGGCCATTTTGGGTTCTGGATATTAGTTACAGGTTCAGAGATATCAGTTCTGCTTTATCCCCAATCCTCATCATACCTTTCCACAAAGAGAGAGGAAGAGACTGCGCCAGCACTCACCCTTTCCCATCTTCACTTGCAGAAAAGACCCTGGTTTAGAGGTCAGGACCCAGGCATCTGAGATGCCTTTGCCCCTGACCCTGGCTCTTGGGGGCCAGCAGGTGGTCCCTGTGTCCCATGTTTTGTCTCTCCAGAGTCATCCTCCAGGGGAACACACACACCCTGACCATGGGAAGGGAGGTCTGGCTAAAGGAGGAGGCCACTGCAATGACTGAACACCTACTTTATGAGCAAGCACCAACTATGTGTCAGATGCTGTCCAAAGCGTGGCGTGTCCAACATTTTCACCATTCTTGGTGCCTTATCTCTAAGGAAAAAGGTCTGCAACCTTGAACTTCTGAGTTGGACTGTCTTGGAGACTCCTCTATGCAAGTTACTGTGGGACCTTAACAGGTGATTTAGCCCTTCTGGACCCCCAGTGACCTCACCTGTGGAATGGGGATCATGAGAACACCTTCATTTCAGGAGTTGTGTGAGGATTAAATGAGATGATGAAGCGCATGGCACAGGGCTTGTTAAGAGCTCTGCAAATTTTAGTCATGCCGGTGATGATGAAGAAGAAATGCGAGTGCTCTAAAGGCTCCCCAAGGTGTTATCCTTGGCTTCACTGCTGCCTAGAATTTGCAGCAGGGCAGCAAGAAGGCCCTGATGCTGGCAGTCCTGGGAAGCCTGAGTGTTTCTCACTTGCCTAGTGGCCTGGGGACAATCACTTTCTCCTTCCGCACCTTCAGATCGGGGTCTGAGGGTTGAGTCCCCAGGGCTCTGGGTCAGAGGCACAATGTCAGAGTTGTTCCAAAGGACAGAAAGTCCCCTCTCCTCCAGGCGCCCAAGCCTCACCCTTAACTCCTCTGGGTCAGGCCACCTCCTGTCCCCTCTGCCTGCTGAAGGTGGGAGGAGTAGGGAGGAGGGGTGGGGTAGCAGAGGAGAAGGGCCCTGGAGGAACGGCGAGCCCCTCCAGGGCCAGGGTGTCTCTCCCCCTCCCCGCCCAGAGCACAGCGGACTTTCTCTAGTTCACTCCTCCCAGCGGCTGGGTCTCCAGGTGCCTTCCTTTAATTAAAAGTATTTAGCCTTCCGCTACACTGGCCTTCATTTGTATGGGATCCTTCTTTTTATGCAGCCTCAGTATCAGAACGAGCCAGGAGGTTAACGGAGCGTCGTCCTGCAGCGTCCCGGGACACCAGGGCCCAGCGCGCGCTCTGCTTCCCCGCGCTGCCCTGTGGGATTCCGCAGGTGGCGGCCCTCACAGGTCGGGAGCTGTCAGGTTTCCAGCCCCTCCGCCCCGCAGGGCTGGGCCTCCAGGCGCCAGGAGAGGCGCAGCAGGTTCCCCATCCCCCCCTGGCAAAGCGCGTTCACAGCCCGCCTCTCCGTGGGCTGAAAGAAGGAGGAAGACAGCTGTTTTCTGATCACCTACGTGTGCCAGACACTGGACTGAGTTCCGTGGGTATTCCAGGGAAGGACAGTCACAACTCCTGCCTGGAACTCATAGCTCCTCAGGAGGAATCTGTATTGGTGACTACACAAAGAACTATGACATCAGGTAGCAGGTGGTTAAAAACTGCAGGAATGTTTCACCCGAAGTGGCACTGATTGTTAGAGAAAAGCAGGACACGAACTGTCAGCGGCAGATCCTTACGAATGTTTTTTGTTTGTTTTCTCAGATGAACATTCTGATGCTTAAGATAATCAGGCAAATTCACCAAGGCCATGTAGATGGTGACAGGCGGGCCTGGGGTTTAAACCCCAGCCAGCTGGTCTCCCAGGTCCATCGTTTCCCATTCAGGAGAGGAAGCTGACTGCTTGAGACCAGACTCCTTTCCCTCCACGTACTTGTGCTCTGATGGAGGCTCAGACACAGACCTGGGAGACTCCAGATCATGGCGTTTGTTTCTGACTCCAGTCGCCTCTGTCTCATGGTTCTGGCTTCCTCAACCTACCTGAGGTTTTGTCTGTAAACTGCTCCTGGCCTGCTCACTGTCCCACTCCAGTCCCTCTCCATCCCCAGGCCAACATCCACCCCTTCCAGCTGCCCCAGGGTCTTAGGAGCCAAGGGACAAGAGCAGGAAGGAGGCCTGATTCTTACAGATAAGGAAAGGGAGATGCAGGACGGGCTTCTCCAGTTCTGCTTAAGTTTTTACTCGTTATCCCAGACTGACTCAGGAGTCCCACCCCCTCCCCCTCACTTCTGCAAGCTAGTTCGGATGGTCCTTTCCTACAAATTTCTCTTCCTTGGACTAGGAGACAGGCATCATGGGGGTGGGGGGTGGTAATGGGAGTTGCTGTGTTTCATTTCCATGCAGAGTGTCTGATGCAGAGTAGACAACCAATACATAGTGAATGAATGAATGCATGGGTCATAGATTGGGCTCAGAAGTAGATGTAGACGCCCATGTAAAAGACAGAGGAGGAAACAATGTGGACGAAAAGGTGGAAGGGGTGTGGAATCCCTTAGCCACCAGCATTCTGTAGTCTTCCAAAGAGTACACACCAGGGGTCATGCCACAGCCCCTCCCATGATACTCCCGAGGAAAGCAGGCAACATTTCCTTTCACTTTGCTCTGTGGAGCCTCTGGAACTGGGAGCCTAATGGATCACCATTGCTGTCTGGAGTCAGCCCAGAAAGACAGTCAGTTAATACTATTCTAGGTTCAGTGTAGACCTAGGTCCAGGGACAAGAAAGGGAATGATGAGCTTAGGATTTATTTTAGAGGTGTGCTTTCAGCACGTTTTTAGTCACTCCTTCCCCTTCCCTGCCCGCTGGTGAAGGACCTAGAAGATAAAAGTGTTTCATTAGCACTTTCTCAGCCATGCACCCAGAGTGGGTTGAGCTCTCCTGTCTCACATCTCCTTTGCCACGGGTGCTGTGCTGAGTTGGGGGAAGGCAGAGAGACTGCTTGAAATAATGGCAGCATTCGTATCCCAGAGTAATTTAATAGCATTATCTCATATCATTTTCATGAGCAGTTGATAAGGTTACTGTTGATCTGTTTTACGGATGAGCAAAGTGAAGCTCTGATGAGCTAAACACCATACTCAAGGTCAGGTCATTTAATGACTGTGTGCAGAAATCAGGACTTGGACCCAGGCCTTCCAATTCCAGAGTCTGTCTCTGGGACTAGGGAACACCATCAGGAAGGGAACTGGAATCTGGACAAGATCCTTGAATCCCCAGGCTTTGCCCAGGAAAAGTGGAATCTTCATGAAGAGGTCACTTGGAAGAATAAGACAAGCATCTTGATTGAAATGACACTCAATAGGTCAGGTCTCTTCTCTATTTCAGGCACTATGACTTTAGAGATGTGTTAAAACACAAATATTTTTGTTGGGAGTAGTGTGATGATATTAAGCCAAAGGCTCAGCAGAGTTATTAGCAGACACTGGACCATTCAATGAGCTTGCCATCACTCAGAAACCAGAGAGCAAGACCGTCAGGGAATAGATCTTTAGGTGCAATTTGATGGAGATGCAGGCAGGCTGGGAATGGGAAGGGGATGAGGACAAGTATCTGAGCAGTGAGCTCTGTGAGTGGTGGGATTCGGAAGGCTGCAAGGAGGGCATTCTTAGAAGCTCTCTGAGGCCAGAACCTGGGACTGCCTTATCCTCTCTGTGTCCCCACTGACCTACACAGCTCCTGGTACACGTAGGTTCTCAATATTGAGAAGCAGTAAGTAGTAATTGAGTGTTCCAAGAAGAAATAGTTGAGAGAGAAGGTATGGAAGTAGGAGAGCAGACTGGAAGGCAGCTTTCATGTAGGTGAATTTCACTTTAGGGTTGGAGCCGTGTGAGAGGGAGTGAGGTGGTGTGAACATGTCAGTGTGAGCTGAAGCTCCAGTTTTCTCATAGTGCTTTCTTCACCCCAAAACGGACATTTCCAAAAAATTTTTAAAAGGTTTTGTTGATTTTATTGTTGAATATAAAATTGGGCTGACCCTGGAGTGGGCTGTGATAGGGGTGGGAAAGCTGCTGGGCTTAATGGAGTGCAGACAGGTCCTCAACTGATTTAGGTGAAAAGAAAGGTCTTGATGGGTCTAGAGGCCCAAGGAATAAATACCAACCCTGCACAAGGGAGGCTTGTTTCCACCCAATGCAGACATAATAGCACAAGCAGTGCCAAAGGTCTTCTGGAAATTGTATTCTATTCACTGACATTCTTTAGTTGAAAAAATGGCAAACAATTAGGCCCGATTAGGCAAAAAATATAGGAGATGGGTTATAGAGATGCAGAGATGGGTTATGGAACCCAAGGTCAATGATGCAGCTGAGTTTCAGAAATGACAAGAACTAGGACCCAGAAGGTCACTCACTGGGCTGCTGACCATCTGTTTCCCTCCCTCCCTCCCTCCCTCTCTCTCTCTTTCTTTCTTTCTCTCTCTTTCTCTCTCTCTCTCCATCTCTTCCGCCTCCTCCCCCCTCTGTTTCTATTGGAGCATTGGCTTCTCTTTCTGTATCTCTGCAGGGAAGTTCTCTTTTCCATCAGGCAAAAGGCAGGTCCTGAGATTACTCATTAGATCCTCATGAAGAGAGTGACCACTCCTCTTTCATCAAAGAGAATCTCCTCATCCCAGCCTGTGTTGCTTGACACCCTGGTCCAGTCCACTCTCACTGAGGCTATTGGGGGTTCATTTTTGTGAATAAAGATTGCAGTTCTCAGAGAATAGGAAGTCAAGATCTTTTGGGCTGCTTAGACATCTCGAAGATACTCATTGAGGGTGCTTTCTCAGATGGCTTGGGAGTTTTCTAAATATCTATTTGTCATAATTTCCTATCCAGTGTGCTGGGACTGACTGAAAGGTTGTTATATTCTTAGGTGGGACCAATAGGAAAAGCACATCCAAGATAAAAGTGCTATATTTCCTCTATACTTCTTTGAGTTGCACCACACTTGGGTTAATAGCTCCATTCTAACCATTACCTACAAAGAAGGAGACTGAGAAAGAGAAACAGAGAGGACTAGGAACCATGAGAACAGTGTATACCATGCCCACTGAGGATGAATTACAGGAACAAAGGATATTTTGCCTAAAAAATAGAAGACTGAGGGTGAAATAAAAGTCCTTTTTAGAAAACTAGACAGTGGTTATGAGGAGAGAGAATCCATAGGCTTGGTGAGCAATGTGTGAACATCGTGGACAAGTCAGTTTTGCTTAAGTCCGAGTAGCACGTTTGAGGCAGTTGATCTGCCCACACTGTAATGGGCATTGCCTTAGGAGGGAGTTAATGGCCTATTGCTATGCTACAAGTCTTCTTTAAAAAAAAAATTCAATAGGTTTTTGGGGAACAGGTGGTGTTTGGTTACATGAATAAGTTCTTTAGTGGTGATTTCTGAGATTCTGGTGCCCCCATTACCCAAGGAGTGTACACTGTACCCATTGTGTAGTCTTATCCCTCACCCCTCCTCCCACCCTTTCCCCCGAGTCCCAAGGTCCATTGTATCATTCCTATGCCTTAGCATCCTCATAGCTTAGTTTCCACTTATGAGTGAGAACATATGATGTTTGCTTTTTTATTCCTGAGATACTTCACTTAGAATAATGATCTCCAGTTCTATCCAGGTTGCTGCGAATGCCATTATTTCATTCCTTTTTATGGCTGAGTAGTATTCTATGGTATATACATACACCACAATTTGCTAAGAGTCTTCTTTAAGAGGAGGGTTGATGCTGAGGATGCTAAGCAGAGGAGACTTTGGGGTTGGGGATTTCCAAACCTGATTGATCATGAAATTGGCTAGAGGAGTTTAAAAAATCATAGACTCTTGAGTTGGGGTGGGGAAGAGTCTCCCACAGGTGATTCTAATGGTCATCTGGACTTGGAAACCATTGAATCAGAAGACCTTTAAGGTATGTTCAAATTCGAAATTTTGACAGACTTATCTACAACAAGTGTGGCCCCCAGACTAGCAGCATCAGCATTATCTGGAAACTTACTTGAAATTCCAGTTCTTCAACCCCACCTAAGACCTACTGAATCACAAACTCTAGGGGTGGATTCTAGCTATCTGTGTATTGCTAAATACACAGGTGATTCTGATGCCTGCTCAAATCTGAGCACCACCAATCTTCAGTATTTATTAGTCATTCTATTTTTATTCTATATATTGGAGTCATGAATTCCATTGCATTTACCACCTAATATGTTGTAGCCAGCCTTAAAGGTGGCCACTAGAGAATCCCAAAGGCAAAGCATTCCCTGCCTCCCACTATTTAGGCCCTTGTGTATTTCTTTCTCACATGTTATCAGAGTTAGTCTATACGACCAGTAGAGTACAGCAGATTGATGGTATATCAATCCTGAGTCTAGATTTTGACAGACAAGGCTTCTGTCCTGCTCTTTCTTGGATCACATGTCCACTACTATGTCATGAGAACACTCAGGTATCCCCATGGAGAAGCCCATGTGGAGAGAAACTGAAGCTTCCTGCCAACAGCCATTAGGAACCCAAGGCCTCCAGTCAGAAATTAGGCGACATTGTGGATGTGGATCCTTCAGCCTCAGTCAAGATTTCATATGACTGTAGGACTGGTTGACAGCTTGACTGTAACCTCATGAAAAACCCTGAGCCAGAATCACCCAGCTGTGCAGCTCTTGGATTGCTGACCCTCAGGAATAGATGTCTGAGATAATAAATATTTGTTGTTCTAAACTTCTAAGTTTTGGGTAATTTGTTACATGGCAATAGAGAACTAACACTAAACTCTTATTCTCACATCTGCTCTGATAAATTCCACTCTTGGTCATATAGGTGTTCTGACAGGAGACTCCTCAGAGAATATTTTCACAGCTAGAGAATAAAGTGAAATTTCTTCTTCTTTTTTTTTAAACCGACTTCATTTGAGCCATAAATCTGCCTCTAGCACTGACACTGAAATTTGGTGACACATTGATTCATTCTTGGCATTTTAAATGTGTCTATGATAAAATCCCCTCAGGGAATCCTTTCAGAACCCAGTTGGGAGATATCAGGGGCACTCTTTTAGGTCCAGTAGATGCTTTATTCTGCTTTGGCTGGACATTCTGGCTGGGACAATGCGTCAGCCTGAGGGAGAGGTCACATGGCCTTTTCTAGAGACAAGTCAGAAAGAATGGCAGTTGCAGGGGATGGGGAGTAGTAGTTCAGGCCGGTGATACTTCCCTTCCTGTAAAAGAAACAGAGAGAGAGGCTAATTGGGTCTTAGTCTTTGCATTTTGTATATGTATATGTATGTGCATGCATGTGGGTTGTTCTTTCCATTTACCATCTTGGAAGTCTTCAAAGAATTAGCGTCCACGACCACTGGTCAAACATTATACCTTTTGTTCGTTGCTTTCCCCCTGGTTGGTATTTTCTTGTATGAAAAGGGAGCTACAGAGGAGGGATCACAGAACTGGAGAGAGGGGCAGCAAACATTCTGAGTCTCTGAGGACCAAGGCTAGTCCATGAGAAGCTGGCCTGGGTCTGTGAAGGAGGCCTCAGGTCTCAGCTCTTAAGATTTTCTTCTGGGATTCCAAGACAGTGTCCTCTGCTGCTTCTTTCCACTGGCTGGACTCTGCCTGTCATTCAGGCAGGAGCCACCAGGTGGAGAAATGTGTAGATGACATCCTGGGGACACACACACACACACACACACACACACACACACACACACACAGAGGTTCATTCACAACAAACATTGTACATTTATGAAAGTTAGTTACCATTAATTCTCTCCCGGCCTTTGTTGTCTCATCTTTAAAGTGAAAAGGTTAAGGAAAGTGTTGTGTAATGTCTGTTCTGAATTTCTAGGATTCTATAGTATTGCAGTAATAACAAGGCTTCTTTTACTTTTTAAAAACATATTGCAGGTCCTTAAGGTTATGGGGTCATAGCCATGTTCCCCATTCCTTCCTTTCCCATAGTTTACTTGAGATCTCTCTGAACATCACCTACCACTCAAAGTCAGTTTCCTCAACTTCTTTTTATTTTAAAAATGTCTCTATATTTTCACTTACCTGTTTTTCTTTTTTTATCTCTCTCTTAATTTTGGACACAAACTTTGTGTGCTTTCTTGGATTTCCTCAACTGCCTCTATTTTCTCTCGTTAGGTGCCCAGACAATTCTGAGTTTTCCCTCCTTTTCCAGGCTGGATCACACCATGGGATTTGGTGTTGTGGTGAATGGGGACTGGATGATGCAATCCAGAAGCCCAGGGGGATTTGCTCACTGTTGGGTAAATCTTGATTGGTGGGAAATGGGAGACTGGAGGAAGATGGTCAGATAAATCCTCCTCCTCCTTCCTGCAAATACTTTAAGGTATGATTTCTCCTTGCAAATCCTACAGAGAAGCCCAGCATGTCAAGCAAGCATGTCTCATGAGTGACCTGCTGTATGTCTGTGATGGTTAATTTTATGTATCAACTTGATTAGACCATGGGGTGCCCAGGTGTCTGGCTAAACATTATTTCTCAGGTGTTTCTGTGGGTGTGTTTCTGGATGAGATATGCATTTGAATCAGCTGACTGAATAAAGTAGATTGCCCTCCCTAATGTAGAAGTTCCAATCAATTGAGGGCCTGAATAGAACAAAAAGGCAGAGGAAAAGTGAATTTGCCCTCTGTCTAACTGCTTGAGCTGGGACATCAGTCTTCTACCTTTGAACTGGAACTTACAGCATTGGAATTCCTAGTGGTCAGGCCTTTGGGCTTGGACTGTAGAACTGTATTGCTGGCTTTCCCGGTTCTCCAGCTTGCAGATGGCAGATCTTGGGAATTCTCAGCTCCATAATCACATGAACTAACTCCTTATAATAAATCTGTCTCTCAATGTGTCTCTCTCTGTGCCCCTGCCCCCACTCTGTTCCTCTCTCTCTCTCTCCATGTATAGATATATAGGTCTGTATGTGAGAGATCTATCTCTATATCTATGTATATATCTCTATCTCTACGTTGTATTAATTCTGTTTCTCTGGAGAACTCTGACTAATACAGCATCTTTGCAGCTTGGTGTGAAGTTGCCACTAGGATAGCAATGCGTTTCATCACAGGGCCTTCCATCTGCTTCCATTTATTCCTCACTTTCATTGTCCTGAACTTGCACCCTTCCCCCACATAAAATGTCAGCACTTCAATCCTTGCCTCAGGCTCTACTTTCTATAGGATCTAGGCCAAGACACCTCACCCAGGATGACAAAGTGTCCCTCACCTTTTTAGGCCAATTATGCCACTTGAGTTCTCCTTTTAATCTTTTTCTTCCTCCTCCATATTTTATTAACCATCCTTCCATTGTTTTGAATCTTCAACTTCTCTCTCTCTCTGTCTCTAGATTCTTTCCTCTTAGTCTGTAAACATTCTCAAGTATGTCCATGAAAAGCAAACATTCTCTTTATTAAAAGCATTTAACTCCATCTCTTCATGAACACATTTCTTATAAAAGTGCCCTTACTGCCTCTATTAGTTTTCTAGGGGTGCCATAACTAAGTCCCACAAATTGGGTTGCTTCAGACAACAGGAATTCATTCTCTTGCAATCTTGGAGACCTGGCTTACAAAATCAAGATGTAGCAGGGCCTTGCTCCCTCTGAAGGCTCTAGGGGAGGATACTTCTTTGTCTATTCCAGCTTTTGGTAACCCAGGAGTTCCTTGACTTGTGGCTGCATCACTTCAGCCTCCATCTCCATCTTCTGTCTTCTCTCTGTATGTCTGTGTCTTCACTTGGCATCTTTCTCTCTCTTACAAGGACACAAGTCATACTGGCTTAAGGACCAATCCTAATGACCTCATCTTAACTTGATTACACCTGCAAAGACTTTATTTTCAAATAAGATTCTATTTCTAGGTACTGGGATGAGAATTTTGACATATTTTTGGTGTGTATGATTTAACCCATAAGACCGCCTTAATGTCCTTACTGCTAATTCCTTGGCTTTGTGTAGTTAGGTTTCATTCCACAGGTTTCTCCTTGTATGGTTCCCATGAAGGTCATCAATGCCAAGCTCGATGGCTTTTACTCATTCCCCATCTTTGTGAGTGTCCTGCAGTGTTTGTCATGAATGCCTTTTCCCTCCTTCCTGAAGCTCTCTACTAACCTCACATCCCGGTTACTGTGCACACCTGTGGCTCTTCCTGTCTTTCAGATTACTCCACGTATGCCCTCTTCTCTGACTTTTTCTTCATTCCCCATCTCCAATTCAAGGTTCATTTTTAATGTTGGGGCCTTGGTCACATTCTCTTCTTTCAATACACTATTCTCTGGCCTCCTCCCAACCTTCATGCATCAGTGCTCTCTTCTAAGTAGGGAACAGATATATCTCTCTGGCCTGTTTCCTGAGCTCAGGGCAAGTATTGCCACCAAACAGCCTCAAAAACAATATATCCCCATGTATCCCAAGTACAAGACATCCTCTTTCCTTACACACACACACACACACACAACCACCCCCAACCCCATACTACCATCTATCCATTTTCTATTTTGCCTGTATCTATGTCAGTCTTTGTGATACTGCTCAGAGACTTCTACAGGTACTTGTGGTACTTTGAATGTGGATAGGCCCCTGAAGGAGTAGGTGAGATTAATCCAGTGAATTGTGGCTTATTGCCATTATTGTGACCCAATCTTTAGATTCACCCTATTGAGGCCTAGAGAAGTTTGATCTACACTCGATTCTATCGTCTGAGATACTCAAAGCAGCACCAGAACAAGCATACATATGCAGACAACTTAGGGGTATTTGTTTTGTGGACTGCATATTTGTATACTCCCAAATGTATGTTGAAACCCTAACTACCAGTGGGGTGGTATTTGGAGATGGGGCCTTTGGGAGGCTATTGGGTCATGGGGATGGAGCCCTCATGATGGGATTAGTGCCCTTATAAGATAAAATATGAAACTGCTTGCTTCCTCTCATTCTCATTCTTTCTCTGTCTCTCTCTCTGCCATGTGATGACACAGCAAGAAGATGGCCACCTCCAAGCCAGGAAGAGGGCCCTCATCATGCTCCTGACCATGGTTGTTCCCTTCAGCAGCATGTGAAATAGACGTTTGTTGTTTAAGCCACCCAGTCTATAGTATTTTTGTTATAGAAGCCTGAACTGACTTGACAATTAGGTAGCTCCAGGCCTAGTTTTAGATCAAATGAGGCCGAAGGGCATCCTTGGATATCTTTTCTCTCATAGGTAAATATGTGATCTTTACATTAATTCTGCATTTTTTTTCCCAAAGCCTCTGGTAGAGAGCCTCCCAAATAGCCAGCTTCCTGTAAATGTAGCTGAATGGTGGAATTTGCCTGGCTGCTTCTCTTAGTCAGGAAGCCTGAAAAACTGGCACTAGAGGATCTGTAAATGGGAAGCTGCTGCAGCTTCCTGCAACTCAGCTCCCAGATCCTTCATTCCCTGCCTAGCCAGATAGCATCCTAAGGGTGATGTTTAGGATTCAGCATTAAGGTCAACTCAGGGATGAGCTGCTTTGAATCCTTCATTTCATTGATGGAGGCAGATGTTCTGAGACATTAAGGAACATCCCTATAGTCCCCCAAGGTCTTCTTATATGGCACCTGCCTTTATTTACTTTCTTTTTAGAAAAGATTGCATCATTCTTAGATGGCCATTCCTGGGATGGGCAGAGGGGGCACTCTGTGTGCCCCTTGCCTGCAGTGTGTTGGTGGGAGATACAGTCCCATGGCACATTTTCATCCTGTGACTTTCACCCACAGCTCTGTGGAAATGCTGCCTGGAAGAAAAGCATATCAGGGTACCTTTGGAGAGGTTGTCCTGGGTGGATCCTTAGGGTCTAGAGGTCTCAGCAGAGAGACGAGGGAAAGAAGGAGTGTTCAGGGGTAGTTATGTATTGGGAAATCCAAGCCTTTGTGTGGGTATCTCCTAGTTCATATGGAACCCAAGAATTCTCAACTATTCTCGAGGACTCTGCTTGGACCTTGTAAGGATCCGTGCCTTCCTGGATAGCTGAAACTCGGTGTCAGTCACATTTTCAACAGCTTTTATTGGGTACCCGCCTCTGCGTCTTGTATTGTCATAGCAGTTTACACACAGCAAGCCAGACCAGGAGTGAAGAATTCATGTCATTTGTTATTTTCTTTTATTTGTGAATATGTGTGGGGTTGGGAGACTGGGTGCTAGACATGAGCTGAGGTCCAGGCTAGGCACAGGGAGCTGACAGCTGCAGGACATGCTAATTGGTCTGGGAAGGCCTTTGGAATCTAGGGAATTGGCTTTCTGAGCTGAGGCGGGGTCCAGGCAAGGAGGCAACAGGCTGCAGGAATCACAAAGGGACCGGGGACCTCCATGTACCCAATATCTAGGTCTCATCAGTCGGAGAAACATTCTCAGCTCTTGGTGACCTTGTCCTCCCTCAACACGGTACTCACTGCATATGGACTCATTTGACAATTGCCACAAAGGCTTTGGCCTCAGAGGCACTTTAAGGATATAACAGTAGGAAAGGGAGGCTTGGGGAGCCAGAGAGTCACCCACACAAAGCCCCACACGTGTTCCTAGCAGAACCAGGATACACACCCAGGCTTCCTGAGGCCACATGTCCTCCCTGTGGCTGCCTGGTCATTCCCCTTCACCTAGCAGCTGTCTTGCTCCCATGTAGAACAGCAGGGCCCAGCGGCCACCTGCACCTCGCCATTTCCTCCAGCTCTGTGCTAGAAATGATGCAAGCAGGAAAATCATTTGCTTGTGGACCTACTATGTGTCAGGCACCTGCTGAACAGTAGCATTTGATGCTCTCGACGGCCTTAACAGGTCGGCACTGATCTGTTGATGCTGCAGTCGAGGAGCTTTAGCTTAGAGAGGTTAAATAGCATCCTCAAAGTCACCCAGGTCATGCTCTGCTTCTGGAGGGGCTGGGATGCAGCATGGGAGTGTGACCTCCTGCGCACGGACTGCACGGGCCGCCTCGCAGCCGGCATGGTGAGGTGAGATGAGTTGAGGTAAGCTCGCAGCTCCTTGGTGCCAGCCCTTCCACAACCAGAGCTGGGCGGCAGCAGGCTCTTCCCCAGCTTACCTGGGCAAGAGAGTGAGGACTGCACGGCTGGCGAGTGATACATGGAGAGTGTTGCCGCCTGCCTGACAGGCAGAAGATAAACAGCTCCCCGTTAAATCTCGCTTAATGCTGATATTTATAAATTTATTCAGCTTGTGTTTACCGAATCAAGAGAATGCCTAATAACATAACATGCTTCATCTCACATGTTCCTACTAATGAGAATGCAAGTATTGCTTTTTTTTTTTTTTTAACATTTCATTTGCTTTCCACTCACTCCACCCTGTTCTGTTGTTGTTGGCTTAGAGTTTAATCTGTTGCTAAACACTGGGAAGTCTGGGCTTCTCGGGTGTTAGTGAGGAGAGAGCCAAGGTGGGTCTGGGGCAGTGGCTGGACCAAGGCCTCCAAACTGTGCCCTGTCCTACATGCAGTGCTTGGTGGACATGGAGTTGGCATACCCAAAGGATGGGCCATACTGAGGGAAAATGAAAGTCCTGGTGTCCTCTGCTGTATTTTGGGGTGGCTTCGTGCATTGGGTCAGGGTTGCAGTATTTGGGGGCTTCGGGACAAAAAATTTAGAGTAGAGCAGTGTCCTTGGCTTTGGACAGACAGGAGGATGGACAGAATGACCAAGGAAACATAAGCAACATTTGTGGGGTGTGGTATAGCTGGGTGTGAGGATGAGTGTGTGAGAGGGGTGGAGGGCTCCGTCTCTACCTTTGTTTAATCTGCTTACTGAGTTATTGGTTTTGTTTTTTGTTTTTTTTTAAGAAAGCCTTTCCCTGGCTGCTTATCGCCCCAAGGTCAGCTGTGCTGGCTGCTGCAGGTTCAGTTCTGGGATACCCAGGGCAGTCTTCACCAGGCAGGAGGAGCCATCGGAGTGGGGCAGGGAGAGATGGCAAAGAGATCAGCAAAGCTCATGAGGGTGTTTGGAAATGCATTTGGCAAAGAAGTGATGGTGGAGTGAGATGAGATGGTCTGTGCTGGGCTTCCTTGGGTGGGGTGGGTGGGAGAGGGGAATGAGGGTGCCTGGCCTCAGAGGCCAGGTGGACAATGAGTCGAGTGGGGTTGGGGGGCACCAAGTAGAATTCTGGAGCAGGGAGGAGGAAGGCCGCGGAGAGGCTGTCCAGTGAGGCAGGACCAGGATGGGGGCACACAGGGGACGGGAGAATGGAGGGAGACTAAGTCTGATTCAGGAAAACAAAAACAGAATCTGGGACGAAGCAGTGGAGGAACTGAGACGGGGTGCAGGCCTTCCACAACCTTTCCTTCCCCATCCCACCACATCCTCTGTTTTCCCAGCTCCACATCTTCATACTCTATATCCACCCAGCACTAGATTTTCTTTTTGATGTCTTCTTTTTCTTCTCCTCTCCAACAGCTGTTCCAGTTCCTGCAGGCCACCGCCCAGGAAGAAGGGATCTTTGGTGAGTCCCAACCAGTCAGCCCAGGCTCCTGCAGGCAGTGGTGTTTGCTGGTGGCTGCTGCCCCCTGCCGGACAGTGACAACCCAACTCTAGGAAGGCGGGCTGCAGAGTAGTCTTCTGTCCAGTCGGAGATCTATCCCTCCCTGGGCTTCTTTAAACAAGAGGAGAGAAGCCTGTGCCCAGTGTCTCCCTGTCCTCCCTACCTAGAGCCTTCACTTCTCTCTTCTTTCCAGAGTGTGCAGACCCAAAGCTTGCCATCAGTGCTATCTGGACCTTCAGAGACCTAGGGGTGAGAGGAGCCAGTGTCACCATCTTCTGTCCCCCTGCTCCCACCCCAATAGAGTGGCTCAGGGAAACCCAGCTATGTTCCCATCACCCCACAGGGCTGGCCTGATGGTGCCTCATTAAGACCCTGGGATTTACTTGGTGTCTTCCAGCAATAGACGTGGTGATGGGTTGGAGAAGGTGGGATGGTTTCCTGCCTCTTGGTCTCCCAAATCACTGGCTCATCCTTCTAGGTGGGGTATTGGGGCTGCTTTGAGGCAGCATTTGCACTCAAACACTGAGGCCTAAGGGGTCAGAGGTCTCAAGGCAGGTTTCTGGGGGACAGGCCTGGCCCCTGGGCCATGTGGACACAGTCCCTGTGGTGAGTGCACTCACGGCCCATCTTCCATGGCCCAGGTTCTGCAGCAGACGCCGAGCCCTGCAGGCCCCAGGCTCCACCTGTCCCCTACTTTTGCCAGCCTGGACAATCAGGAAAAACTAGAACAGTTCATCCGGCAGTTCACTTGTAGCTAGAACTGTGAGAAGGAGCCTGTGCTGAGACTTCTGAGCCCCAGAACACAGCTGTGTCCTAGAGCCAGAAGATGGAGAGGAGGCTGCAAACCCTTAGCTATAAATATAATCATTGAGGCTTGATTGTCCCTTGCCATCTCTTGCTTTTTCCCTTCTTTGATGTGATAAACAAGGGGACGACACGAATTGTCTTTTCCCCAGCCCAGCAGCATCTTTTTGGCATATGTGTGTGTATTTGCTCTCTTCTTCCCCAGTCCCACAAAATGCCCCAACTTGTCCCATGAAACAAAGCCCAAAAGAAGACAAACAGCAGAAGCAAAGCTGCTGCTTTGACCTGACGAATTTATTGAAGAGAGCTCTGTCCTTCTCCCTTCTACCGAGAAGAGGCGGCTTGCAGGGCTGGCACCTGTCCACACCTGTCACTGGGCCTTTCCCTGGGCTAGGCTGAGTGGGAGCAGATGCCCTCATCCTATGTGCAGGGCCTGTGCAGGAGCCATCACACCACCTTGTTGATGATGACACCTAGTTCTTCAATCTCACACTGGACTTCATCCCCCTTCTGCAACAGAGCAGGCCATGACAGTGTCAGCCCTTCCGTCAGACACACATACACAAGCCTGTACTTCTCAAGTCTGAGGCAAGCCTGCCAGGCCTTTGGGGCCCTTGCTCTTTGCTTTTCGCTAACCTACCTTGAGAAAGACAGGAGGTTTCCTGAATACACCGACACCTGGGGGGGTCCCAGTTAGGATGACATCCCCTGGGTAAAAGGTAACAAACCTGGATCAAAGCAGAAGGACCCGGTGAGACCAGGGGCTGGCTGAGGTGGCCACAGCCAAAGATGGAGGGCTCAGGTCAGCCTCCACATGTGTGGCAGGTGAAGCGGGGCTGGCAGGACAGCCCCTGTCACTCACTGGGAGACCCAGGCTATCAGGTCCTCTGTCTTGAATACCATCTGGTTGGTGTTGCCGCTCTGGACCACTTCCCCATTCACTCGGCAGCAGATCTTTAAGTTGTGTGGATCTGAAATGCAAAGATGGTACCTTGGAGTTATCCCTTTTCCCCCTCAAACCCCCCAATATTTTACAAACACAACTGTAGGGGTGCTTCGTGACTTGGCAGGTGAAAGGGCTTCAAAGTGCCCACATTGACTCAGTGCTCTATGTTAGAACTTTCTGTATAGACATTGGCCTTCTCAGGCCTCCCCGCATCCCCACCAAGAGCACCAAGCAGTAGTAACAGGGATGGGTTGAGAGGATGTTTCAGACTCTGAAGGGGAAGAGAAAAATGGCTAGGGTTTTTGCCTTGAAAAAAATAAGGGCATCTGTCTACAGCATAGGATGACACCTGTAGATTGACTCAGCAGGGCCAAGCGTGGTGGCTCATGTCTGTAATCATAGCACTTTGGGAGGCCAAGGCAGGCGAGAACTGATTAAGCTCAGGAGTTCAAAATCAGCCTGGGTAACTTAGTGAGTGCTTGTCTCTACAAAAAATAATAAAAACATTAGTCAGGCGTGGTGGTGCGTGCCTGTAGTCCCAGCTACTCAGGAGGCTGAGGCGGGAGAACTGCTTGAACTCAGGAGGTTGAGGCTTCAGTGAGCTGGGATTGGGCCACTGCACTCCAGCCTGGGTGACACAGTAAGACCATGGCAAAAAAAAGACTCAGCATCTATAAAGCAGTGAGGCAATGGTTCTAGCCGGGACAGAGAAGCCTCGTGTACTGGATGCTGGCAGGGGATGGATTACTGTAAGAACATCCTGGCTAACCAGCACTTTTTACTGTTGGTGGTGGTCCTAGTGTTCTACCCCCCTTAAGTAGAGCAGCTGAAACACAATTTAACTTTGCTGAGGACTCTGCATGGGGTGCTGAGGCACTGGGGTCTTTGGTATCCTGGCATGGCTGGCCCATGTGGACACCCCCCACCTCCACCACAGTTGTGGGTGGCTGTGTAAGAGGCTGCGCTCTGCCCTCTGGGGCACTGCCCCCATCCTGGCGCTGTATCCTGACTGTGTGTGGTCAGTGCTGTTCTATTTCCACAGTGGCTGGGTGAGTCACACTGGCTTTCATCTCCTGTAGTGTGGAAAATGCCTTGGCCTTGGGATAACTATGCTCCATGATGCTCAACTTAGATTGTTTCAGAGGTGGCAGCCGCAGGAAGCCCGATCCACCCATCAGCTCAGTGTTCTTTGTAATTTACTTCACGCATGCAGTTTCACATCCTCTGCAGTTGTGTTCCCTCTAGGGGGCTTGGGAAGGAAGCCCATGGGAGAACTCGTGGCTGAGGATAAGAGACTTGCCCTGTATGGAGTCAGCAGTGAAAGGGCGGCCAGGGAGGGCAGGTGCCACATGTACCTGAACCCATGCTCCTCCCTGAAGCGCTGTTCATCTGTGCAATGGTAGGTATAAGGGGGCAGGGACCAGGGACCTACCTGCTACACTGTCCTTGGTCACCAAGGCAGGGCCCAGAGGGCAGAAGGTGTCGAAGGTTTTTCCCAGCAGCCATTGTTTCCCATTACGTCTCATTTGCCAGTCACGAGCACTCACGTCATGAGCCACAGTGAAGCCGGCCACGTGGGCCATAGCATCTGTGGCCTATGGGGGCAGGGGATTTGGCCATACAGGAGGTTAGATCATGGGTGACACCAACACCTATGGCAAGGGATCTCTAAGCTGTTATCCCATGTTAGTAGCCAGAGCCAGCCAAAGGTGGGTGAAGGGAAAGGCAGTGTCAGGGAGCAAGGAGGCTGACTGCTTCCTAGTGTCAGGGACAGCTGGCACCGTGTGTTGGTGAGTGGGGTCAGAACTAGGAGAGGCAGGAGCTGGGGCCTCTGCTGCACTCTGGACTGGGAGCCCACCCTTTCCACCTCACCTTGATGTGCTTGCCTTTCTTTCCAATGACCACGGCCAGCTCCACTTCCCAATCTACCTCCTGTAGGGTGGGAGAGGAACAGTGAGCTGCAGTGGCTTCAGGGCCCACTGTCCATGCTGAGAGGCTGCACACCATGCTGAAGGGCCTCAACCTTTGTCAGTATGGCTTCGCTGCCATCCCATGTTTGCCATCACCACGAACCAGAGCCCAGTGAATGACAAGGGAGGTGTGACTTGTAGACCCATACATTTTGGGCAGTGGCAGACAGCATCATGGGATGCAGGCACAGGTCCCCACACCACTGACTGCAGAAGAGCAACACGTGTCCAGGGCACTGAGTTTAAAAGTCACTCTGGATACTTTTAACAAAGGATAAATACGAAGTAATATCCCCTAGCAATATGTAACCCTACTGTGTGTCAGGCACTGTTCTAAGTGTTTTAATCTATTAACTCCCACAAAGGACTTGAGTAAGCAATTCACAAAAAGGTAACGGACATGGCCACAAAACATGAAGAAATGCTCAGCCTCTCCCATAATCCATAAAATACACTATAAAATAGATATAATTTGGCCTTTAAAATTGGTGGCTCTTTCTAATAATAACCAGAGTTGGTGTAAGTACACCCGACATCCAGATGTTGGTCTCTAATACCACTCCCCACTAAGGAGCACTGGGTTCCTTGGGGAAACGGCCAATTCCAGTTCCAAGACAGACAGTACATGATAAGCCTAGAACATCTTGGCCAGAAAGCTAGGATATACTAAAAGTGACGGGAATGGAGCCAACTTGAAGGCCCCTCACTGGCCAAACTGAGGTCACCTAAAGAATGTAAATGATGAATTACAAACAATTGAGTAAAAACAGAATTCACAGTGATATTGAAGACAGGAATAAAAAGGAGGGAGGCAGCTTTTCTTCATAGAAGAATGCCAGCCAATAAAAACAGAAGGCATGATTGAGAAGTCATTGATCTTGTCTGGGAGTGGTGGGTCACGTCTGTAATCCCAGCACTGTGGGAGGCCAAGTCAGGTGGATCACCTCAGGTGAGGAGTTCAAGACCAGCCTAGCCAACATGATGAAACCCCGTCTCTACTAAACATACAAAAATTAGCCAGGTGTGGTGGTACACGCCTATAATCCCAGCTACTCAGGAGGCTGAGGCAGGAGAATCACTTGAACCCAGGAGGCAGAGGTGTGCTGAAATTATGCCACTGCACTCCATCTGCACAATAGAGTGAGACTCTGTCTCAAAAAAAAAAAAGGTCATTGTTCTCTAACCCCCAGTGCAATAATAGATTCAGTCAGGATGACCACAGGATCCCTGGATGAGATGCTATGGGGCAATAAGATAGTTATGTGATCTCAAACTACCACCCATGGATTGCTTATTACAAAAATAGAAATGCATCTTCACAATGGAGGGACCTAGTGAATGTCAGCTAAACCAAGTGGTCAAATTCTGGGACCACTGACATGAGCCTCCCAGTGGGATACGATGGAAAATGTATAACATCTGCTTTGTAGATCTCTTGATAAAAATGCTTACCCTGACACTAATCATGAAGAAACAACCAGACAAACCCAGAATGTGAAACATGCTATGAGACAACTGGATTCTTCAAGGAAAGGGCAGGGGGTATTGTTTGAGAGCAGGAGTTGGCAAACTATGGCCAGCTCAACATCTGCTATAATCAACTTTGATTGGAAACCCATCATTCATTTCTGTATCGTGGTTTTCACACTATAACAGCAGAGTTGAATTGTTGCAAAACAGAACATATGACACGCAAAGCCTAATATTTACTAATTGGCCCTTGATATGGTTTAGCTCTGTGTCCCCACCCAAATCTCAACTTGTAGCTCCCATAATTCTAACGTGCTATGGGACGGACCCGGTGGGAGATGACTGAATCATGGGGGCAGGTCTTTCCCGTGCTGTTCTCATGATAGTGAATGGGTCTCATGAGATCTGATAGTTTTAAAAATGGGAGTTTCTCTGCACAAGCTCTTTTCTGCCTGCTGCTATCCACCTAAGATGTGACTTGCTCCTCCTTGCCTTCTGCCATGATTGTGAGGCTTCCCTAGCCACGTGGAACTGTAAGTCCAATTAAACCTCTTTTTTTTGTAAATTGCTCAGTCTCGGATATGTCTTTATCAGCAGCATGAAAACAGACTAATACAGCCCTTTAAGAAAAAGTCTATGGAACCCTGTCCTAGATTGAAACCACTAAAGAGATATAACTGAATACAGTGTGTGGCCTTGGTTGATCATGGAGCAACAAACGAAGTAACCAAATTAGAAGTTATCTTTGGGGAAGTCAGCAGTACTTCCGATTGGGAATTGGGGCAATTGGATTTCATATTAAATATTATTCAAGTTAATTTTTTTGGTTGTGATAATGGTGGGATGGTCATGCAAGCCATTGTCCTTATTCTTAGAAGATGCCTATTTACGTTTTTATGACTAAATTGTCTTAATATTTCCAATGTGTTTTAAAAGGTCCCCTCCACCCCATACCCTGCAAAAAAAAAAAAAAAAAAAAAAAATGTGTGTTTGCCATGTGGAGGGCAGGGAGAAGACAAGGGAGAAAAAGGATATATGGCCAAATGTTTACAATGAAACCAGGTGGAAAAGTTATCTGAGTGTTCACTGTATTATTTTCCCAGCTTTTCTATAATTTTCAAGACATTTCTAAAATAAAAATCTGAGAGAAAAAGTAACCAGTGTTAGAAAGGGTATATACACTACTGGTGGATGTGTAAGTTGCTTTTACAATTTTTTAAAAGGCCAATTGGCAGAATTTTTCAAAAATTTTGAAATACTGCCTATACGCTGACATATTTAAATTCCAAAGGGTTTATTCAAAGGAAATAATAATGTATTAATGGACATGCAAAGCCTTTTCCACATAAGGATGTTTACTGCAACATTTATTTATAGAAGCCAAAAACTAGAAACAGTATCCAGCAGTAAGGTACTCAGGAATAAACTAATCTACATAACAAACTCCGTGGTGTCAGGGCGAATACTTAATGGCATGAAAAAATGCTCCTGATGGAGTCTTAAGTAAAAGGTAAGTATATGTACAGTATAAACATATACAGGAGCGGAGAAACACTGGGAAGGTAGACAGAAAAACATTAATATTCCGAGCCATGGGCAGTGGGATTATGGGTGACATAATTTTTTAATGTTTATCTCTATTTTATTATCTACAGTGAAGGTGCATTGCTTTTGTAACCAGGAAAACACGTACATTAACTTTTTTTTTCCAAGGCCAGTGTTACTACTGTGTGTACAATCCTGTAGAGTTTCTGCTGAATGCGCTATTGAGCGAGAGGTGGCTCCAGTAGGCTCAATACTGAGCTCAGAATGCCCTTGTGATGGGCCCAGTGACTAGGGAGGGCAGTGGGGAGACACTGACCTGGCTCTGTGGTGGGAGGACCACCTCATCATAGGGCCCCACGATGGAGCTGGCAAACTTGCTGAAGATGATGGGCTCCTTGGGCACGGGCACGTTCTGTTCTTTGCAGTGGTCCACATAATTCATGCCCACACACACCACCTTATCTGGTCGTGTGACTGGAGCCAGGAAGGTTACCTCCGACCGTGGTAGGACTGGCAACTGGGCAGCCAGGGCTCTGTAGAGACCAGAGCAGGTGAGAGGGTCTGGCTGGGAACAGGTGGGCAATCCCGGGCAGGCTGGGCAGATCCTGCAGCAGCTACAGGTTTTGCTTTTTGAAATCTATTTCCTAGCTCTATCAACCATCAGAGTCAGTGTGAAAATCACTGACTATTGTCCTTTGCTATCAGAGCAGGGCTTTTATTTATCCAGTGTTGATTTCCTCTCCCCCTTAGGTAACTCATGTCCATGTAAAAGATACAAACTGGAATACATGGAAAGGTTTCCCTTTCCCCTTCCGGTTACCCCGTTCCCCTGGCTCTTCGCAGCTACTCTATGGATATTCTTCTCCCACCCTTTTGTATGCAAATGATAGCATACTATTTACATCTTTTAAAAAAACAACTGATTTTGGAGATCTCTGCTTAACAATATGTAACAATACATAGAGAGTGTCCTCTTTATTTCTTGTGGCTGCATATTACTGCTCTATAGAGATATACCCAAGTCCCTAATGAGGGGCATGGAGATTTCCAGTCTTTGCAGAATATGGCAATATGGGAACATACTGTTAATACTGTGAGCTGTGAAACATTTGTATTTTTTTCCATTTTAATAGATGAAAATGACATCTTAAAGTATTTTTAATTTATTGTTCATCAGCTCCTTAGACCAGATTCTATAGGGGTCCAGGCTTCAGGGACACTCTCACCTAATCTAGTCCAAACCCAGGAACCAAGTGTCTTATAGAAAACCTCCTTGCAGTCCTCTCTCCTTGTAGGAGCTGGGAGTCTATATCACTCCCCCAGCTGCATAAGATGCCTTTTAGGACCCCCGGGCCCAGACCCGTCAGTCAGTCCAGGACTTCATTCCCAGAGGAGGCAGTGTGATGAAGTATAGAGTCCTGGTTCCAGCACCACATGTATGGCCTTCAAATTGTTAATCACCTCCCCTAGCTCTCAGTTTTCTCCTCTGAAAACTGAAGATGTTATTATGTAAGATTTCTAAGGATCTTTTAAGAGAACGGGAGAAAAGGAAAGGTGGGGTTACTCTGCTCCCTTGCAAAAGAGCTACCTGCTGGTGCTGTTTCCCAGAGCGGGGAGGGTGCAGGGGGACCAGGGCAGCTGCTTCAGGGCGATGCTGCCCACTTACTTACCTTCTTGCCACTGAGAGGGTGGCCTCTCCCTGCTCTAGGAACTGCGTCATCGTCTTCGGGAGTGTGGGGTCAAAGGCATTGAGGTTGATAACCCCTCCACCATTCCCTGTCTCCAGGCCCAAGTGAGGCCCCACCAGGTGGGGTGCCCGGAACTGCACTAGTCTCATGTCTCTGGAGGGTTGAAAGGGCCACTTCTGAGCCTGCAGCAGAACTGTGAGTAACCTTCTTCTACCAGACACCAGCATCAGAGCCTGCAGAGAAAAATGCAGGATCCAGGAGACAGAGGATCCCAGAGCCATCATCAGGTTCCCTGAAATTCCTAGGGCTATAGCCCGAGGCCCTTTGCCCCATCAACCGTTCCCTGCATACCACACGGGAAGTGGTCCAGGCTTGTATTTTACCTGCTATACTTCATAAGGTGAAACTTTTCTAGAGGAGCAACTACTACATGCTACGCAGTAAGTCCCAGGGATTCCAGCGTTCCTTCAACCAGTGCTTTCTGAAAGTTCCCACTGTGCTTGGCTCTGCTGTAGGTATTGGGGAAACAATGTAGGTGAAACTCAGCCCTGCCATTCTCCCTGCACAGGTCACAGATGTTAACAACTGACGTAAGATTCAGCTATCAGGACTAATGCTGTGAAGATGGTCAGGGGCTCTACCCTTCTCTAGTTTCTGGAGGAAGTGATGTGAGCTGAGCTGGGCTAAATGAGCAGGACCAGGAATTAGCTGGGTGGCAGCCCAGCATGGGCAAGTGACGCTGGTGAAACTGGCTTCACAGTGGCCATAAACAATTTTTTAAATGCTATTTTGGTCCTGTTAACCTCCTACTTAAAATGGTTTCCACTGCTCACATGATCAAGCTAGAACCTCTACCAGGCTGTCCCAGTCTTCTAGGAGCAGCGCCCCCACCTGCCTCTCCAGATAATAATTATTTCGTTTCTCCTGATAGAGAACAAGTTGCCTGAGGGAAGAGGCTGCAGACAAACAACAGGGTCTGGGCCTGACAGCCATCACTTGTCATCTCCCTGGGTCCAGGGCACATGTCTGTCTCTTTCACTGCCCAGCACTGTGCCTGGTGCACAGAAGGCTCTCAGTGACTTTCTGCTGAATGAACAAATAAGTGACAGAAGCAGGGGCTTGACATTTCACTACTTGGGAAAGCTTAGTGCTTGTTAACTTCAGGAGACATGGCTGTGCCTTCCCACAAGGGCCAGTTGTAGTGGCTCATGCGTGATATCCCTAACAATTTGGGAGGCCGAGGTGGGTGGATCACTTGAGGTCAGGAGTTCAAGACCAGCCTGGCCAACGTGGTGAAACCCCGTTTCCACTAAAAATACAAAAAACTCGCCGAGTGTGGTGGCAGCCACCTGTAATCCCAGCTACTAGGGAGGCTGAGACACGAGAATCGCTTGAACCCAGGGGAAGGAGGTTGCAGTGAGCTGAGATCGCGCCACTGCACTCCAGCCTGGGTGACAGACGAAGACTCCATCTCAATTAAAAAAAAAAAAATCCTCAGGGCTCAGATCCTGTTTTGAGTCCAAGGCTCCACTTAAAGACAAACACTATTCTCTTGTTTTGTTCTTAATCCACGTCTGGCCTCTATTCCTTACCACATGGTGCCTTCCCTGAATGGTTCCTTGCTCTTACAACAAAGGCGGTATTGTACAGCCTTCTATGCCCAAAAATGTGGAGGCAGCTGATCCCCAGACTCTTGGTCCTCACCTGGAGATTCAATCTGCCTTGTTCAGTTGAAGATTCATTAGACTTAGGTCACCACTGTTGTGGCCCACCAGTTTGACTAGAAAACCGAGGGCTTTGACTTCTCTGCCCTGCTGTCTTACACAAGCACCAACTGTGCCACTGTCAAAAGGCTGTTCGAGCCAATGTGCACACACTCAGACACTCCACATGCTAACATAACAGTAACTGCTGCCGCTGAATGCCAACTATTAAGTGCTCTACCTACAATGTCTGATTTAATTCTCGACAATTGTGGAAGGTAGGTACTGTTAGCCTCATTTTACAGATGAAACAATTAAGGCTTAAAGAGGTTAAGAGATTTGCCCAAGGTTACACAGTCCTAGAGCTAGGAGAGGAAGGAGCTGGGATGTGAATCCAAGTCCAGGTGACATGAAGTCCTTGGTTCAGAAGCTTGTAATGCAAGCAAAAAAATCCAGCTTCAGCCCCCATCCCCCTACCAAGGCCATTTTAACCCAGAATGTTGTGGTGAGAAGTGGGGACCTTCCATAGGAAATCCTCCAAAGTCTCTAAAGATTGTAGTGAGAAGTAGGGACCTCCCACAGGAGATCCTCCAGAGGCCGTAACTGCTAACAGACATGCGTGGGGAAACTACAGGCGCCCTCTGGCTGTTGCCTCAGGGACGAGGCTGGTTACCAGCTCTCCAAGAGAACCCCAGGCCCCACTGACTGTTCCCTTCCCACATGACACACACATGCAGGTTCATTCCAACCTTACAGCAATCTCCTCAGGTAGAGCGCCCTCACTTTAAAGAAGAGGACACTGAGACTCAAAGGGATGATGTCAGGTGCCCAAGGTACTAGTCAGAAAGTGGCCCTGGGGCTTCTGCAACAACCACTATATCACACAGCCCGAGCTCAATCCAACTCTGCAAGAGTCCATAAGCAAAGGGGCGGCGACATGAGGTGGAAACAGTAGCCTCCATCAAACAAAGCCTGAGACATGGGTGTGCACGTCGGATTCCATCCCACCGTCCACTCGCCTGGAACCCGTGCCGGTCCCCCAGTTTCCCCATATGCCCAGCTCCAGCCCCGACAGTTAGTGAGTGCTCACACAGGTCCGCCCCGTCTGTGTGGTCAGAAGCGGCTGGGGATCCGGTACTAGTTCTGCGCTCCGCGGGAGACCGGCGCCACGGACACCCTTCTGGCCTAGACCCAGCCAGGCTCGTCCTACCTGGCCGCGGCGGCCGATCTTCCTGCGCTGTAGGGTTAGAGCTCGCGGGGCCGAAGGTCAAGGGCGGCGGGCGCCTGAGCACTGCCACCAGTGACCGCAGCCAGCCGGGGAAATGCAGCAGCTGCTAACCCAGGGCCACTCGGCCGGATCACCCGAGAGAAAAGCGGGCGCGATCCTGTGACGTCACAGGCAATGGCCACTAGCAGGGCGCCAATCCCGGAGGGGCGGGCCCATCGTGGGGCGGGCGGCTCCGGCGGGTCTTCAGGCTACGGGTTCAGCCAGGCGCCAGCCGCGTTCTCTGGAGACGCTCTCTCTCGGAGGGACCCTGCACTTGCCTGAACTCGAGAGTGGGCGCTGCCCGAAGGTTTGTCCCTGGGCGCTTCGCTGGCCTCATCCGGTCTCGGCCTTGTTCTGGGCCTGGCGCCTTTCCCATTGTTGGGGAAAGTGGTCTAGGAGACCAAGGCAGCGTGCTGGGTGGCAGAGAATGATTTGTGGCTTCTGATTCTGACATATGTCGTTGAGGAGGGGAGGGATGACTGCCCCCGTTTTACTTATGGAGAACCTGGGGCCAGAGCTGTTTTCCCAGGGTGACACAGGCGGTGAGTAGTGGAGCTGGCATTCCTGACCCCAAAGCGCAGCGTTTCCCAGCCACTCTCCGCAGCCAGGCCTTCACCTGCACTGCTGGGCGCAGGTGGGGAAGTGGGGAAACGGGACTCCATCCCCTGCAGAGGGCAGGCGTGTAGGGAGTGGCAGCTGAACTCCACAGACAGCTACTGCTCAGCTCTTCAGCTGCCGACTTTGAACAGTGTGAGGGGCTCTGTACAAGTGGCCCCCACATTACTCAAGGACCAGATCATCAAGAGCTTTACTTGTCCCACGAAGGAGTCTGGACCTTGTTTACGTGCACAGGAGACCGCTGGAAGGTTCTCAGTGGCGTGCCATGTCCCGACTTCTATTTGAGAAGTTTTTCTCTGGCCACCCGTCTGAGGAAAGGTGTCTGGGTGGGTGGTGCGGTTGAGAACAATGGTGGTGCGGTGCGTGGTGGAGAAGGTGAGTGTCCAGAGATGTTCAGGAGGAAGAACTGACAGCTCTGAATGACAGGAGGTGGAAGTGAGAAGGAAGGAGGTACAAGGCCAACTCCTGGGTCTCTAGCTCGGTAGGTGCAGGGCCGTTCATGGAGACAGGGCTCCTGGAGGAGCAGCGGGTCTGGGGAGAGGATGGTGAGCTCCGATTTGCATGGGACATCCAAAGGGCATTGAACGGTGGGCAGTTGGAGACATGGGTCTGGAGCTTGGGACTTCAGCCTAGCTTGCAGAAGGTCACCACAGATATTGAAATGGAACCTATGGGGGTGGCTGTGATCAGGGGGATTCGCTGAGGAGAACCTGGCACAAGGGTTTCACTAAGCCATAGCTCCCAAAGACTTTCTGAAAAGCTAAGTTACAGCCTGGAAGAAAATATCTGTAAAGGCTATATTTGATAAAAAGACTTGTATCCAGAATATAGAAAGAATGCTTAAAAGTCAGTAGATAAAATCAAACAATTCAATTTTTTAGATGGACAAAATATTTGAACTGACATTTCATCAAATAAGATATACAGACAGAAAATTGGGACATGAAGGCTGGGCGCAGTGGCTCACGCCTGCAATCCCAGCATTTTGGGAGGCCGAGGCAGGCGGATCACAAGGTCAGGAGATCGAGACCATCCTGGCTAACACAGTTAAACCCCATCTCTACTAAAAATACAAAAAATTAGCCGAGCGTGGTGGTGGGCGCCTGTAGTCCTAGCTACTGGGGAGGCTGAGGCAGAAGAGTGGCGGGAACCCGGGAGGTGGAGCTTGCAGTGAGCCGAGATCGTGCCACTGCACTCCAGCCTGGGCGACAAAGCAAGACTCTGTCTCAAAAAAAAAAAGAAAGAAAAAATTAGGACATGAAAAGATGCTCAACATCATTAATCATTAAGGATATGCAAATTGCAAGCGCAATGTGACACCATCTCACACCTACTAGAATGGACAAAGAAGACTGATTATACCAAGTACTGGCAAGAATGTGGAGGACCTGGGATTCTTGTACACTGCTGATGGGATTATAAAATAGTACCACCACGATCGAAAACCATTTGTCAGTGTATGAAGAGAATTAAACATACACCTACCATATGATGTAGCCATTTCAATCCTGACTATTGACAGTATTGAATTTTACCTTAGCCCTTTGCTTCTAGAAATAGTGAAGGTTAAGGAATCCCACCACTCTTTTGTTCCAGAAAACCCCCTACTGGAAAGAACCAGTGACTTTCTATATAACCTGGATAAGACTCCCAGATGCTCCCTTGTTTATCTGTGACCAGGCCAGACACAGACCCTCTAAATTCCCATTCTTGGCCTCATAAATGATTAGCTGGGCTGCTTGTCCCACAGATCAATAAGAACAAAAGCCTGTAACCAAACCTTGGTTCAGATTCTCTCCTTTTCCAAGCCCTTGAGCTTTGGCCCACCCACAGCTTGTGCCAACCCGCAGCCCTCCTGAGGTTCCCTCCTGAGAACAGGCTGTCCGCAGGGTAAGACCTCCTCGATCGTGACACTCTTGCTCAGCCCACTTTCCCATAACAGTTCTTTCTAGCCACGTTTACGCCTCCCTATACAAGATCAGCCCTTTGCCTAACCTCTGAGACACTTGCAGATCATATGGGAAGCCTGCGAGTGGCCGCACTGCAACGTTTCCCTATTGCAATGGTCACCCCCACAACAATCCTTTGGAATAAATTCGCTCCTTATATAATCCAGATTTGTTTTTTTGTTTTATAGTAATTACCTGAGAAATTTAAAAAAAATGCTTATGCAATGGCTTATACAGAAATGTTCACAGCAGCCTTTTTACAAAATCCCCAAACTGGAAACAACTCAATTTTTCATTAACAGGTGAATGTGTAAACACTCTGTTATAGCCACACTAGGGAATACTACCCAGCAATGAAAAGGGACAAATTGTTGATGCAACATGGATATATATCAAGATAATTATTCAGAGTGAAAAAGAGATTAAAAATGAGTACATATGGAATTATTTCATTTGTATAGAGTATCCTTGGGGGGTACTTTCCAAGACCCCTAGAGGACGCCTGAAACTGCAGATAGTACCAAACCCTACATCTGCTACGTCTTTTCCTATATATACATGCCAGTGATCAAATTTAATCCAGATGAAGTTAACCTGGTGCTACACGGTTGCTGTTCAATCAGAATATGTTTCTGTTCACGTCTTCCACCCACAAATCTAATGCCTTTTCCATCCTAACTAAGTGCTTCTCACACACTGTAGCCATAACTTTTGCAGTTTGAGGTGCGACAGCAAAACTGGCACAAATTTCTTTTTCCTTCTTCACAATTTCATGGATAGAAGATTCGTTCTTTCTGTAGCTCTTAGCAACCTCATTATGTGATTTTTGTTTTATTTCCTTAAGTCAGGAGCGTTCCCATAAAGGAAGGCTTCTCTTTGGCATATCGGAAATGCCGACACCACTCCCCTTTTGCTCTGGGGCCATTATGAAGTCAGATGATGGTGCCTTGCACAGAAGCACTGCGGTACCACGACAGTGGATCTAATCACGGAGCCAGCTCATTGGTGACTAAGGGGCAAGGAGGGCAGACGTCATGGAAAAGCTGAACAGAGGAATGATTCTTGTCCCAGGTAGGATGGAGCAGGACAGTGCAGGATTTCATCACAGTACACAGAGCAGCACACAATTTAAAACTTATGAATTGCTTATTGCTGCAATTTTCCAGTTAATATTTTTGGGCCATGGATGACCTTGAGTAACTGAAATTTCAGAAAGCAAAACCATGGATAAGAAGGGACTACAGGCCAGGCGTGGTGGCTCACACCTGAATTCCCAGCACTTTGGGAGGCCAAGGCGGGTGGATCACGAGGTCAAGAGATCGAGACCATCCTGGCTAACACGGTGAAACCCTGTCTCTACTAAATATACAAAAAGTTAGCCAAGCGTGGTGGCGGGCACCTGTGGTCCCCGCTACTTGGGAGGCTGAGGCAGGAGAATGGCGTGAACCCAGGAGGTGGAGCTTGCAGTGAGCCGAGATTGCGCCACTGCACTCCACCCTGGGCAACAGAGCGAGACTCCATCTCAAAAAAAAAAAAAAAAAAAAGAAGGGGCTACAGTACACTAGAAATGCAAATGAATGTGTAGTGACAGGAAACAGGCCAGTGGTTGTTTGGGTGTAGACACCTCCTTGGAGAAACTGCTTGTACCTAGGACAAGAGATGGTGGAGAGCTGGACAAATCCAGGGTTGTAAAACAGAGATCATAAGACTGATGGAATGGAGTCTTTGTGGCTTATAAATTATGAAATTATAAATAAGACTAAGGCCATGCCAGGCAAAAGTCACATACCCCTACACTAAAATAATAAATGTTCTAACTTACCAATTGTCAGATGCTAACTGATGCCCCCAGACTCCAGACTCCATTCCACAAAGCATAACTACAGGTTTGATTGAACAAGAGACTGACTTCAGTAATTTTCTCCTGATAAGACACCACTGACCATGGGCTGGTTCTGGCCAGTTTATAGAGGCTGCGCACTGAGTACCTTTGTGTTCTTTTTTTTTTAAGGCAGACCTGGCTCTGTTGCCCAGGCTGGAGTACAGTGGCATGATGCTGACTCACTGCAACCTCTGCCTCCTGGGCTCAAGCCATCCTCCCACCTTGGCCTCCCAAGTAGCTGGGACCACAGGCACACACCACTGCACCTGGCTAATGTTCTTCTACCTTTTGACCTATAGAGCCTAATTTTAGGCATTTAATGTTATGTTTCCACCCCAAAGTGAACATGGGTTGTATGCAACACACAGGATTATTCAGTTGCATGTGTTAGGATCCCCTCATAAATATTCATAAGGGTCTCATAACTTACTGAATATGTATGTATAGTTCCTGTCTTTGGGCATACACCTCAGCCTCTCCGCTTTTTCCTCTGAAGTGCCTGCTTTTGGTTTCTGCTAAAGGCCACGTTTCCCCACCTGTGGGATGTCCATCCTGCAGGTGGCAACCCTTTCTAAGAGATAAAGCTCTCCTGGCTAAATTTCTACATTTTGTGACTTTTTCCATTGACAATGTGGCTGAATAATCAAAGGGGAAATAAAAGCTTTTGAACCCTGCTTTCTCTATGGCCACCCTTATGATGTGGGTTGGTTTTGCCATGAATTCTTTGTCACTGCCTCAATGCACGCCCAGCCCCACAGGCGGCTTGCTCCTCTCTCTGCCTCACCCTCGCTCTGGTTGGTAACTCGCATGTTTAACAGAGAAAACAGAAGCCCTCACTTGGGGTGAATGCCCTCCATTTCCTACTCCCATGCCCTCAGACCCTCCACACCGGCACCTGCCATGTGCTAGCCCCGCTGATGAGGAACGACCCCTTTCCAGGCCTCAAGTCCTGTGCAGGAGCCCCTGCACCTTGGTTGCCTTACACTGAGAATTACCCCGTATTCCTCTTGAGCAGGGCTCTGCCTCTTCTGCACGTCCTTCCCCCATGCTCAGATCTCTCTATCTTAAACAAAACCAAGCAAAACTCTTCTTTGGCCCCACTTCCCTCCAGCTGCCCCTCCCACATCGCTCACCAACCTTCCTTGGAAAGTCTCCTACAGGAGCTTAATTCCCATATGAATCTTCGCTTTGATTTCCTTGTCTCCCATTCATTCCTCATTCATCCTGATCTGACCTTTGCCCCCATCCTTCCACTGAAACAAGTCTTACTTAAGTCCCCAGTGATTTCCATGGTGCTAAGACCAAAAGACACTTTTGTTGTTGTTGTTGTTGTTGAGATGGAGTCTCGCTCTGTCACCCAGGCTGGAGTGCAGTGGCGCGATCTCAGCTCACTGCAACCTCCGCCTCTGGGTTCAAGCGATTCTCCTGCCTCAGCCTCCTAAGTAGCTGGGACTACAGGGGCACCCACCACCATGCCCGGCTCAAAAGACACTTTTTATCATTACCTCTAAGCACTCTTGGCCTCTCTGGGCCATTTCCCTGTGCTTTAAATACTGCCTTCCCATGGCTTCCCAGCAGAGGTGACTGGTTGCCCTCCAGTATTCTTTCTTTCCCTCTTCCTCAGCAGTAAAACACCATTTATTTGCTAGATATGTGGCTGCATAGAATAGAGAGATTCATTTCTCAGTCATGCTTTGAGGCTACATGAGACCATGAGAGTTAGTCTGGTTAGCAAGATCTAAATAGAAAAGTTTGGGAGTTAAAGGAATTATTTAAAAAGAATCCGCAGTCCCTTACTCTTCACCCTTCTTTCTTTCTGCTGGCTGAAATGTGAATGTGATGGCTGGAGCATGAAGGGCCATCTCTGGCCTTGAGGTGACAGGTTACCGGAGCTAGGAGCTGGATCCCTGAGGATTGTTGAGCTGCCAAACCAATGCCAAACAATGCTCTGTTGGCCTTTTATGCAAGAGAGAAAAAACAAATCTATGGTTTTAAAAGCTACTATTATTCTGGATCCCTGTTACTTGCAGCCAAACATAGTCTCTATTGATAGGTCTTCCATCATATCACATTGTCTTGAATTTTCCTCCTCTATCTCAGTCATTTTTCAGACTCACTCTCCTCCATCCAACCTATAAATGTTGCTGCCTCTCAAAGCACGGTACTTATGTCTCTTCTCACTCAGTAGGATCCCTCAGGCCACATTTTCACAACATCAACTACAGGCTTGATGGTTTAGTTGCCACGTACAGAAAGAAGACTCACATGTGTCCATCTCCATAAACTCAGCTGTTTATTGGACACTTTCATTTTGATGTCTCAAAGGCACCACAAGCTCAACATGAACTCATGATTTTTCCACATCAAATGTGGTCCTCTTCTGTATCTCAGAGGATGTCATGGCATCCTCTGACCATCCACCTGGGCAGACCCCAAGCCAGAATTCAGTCTTTGCCGTTTCCCCACGTCATTCCCATTTGCATCTTCACATCCTGGCAACTTTACCTCCCCACATCATCTGAACCAATAGACTTCCCACCATCCAGGCCAAGACGCTATTTGACCCTGCTGGCTGCACTCCCACTATGGCCTCTGTGGTGATTTAAAAACATGTCCTCAAATTATTTGACATGTCTTCCATGTCCATTGCCTTTATTGCGGGCGGAACCTAGCAATTCACTTCTGACAAGTAGAGTATGGGGGAAGGACCCTGCATTCCTTCCACAGCTAGCCTGTCAGCCTGCTTGGCTGCTGCAAAAAGTACCATAGCCTGGGGGGCTTAAACAGCAGCAATTTGTCACCTCAGTTCTGGAGGCCAGGAGTCTGAGATCATAGTGTCGGTGGGCTGGGTTCTTCTGAGGCCTTTCTCCTTGGCTTACAGGTGGCTGTCTCCTGGCTGCCTCTGCACATGGTTGTCCCTCTGTGCACACATGGCACTTGTGTCTCTTTATGTGTCCTAATTTCCTCTCCTTATAAGGATGCCAATCAGGTTGGATTAGTGCCCACCCTAGAGCCCTCATTTTAATTGCATTACCTCTTTAAAGGCGCTATCACCAAATCCAGTCACATTCTGAGGTACTGGGGTTAGGACTTCAACATGTGGATGAGGAGAGGGCACAATCCAGTTCATCACAACTAGGTTCTAATCAGTGACCCAGCTGCCTCCTGGCTCTCAGGACAGTGCATCAGTCTAGGTCTGATCAGGAGAGAGAAATCACACAGGGATTGGAACAGACTGAGTTTAATACAGGGAAGTAGCAACTATGACAGGGGATTGGAGCCATGAGGGATAGGCTGGTAACAAGTAAAGAGAACTCTAAGGACTAAGGAAGAACTAGATATAAGGAGCAGCCAAGTTGGGCGTGGTGTTTTATGCCTGTAATACCAGCCCTTTGCAGGCCAAGGCAGGAAGATCTCGTGGGCCCAGGAGTTTGAGACCAGCCTGGGCGACATAGTGAGACCCTGTCTCTACAATAAAAAATAAAAAAATTAGCCAGCCATGGTGGTGTGCATCTGTGGTTGCAGCTACTCAGAAGGCTGAGCTGGGAGGATTACTTGAGGCAGGGAGATTGAGGCTGCAGTGAGCCATGATCACGCCACTGTACTCCAGCCTGGGGTACAGAGGGAGACCCTGTCTCAAAAAAAAAAAAAAAAAAAGCAGCCAAACTCCTAAGATACAAGGAAGCACCCAAGGAAGAAGCTCCCACCCCACAGACCATGAGAGCCAGATCTCGCTGGAGACGGCAGACAGGATGCTGTAGTTTTACACTGGTGAAACTCGCTGGAATCTTGCATCTATTGTAGCAACCATATTTCCCTTGGAACCAAATTTTCCCCTTGGTCATCAGGACCCATCGCTGCAGCCACTGGATCGACCCATCGCTGCAGCCACTGGATCAACCCTCTTGTTTTGCCTGTTGATTCAGTGGCATAAGGAACCCAACATGACCAGGAAGCAGTCTTAACTTCTCTGTCTCCTGGGGGAAGCACTGTCCCTTTGAGTACTAATATCTCCAAGCCAGCAGAGCTCAAAGTGGCCAGGACAAGAAACAAAACTGCTGTAAGTGAGGTTATTAGATGTACTCGTGAGAGAAGCACTCCCGCTTCTTATAGTCCATAGACGATGCTGGGCAGGGAAGTTGAAACCCTCTAGAATATGTGTCCTATCGGGGAAAACCTCTGCCTCTTCCATGATGGAGGAGGTCCAGTGTAATCAACCTGACACCAGGTGGCTGGCCAGTTTCCATGGGGAATGGTGCCATAGCAGGGACTTGACATTGGTCTCTGTTGTTGGCTGACTGAGTCTGAGCAGTAGCGTCAGCCAGGTCCACCTTGAGAAGGGGAAATCCACATAGTTGAGACCATGCATAGACCCCATTCCTGCCACCATACTTTCCGCCATCTCTTACTCCAGACAGCCAAATATACTGCTTAAAGTTCTATCTAATGGGAGGACTTCCTTCACCACTGCCCTTCAGAGTCATCCCTGAGTGGGGCTGCCATGTGCAGTTTGTCACTTTTGGGTGGTATAGGCCGATTGTACAGATCCATTAGTAAGTCTTGCTTGAGTTTCTTCTTCCTCAGTAAACTGATCCTAAAGAACATGCAGAAAGCCATAGGCAGGGATGGAGGGAGAGGAAGCAATGCAACTGAACTTGCCATCAAAAGAACCTGAGCCACCTGCTCCTGCAGCTTAGCTATCCCCTCCCCACTGCCTGAGCTCCAGCTCTTATCTGCCACTACCACTTGATGGCACGTCCAGCTTATGACTAGGTGGGTCAGACAATACAGATTGTTTTAGGAAGCTCAGGCCATGTGGTCGCCTGACAGCCCATGGTTAGGTTTTCAGTCTTTACCAAAGCCCAACAGCAAAGCAAGAGGCTGTTTCTCAAAATAAGAGTGATTGTCTCCAGGAGACGGTTTAGACTGGCTCCACAATCCTAGCAGTCCAGCTGTGATGGTTCTATTAGTGCCTTCCAGAGGCTCCACAGCTCATGCCTATTGGCCATGAACACTCCAACTATCAATTGACTTCTGCCTCAGCTGCTATCTAATTGCAATCGGCTTGAGAGACCGTGCCAAGAATCACCTAGTGGGCCCAGTCAAGCCCCGGCCTTGTGACATGTGATAAAGCTCAGTGGCTATGTGGCAATAGCTAAACAGAATAGCCTCCTCTCTGGTTTCTCTGCATCCACTCGGGTCCTTTCCAATCTGGTGTCCATGTTTCAGTCAGAGTGGGGTTTTCAAACACCAATTTAATTTAATACTCCTCAGTGGCTCTGTGCTGCTCTCAGGCTGAGGCCAACACCTTCAGGGTGGCTCTGCCCTGTGGGCCTCTCCCATTTCCCCAGCATTTGTGCCTGGGATCTGGCCACAGCCCCTGGCAGTGCTGTCTCCCTTCCATCCCTCACCCCTTTCCCCAGCCCCTTCCTCCTCATCCTGCAAGCTGGGCTCAAAGGCTGCTCCCTGGTGGAGCACCCAGGTCATGGCGCCTGGCCCAAAGCTCTCATCAAACCATAGGCCTCATCTTCCTGATCATGACATCGGGTGTAAATTTATACTTTTCATAGGATTTAATTTATTAACGTCTTGTCTCTGAAAAAGTATAGGCTCCACCAGGGAAGGCTTTGCAGGTATTCTGCTATTTTATCCCCATTCCCTGGCACAGTGCTGGGTGCACAACTTATTTTTTGTTGGTTTTTGTTTCAATGAATGAAGCAATGGGCAGACGGGGGATCGGGTGGGATAGATGGGATAGATGGTTGTCCCTGCCAAACAGTGTCTTGTCGCTTTTTCCACATCTGCAGGGGCAGCAGGAATGGGGCCCTGGAGTGGGCAGGGAATGGGGTGGGGGCACGGTGGGGGTGAAAGGAGGAGACCAGTGATTCTTCTCCTCTGGGGCCCATTTGCTCTGCCCAGAACACACTTCTACCTACTTGGGAAGTTTTCTGCTGGGAAAGTTTGTCAACAAAGCAAGAAACTTGCGGATTTCTAAATCCTGGTTGGCTGTCAGGAAATAACGGATGCCTGGCTCCTTGGGGCCTTATTTTTAGTTTCTGGATGTTTTACTGTATTTAGTGATTTTTCAAAACTGGGAAAAAGTGCCACCTGGCGTCACATGCTGTGTTCCTGGGTTGGGACACAGCCAGGAGAGCTCGGGAGAGGAAAGTACATGGAGGAGGGGCTGGGCTGGGGTGGGTGCCCAGGCTGAGGCCCTCCAGTGCAGGCAGCCTGCCAGCAGATATATCTCTAAGAGCCTTCAACCCTGGTGTAACCCCACAGCTGGCCTCACGACCCCAAAGGCTCAGGGCCCTGTGCCTGGCCCCTCCCTGGGAGCCCTGCCAGGGCCTCCCTCCCTGTGACCTTCACTTCAGCAGCACTGGCTGAGTCTTGCCTCCCCACTGGCTCGCATAAGTGAATAGTCCAGCGATTGGAAGGAGGTGGCTTCAGGTGCAGTTGCAGGGCTGATGCTCTCCCAGGTTTTGTTTCCTCTCAGTGAGGACTTCCCTTGCTGGCTTCCTTCCATGGCTCCTCACAGTGACAAAATGGCAGCAACAGCTCCAGGACTCACACCTTTGCAGCTTCAGAGATGGGGGAGGAGGGAGCATCTTTCCCAGCCTTCCCAGCAAAGGTCTCCCTGGGCCTTAATGACGATAATCAGGTCATGTGCCCGCCCCTCCACCAATCACTATGACCCGAGGGGGGCAATGCACCCAGTGGCTTAGGCCTGGCCTTGCTCTTTTTTCCTTGGAGGTGAGGGCTGACTCCAAGGCTTCATGGATGGAGAATGGAGGAGGGGTCCCCCAGTGAGACTGGGGGCTACTGGCAGTAGAAGAGGGAGGAGGCTGGGGAGGCAGAAGAGTGGTGCTCGGTCAGGAGACCTTCCTCCTTGCCCTCATGGTGCCCAAGGCCACAAGCAAGAGAGAAGTTCCTGGGGGCCTTTTATCTCAGGCAGAGGGATGGGGTAGACATAGATCCTTTATCCGTGGAGGGTTTGATTATGTTCAAAGCTGGTCAAGAGCTGAACAGAGGGAGCTCTGTGCACGGGTCAAAGAGCAGGAGCAAAGGCAGGTATGGCTGGGCCTGGTGAGCTCCAGAGAAGCCGGGTTTCCTGCTTGAGGAACAGAGAGAACAGAAAGGTGCGCAGGGCTGGCATGGAGCCCAGTGCTAAGACTGATGGCCCTCGGTGGCCAGGCAGCAGTCGGGTGGGGGTGGGCAGGGGAGGCAATGGTGGTCCACTGAGTGCTGCCACCACCACTTAAAGATGGCTGCACTCTGGCGCTGTGCAGGAGGAGGCTGACTCCCTTCCAGGGCCACACAGGGCCTTCCTGACAGGTCCCCGCCCGCTACACAGCCCCTTCGCCAGGACCTCTCAGCTCTGGCCAAAGGCGAACAAGACCCGTATGTTCCCCTTCTAGATCCATGAGATGTTTGAGTGGCGGGGGTGTGGGTGGGGTGGGGAGAGTTTCTTCCTGGTACCATCTTGGCCTCACACAGGCATGAGGTTACTCCTGGCCATGCTGGCTCTGTCACCGGCCCTCAGATCCCCTTCCCTGTGAAGCAGGGCCCCACCTCTCCCCAGCCCCCAACTCTCTTTCCCAATCTCTGACCCCTGTGAAGCTCACCTTGCAGGGAGCTGGACTCTGCACATTCCCTTGGCAATCAGGTGGCTGGGACAAAGTCCAGGCCACCGCAGCTGGCCCACACATGACCAGTGATTTCCTCTCCAGGAATGCCCAGCCTTTGGTAGGCCCCTAACCCAAGGGGCTGGGACCCAGGTGAGAGGGCCAGAGGGCTGGGGGAGGGCCCAGTACCTACTTTGGGCTGGCAGCAGTGCCTCTGGACTTGGGGGCTTGTCTGGGACACAGAAGGTTGATGAGGGCAATGAACAGATCAAAGAACCACCTTTGGAGGAGGGCAGAACTGGGTCAGAGAGGTCCTCCACAGTAGGTGTCAAAGCCTTACTCACTCTAGACAACTCCGCCTGGAATGCGTCTGCCAGAAAGTCAGGGCAGGTGATGGGGATCAAAGGCTCCACAGTGATCTGAACACATGGGAGACATGTCCCACACCAAGGAAGGTTCTGCTCACTCCTATTCTATTCACAGTTCTAGGGGATGTATGTGCCATCCATCGCATCCCCACAAGTGCAATCTCCAGCCTGTGCCCTGAGGTCACTTCCCGCATCACCCCATCACCATCAGGGCCTGTTCTCACTGCCTTCTGCTGTCCCCACAAGACTTGAATTTCCTGACAGCAGGAACTGCGGCCTCTTCCGTGTGGACTCAAGATGCAACTGTGCCCTGTGTGTGGAAGGTGTTTAATAAATGGAGAATGGCACCTGCCTTGCCTAGAGCTGGGAACACAGCGCTTGGAAGGCGTGGGGAGTGAAGGTCAAAGCCTCGCCCGAAGCAAAGACGCAATGATTAGGCTCAGGGAGGGCGAAGCACTGTGCAGCCTCGGGAGCCTGGGAGGTGGCTGTGAACTTGAAGGACGGTGTTGGTGTTCCTGAGGGTTCGGGGCCACGGGGCACAGGTTAGGGACCACAGAGTCCCTAGAGAGTGCAGAAACGTCTCCACCTCCCTGGGGCAGGCCGTGGTCCTGCCAAAGTCCAGGTCTGTGAGCCTCATTTATCTGCAAGGGTCTCCTTCCGTGGGCTCCTGGAAGGCCGCTGTCTCCTGCCTTCCGGACCCGACAGGGGCCTGTGAAGGGTGTGAGTGGGGTTCGCAAGCTGTCTTCGGTCCGGTCCGGAAAGCCTAGCGGGTCACGTGCAGGCTTCTTAGGAGCGCCCCGGGGAATTAGGCCGGGGCACGCGTCATGCCTGTCCCCAGCACCCAGCTTGGTGCACTCGGTGCGCTCGTTACTTGATACATTCAGTTTTGGGGGCAAACCATGTGGAGAGTGAGGCAGAAATAGGAACGTGTATTTGGGGCTGTGAAGGAAATGACAAGCTCCCTCCAAGGAGCTTCCTCGGGCCGAAGGACTGAAGGAGCTGGAGGCCGCGGTGGGGCCCAGTCGCCCCCTGGCGGTCAGTGGGGGACGCAGCACTCGAACGCCTCACTCCTGTCTCCTGCGAAATCTCTCCTGCAGCCGAGAAGCCTGGGACCTTCTAAACCCGAGCGGCCAATTCTCTGGAAAGCTGTGCTACAGGGCACAACGGGGAGGGTGTGGGCACGCTGGCCACCGTCTCTGGACCCGCCTTTCCCACCCTACGCTGTCGAGAGGGCCCTTGTTGGGGTGAATGAGACAGGCCAGGCCCACGGGTGCCAGCGCCAGCTCTGGGCCCTCTTCCCTCCCTATTTCCGCGCAGTGAGAGTGGCCTGCTGTGGCCCGATGGCCCAGACTACCCCTCCTCAGCCTGCTGGTCCTCACACGGGCCTTGGGGTTACCAGGAAAACTGGGGACCAGCACGGATTTGTTTCCAATACCTGGAAACTCCTGAAATGTCTGTCCGCTCTCTGATGGCTTATGGGTGTGAGTCACCATTTCGTAAAAAGGGAGAGATGCAGGCACACGTCAGTGGCTAGGAAGGAGGGACGCCCGTGTTTATTAAGAGACGAGTAGATGTGCATGCGAAATCATCACACCAGCCCTAGCAGAGGAGTTTTGTGTTGTCGTTGCTTATTTTACAGATAAGGGAAACCGAGGCTCAGCAAGGTAAACTGACATTCTCAAGATGACACAGAAAGTTCCCGAATGGAAGCATTGCCCTGCGCCCTAGATGCTACAAGGCTTTAGAGACATGGCATATGTCAAGCAGTCACCTGGGATGTGGACTGGGGACACAGCTCTACTCTGTCCTCAGGGCAGGGTGAGGGGAGCAAGAGGACTCCCCTGCCTTTGCCCCTTTCCCACCCAGACTTCTGCGTTGATGTCTGGATGGGAGCCGCACAGTGCTGGCTCCCAGAGCGGATTGGACCAGCCCCGACCCTGTCCCATGGGAAGCCAATCCATGGGCCATTGAAAGGCTTGGCAGGGGAAAGACATGCCCAGCAGAAAGGGCCATCTTCAGTCCAGTCAACTCCTCTGGGGGAGGTGGGAGTGTGCCCTAACGGAGAGAAGATGCTGCACATGACAGAGAATCGAGGCAGAGGGCAGCCGCGTTTCGCAGAAGCAGTTCTGGGGCAGGGAATGGTCCGCTCCCAAAAGCCAGGCCATGAGATGGTCCACCCATTGCTGGAGCTGGATGTGGTATCTGAACATCCTGTGCTCATCTAAGCCGGATTCTGTAATGCAGGCTCTCTCCTTGTGCTTGTTTTACAGATGAGAAAACCGAGGCATAGAGAGATTGTGTGACTTGCCCAAGGTCACACAGCTGGTGAATGGTGAACTGGGGTTTGTGTTGTGGCAGATGGGTGACTATGTCACAAGGGTGCGTGGGGAGCTTCTGTCTGTCCTGTGTGCTTGAGGCTGACGCAAGAAGCATGAAGGGCGTAGAGAGCAGTAAATATTGAGGGAATATAAAGAAATGCAATGTTACTTGCAAAAATAGTAAAAAAAAAAAAAAAAGTATAATTTCCAAAAATAGCTAATGCAATATTTCTAGCGCCATTGCTCTCCCAGACTTTATCACTTCCTCATCAAGAGATGGAGACTAGTTCTCCTACACTCAAAACTCAGTAGGACTTCATGTGACTCTTGTTGACTAGAACGTGGAAGAAGTGATGCAGCTTGACCTCTGAGGCTAGCTCATCAAAGGCAATACGGCTGGTGCTTGGTTCTCTCTTAGGACACCTGCCCTTGGGAACCGGAACCTAGCTGCCACATTGTAGGGAAGCCCAGGCCACATGGAGAGCCCATATATGTTTCCTGCCAACAACCCCAACTGATGTTCCCGCTTACTGCCAGCAGCACCGGCTATCACGCATGTGAGTGAGTGAGCCTCACTTCTGCCATGTTCTATTCATCAAGACAGTCACATGAAGTCCTACTGAGTTTTGAGGGCAGGAAAACTAGTCTCCATCTCTTGATGAGGAAGCGATAAGGTCTGGGAGAGCAGTGAGGCTAGAAATATGGCATTAGCTATTTTTGGAAATTATGCTGATTTTTTTTTACTATTTTTGTAAGTAACATTGCATTTCTTTAGATTCCCTTAATATTTACTGCTGTCTACACCCTTCATGCTTCTTGCATCTTGGAACTTTTAGCTGGGAGATCGCCTTGCTTCCACATGAAGTAAAGCCCTTTTCTCTATTATCTATTGGTGGCAAAGTCTCCTAAGTTATTTATTTATTTATTTTTTGAGACTATGTATTTTTTGAGTCTATTCCTCCCCAGACTGGAGTGCAGTGGCACCATCTTGGCTCACTGCAACCTCTGTCTCCCAGGTTCAAGCAATTCTTCTGCTTCAGCCTCCCTAGTAGCTGGGATTACAGGCACTCGCCACCATGCCCAGCTAATTTTTTGTATTTTTAGTGGAGATGGGGTTTCACCATGTTGGCCAGGCTGGTCTTGAACTCCCGTCCTCAGGTGATCCACCCACCTCGGCCTCCCAAAGTGCTGGGATTACAGGCGTGAGCCACCATGCCACATTGAAAATATTTTATTTGCCTGGTGTAAAATTCCAGGTTGGTAGTTACTTTTCTCTTGGCAAACTGGACATGCCATTCCCGTCTTTCCGCATCACTGTCACTGAGGAGAGCTGGCAGGCAATCTGTCTCTGGCTGTCTTTGCCATCTCTTTGTCTTTGGTGTTCTGCAATTCACCGTAACGTGTTTAGGTGAGTTCCCTTTTATCTCACTTGCTTAGAACGTGTTTGGATTTCTTCAATCTGAACTGGTGAGTTGGGGAACCCTCCTCCTCCCTCCTCCCAGGCTTTCATTCTTGTCCCTTCCCTGGCATTGTCCTCACAGGGCTTATACTTCTGAAAATAAACACCAGGAGATGTGTTCAGGCAAATATTGCTTTCTTCTGCCCCGTGACCCTCACTCTCCAGCCAAGGGGACACCCAGAATGACTTCCTGGAACTGGGAAAGAAAAATTATCTGGGGGTGAAATACACATGGTGCCTCAGGAAGAAGTCCTCCTGCCCTGTGGGGTCTGTGCGGAGGCTGCAGGGCTGGCGCTTCCCATGAAGGCCACAAAGGCCCACTGTGTGCATCTCGGCCTCACTCGGCCTCAGTGAGGTCACACTGTGAGCCTGAGAATTTGAGCGGCATTCTCTGCCCCCAGAGCCAGCTGTCAAACATTTACCAGCACAGCACCAGGCAGGATCCACGGCTAATGGCAGCAGGGGTGGGAAGAGCTGAGCTGAAGTTCAGAGCTAGGATAAAGCCAACAGGAATCCCTCTCCTTTGTCAAGTTTATTTTATTAAAATATACAGGACTGAATATTAGTGGATGCTGAGAACAGGAACCACCCTCCCAGGCCGTGGCCAAGGGAGACGCTTCTGCCATGCAGACATGCGGCCGGTCTGTGTCCCAGCGTGGGAGGCAGACCCCTCCTGGTTGGGCTGTGCAGCCAGTCTGGCCCCAAGGCCAAGGCCGGCAGGGGTGTGGTGGTGATGCTCTCCTGAGGCCTTGGCCTTAGAGGCAGAGTGACACCAGCTGGGAGGGCTGGGCAGCGGGTGAGGGGAGGGAGAAGATCCCTGAGCCAGGGAAAGCTGATGCCCTCCTGGAGGCAGAGGCCCCCAGTCAGCCTGGAGCCTGGAGCCAGGCGTCCATGCAGCTCCGCAGGGGAGGCCAGGCTGTGTGTGAATGCCGAGGGGCCCCCATGGCCTCCGCCATACTGCCTTTCCTCTGAGGGCCCTGCTCACCCTGGGGCTAGCCTCTTGGGGCACACGGGGACTCCCCGGGCCAGCCCTGAGTGGAGCTGGGCTGGCTGTGATGGAATGTATTATGTGGGAATGTTCCTGGAGGGGCCATGCGGCCTGGGACCGGGTTCCTTCTGGGTGAGGCCCCAATCAGGCGGGAGCAGCATCTCTCTCCTCCTGGGGGTTTCTGCTGACCACCCAGCCACAGCCCTCTCAGCCCTCACCATTGGCTCCAGCTTTGGGCTGGCATTCTCCATCCCCAGATGGAGGGGACAGCCAAGCAGAGTCCCCAGGGTTTGTGCTTTTGAATGTTGGTCAGCCGGGCTGGGCTTTGGGGCCCCACTGATCCCAGGCACAGAGCAGACCCCCAAGGCCTCTTCCCCAGGGCCACCATATTGGGGCTACTGGGCCCAAGCCTCAGCCAGCAGGAGGGCCTGGCCTCCGAGAAGCAGTGTGCTGGGCTCCCACTAGGGCTGCGCCTGAGCTGCTAAGGAATGCTTGTGCTTTTTGTGCAAGGCAGAGGGACGGCGACACTGCTTCAGGAGAGGGGGCTCAGCCAAGCTGCTGGGCCATGGGAGGGGCACTACAGGAAGAGGAGGGACACGCCCCTTCCCAGACTCCTCTGAGCTCTGCCCCGGGCTCCCTGGCTGCCAGTCTCTGAACCACGTTCCTCCCGGGACCTAAGAGGACCTTGGAGGGAACAGTCTGTGCTGGAGGGTGTGTACAGCCCCACCCACTGCATTCCCACTGAACCAGGACTGGGGCAAGGAGAGGCTCATCCCACCCTGTGGAGCTGGCAGAGAGTGCCCTCAGATTCTCCACCACGACCCAATCCCTAAACTTGAAATCCCCCGCCTTCCTGCCATGGAGGGAGAATGGGGCCCAGTGGCCCCTCACCACTCAGGCTTGCCCCACAGTGGGTGGCCTGGTACCCAGCTCTTCCAGGTCAGTGGAGTAGCAGGGGATCCTGGGACCCCCAGGGAAGAATTTCCAGAAAGCTGCAGGCTTGGCCTCCATTACCCCCTCTCCCCCCTGCCCCCCAGCTGGTCCCTCTGGGGTCCTGAGGTGAGGGGCTTTCTAGAAGCATAGGTAGTGGGCAGAGAGTGGCTACGGGGAGGAGACCAGGGGAGCCTGGGGCCGGCCCACTGTGTGGCAAGAAAGCAGAATGGAGAACGGGACGAGGTGGGCTCACACCGGAGATTGGACCCTCCCCTGCAGGGGCACTCGAGCCCCTTCTTGGTGACATCCAGCAGCTGGTGGCCTGCAGACCTGCTCTGTCAGCCACTCACCCAGAGGCAGCCTCGCCTCGCTGGCCTGGGAAGGGCTGGCTGGGGCTCCTGGACTCGGCCCCTAGCCAGACTCAGCCCCTCCCTGAACTCTGTCCCCTCTGCCAGCCCAGATGAATGGCTGTGTGTGTGTGTGTGTGTGTGTGTGTGTGTGTGTGTAGCAATCTGTTCACTTTTTGCAAATCTATTTTTTAAAAGTTTCTTGGAGGCTGCTCCTGGCAGGATGGAGGTTTCTTGGGGGTGGAGGTGGCTGTGGCCATGCACTCCTTTGGACGTGTCCTAGATGACATTCTCAAACAGCTGCATGGAGCTCATGATGTTCTCATCCTGCATGGAGAGAGGAAGGGAGGCCTTCAGGTGCTGGGTGGGCTCCAAATCCGACCCCCTTGAGCAGATTCCCGCCAGGGACTCGGAGCCTGCAGCGACTGCCTGTCTGTCTGTCTTATTGGGTGCAGGGAGCTGGGGGACAGGGAGGTGAAGTAGCTGGTCCGAGGTCCCCAGCTGGTGAGGCACAGCCTGTCTTCAACCCCACTCCTGACTGCAAGCCCATCTGGGATGAGCTGATGAAGGCGATCCCGGCTGGCCTCCAGAGGAGGTGGGCGCTAACCAGGACTGCTCTGGGAGTGGGGCAATAGAGGCGCTGGAGGCCCAGCATCCTGCCCCCTGAGGTGCTCTCTGGAAGGGCCAGCAGCAACACTGCGGAAGCTCTGGTGCCTCCCCACGGTGACCCTCTCCCTCTGGCTGGCCCCATGTCTGCCCCTAACTTGAGGTTCTCCAGGGACTGGGCTGAGGGAGGGTGTGGGGGTAGTGGGGGGATGCTGTGGGCTGCAGGGGTGGGTGGGGAGGAGGAGACTCAGACAAGAGGGCAAGTGGAGCTTGGGGCTGTCCAGGAGGTGGCAAGGGGCCAAGGACAGCTGCCACATCCTGGACTGGCAGGGGTGGGACTGGGGTGAGGGAAGGGGCAGACGCTGCCAACCACCCACCTCCGTGTAGAGCCTGCAGAGAACTGTGGCCCAGCCTCCCGTGCCACCTACCTTCTGACAGGCCTCCAGGAACTCTTCAATGGTCACTACCCCATCCTGGTTCCGGTCCATTTTCTGCAACCCAAGCCATGCCCAAAGTGAGTCTGTGCCCCAGCAGAGACAGCCCCGCCCCTGGCCTGAGGACGCAGAAGTCATGGGTGGGTGGATGGGCGGGTGGGTGGATGGGCGGGTGGGCTCCCTCCACTCTAACTTGTCCCCTGTGACTACTCTGGATCCAGGCCACATAATCCACCCTTCATAGCCACCTCCCAACCAACTGCTGAGGCTCCAAGCATCTCCCCACTGCTCCCCTAGGCCAATTCCCTGAGCCCTCCTGGGCTTGGGTTTCCCAGAATTTGTCCCCATGCTCATCTGACCGCCTCACCTCCCTGAGAGGCAGCCAGGGCAGAGGGAGCAACTGAGTCACAGGATGGCCCATGTCTAGTGGCCCCAGCAAGTAGGAGGCAAAGCCTGCAGCCCCTGCAGCCGCCATGCATACAGGTGAAGGCCCCCAACCTGCTCCTCTCCCAGAGCGTCTTCCTGGAGGAGCCACACAGCTCTCAGGAGGCATGGAGCTCCGGCCCAGGGTCAGCTGCCTCAGGATCCCCAGCTCTGGCCCCCAGATGAGGTCCACAGGGCAGAGCAGTGGTGTAGTTCACTTCTCAGGGGTTCTGACAACCAGCCAGACTGGAGGGGCAAGTTTAACCTCCTCATGGGGAGTAGGGAGGCTCAGAGGGGCAAGCCACTTGCCCGGGGTGGCCCCAAAAGCGAGAGCCCCTTCCTCTGCCAGGCTCCCCTCCCTAGGCAGGGCTGGCGCTCGCTCACCTCGAAGAACCTCTCCACGTGCTCCGCCGGCGCGTCCTCCCGCAGGATGGGGTAGGTGTGGCGGCCCATCATGTCATAGATGGACTTCATGATGGCCAGCATCTCCTGGAGGGGGAGGCTGGCATGAGCCTGCTGCAAGGCCGGGGTGGCTGTGAGGGCCCAAAGGGAGCGGGCGGCATCCAAGGGTGCAGGGCACCTCCAAGGCAGTGAGTGCGAGGGGCCGGACGAGCTGGAGAGAGAAGCCTGTCCGCTTCCAGGGCACCCAGAGCGAGCTTCTGACTCTAGGGGAAGCTCATCTCCCAGAGAAGTGGGAGATGGATTGCTATGTGCTTATCTCCAAAATGTGACGCGGCAGCAGAAAAAGTGCTTGGACCAAACAAAACCTGTCTGTGGGCCCATGTGCGAGGGCTCCCCTCTCCACCCATGCCTTAAGGGACCGCACTGCCCCCTTCACTTGATGGGGGCCAAGGCCAGGACCTCTGGCTTCTCCACTTAAATCTCCCCGAGGCCTTTTGTGTAAGACAGTATGACCGAGAACACTTGCTGAGCTGGACCGAGATGTGTGGTACAGGGTACCTGAACCCACACTCCACACCGGGGTGTCCAGGACCGAGCCCAGGAGAGGAGAGCCCACTGGCTGCTGTCCCTGGGGCCAGTCTCTGGATGGACAGCGGGAGAAGACAGGTGGGCAGCAGGAGCAGGGAGAGGAAGAGCGGCGGGAGGGGTGGAGCAGCAGGAGGGGAGGAGGGGACAATCCCTGCCCCCAGCCCCCTACTACCTCTTTGGTGATGTAGCCATCCTTGTTAATGTCGTAGAGATTAAAGGCCCACTTGAGCTTCTCGTGGACTGTGCCCCGCAGCAGGATGGAGAGGCCAACCACAAAGTCCTATGGGGAAAGGAGAGTGTGGGGCGTGACATCCAATCAATGCCCAGGTTCTAGTTCCAGTTGCTGTGTGGCTTCCACTGAAATTCACGCCTCCAACAGGCACAGAGCCTCCCTAAGAGACTGACGGCATCCATTCAGGTCAGCACAGGGTGAGTGTGTGCCCGTGTGTGAGCGCATGCACGGGTGTGCACCTGTGTGTGTGAACTTGTGTGAGGGTGTGCACCTGTGTGAGAACTTGTGTGAGGGTGTGCACCTGTGTGAGGGTGTGCATCTGTATGTGTGAACCTGTGAGGGTGTGCACCTGTGTGTGCACCTGTGTGAGTGTGTGAACCTGTGTGAGTGCATGCGCATGTGTCTGCATGTGTGGCAGGAGTGGCATGGTAGCTGATACTGATGCCAGAGAAAGATATTCAAATATATATGGTGTCCTAGACCCATTTAATGCAGTGCTGCCGCTGGAGACGCCTGGGGTACTCTTTTAATAAAGGAGGTGCTCTATGTTTATTCTGCCAAGCATCTGCATGGCAAAGGTGCTTGAAAACTTCCAGATTAAATAGCTAGAGGAATGATGCTCAGCTTTTTGTTTGTTGTTGTTTTTAGAGACAGAGTCTCAGACTGTCACCAGTCGCCATCATGGCTCACTGCAGTCCCAAACTCCCAGGCTCAAGCGATCCTCCACCTCAGCCTCCTGAGTAGCTGGGACCACTCGGAATAATCCATGCCTGGCTAATTTATTTTATACTTATAGAGATGGGGTCTCGCTATGTTGTCCAGGCTGGTCTCCAACTCCTGGCCCCAAGTAATCCTCCTACCTTGGGCTTCAGAAGTGCTGGGATTACAGGTGTAATCCCAGGGCCACCTCGCCCAAACCTGGTGCTCAACTCTTGAGTCATGACATGCTGTGTGTGGCCATCGCCTTTGGCATGGGAAACTTTACTACTAATATGACAGAATATGGCTGTTTAAATGGTTTCCATGTGACAACTTCAACTGTTTTGTTACAGCAGTTGGTAGAAAGCAGGTTTTCCCCCTACCTCTTGGAAGGTTTAAAGGTGAAACCCTCCCTGCACCCTGGGGTCCTCCCAGGCTACTCTGAAAGAAAGGGGTGAGAAAGGGGCTGTACCAGCGAAGTGGGACAGAGGACGGTCAGAGTGCAAGGGACAGGGCCATGCACCAAGGCCCCGAGGCCCCTCAAGTGTTAGATTTTCGGGACTGGAAGAAGTCTGTACCATGAGAGAGACAGAGACAGAGGAAAGCGATTTGGAAGAACAAAAATTATCCCAGGAGAAAAAAATTTGACAACAACTATTAGGTTCAGAGATTACAAATCTTCCATCACTAAAATAAGAATAGGATGTCCCAAAAAAGAGGTAACTGGAAAAAAGAAAGAGCTCTTGGAAATTAAAAATAAGAAAGCAAAATGACAGACTTAAAAAGAAAGGTTGGGAGAGCAAATGGAATCTTCCATGAAGTGGAATGAGAAGGCAAATAGCTGGAATATAGGGGAGAACAGAGGATAATGAGAGTTGCACTCCAGAGGGGCCAATGCTGGGACACAGGCAGTTCGGGAAGAACGGGAGAAAACAGAGGAAAGTGGGTAGGAGCAATCAGGAAAGACGATTTCCCAGAATGGAAGCAGAGATTTCCAGTGTCCACCAAGGCTTGGCACAATGCATGAAAACAGCCTGCAGTTTAGCTGCAAGCATAGATCATGGTGAAATTTCAGCAAATTGGGTGCAGAGGATCCTATAAACTTTCAGAGAGGAAAGCAAAGCCAAACAGAAAAAGCAAAATCGGGACCCATCACGGGTCAGTGTCAGCAGGGGCACCTGCTCTGCAGCAGCGCCTGAGGCAGGAGGCCCAGGGAACGAAGCGACCCCCAACTTTGAAGGAGAACAGCTCCCCCTGGGGGTGCTGGTCCCTACAATGGATCAAGCAAGAGTAAAAACAGAATAAAGACACTCCCAGGTGCTCAAACGCTCCAAAGTTACAGCTCACATCCTCTTTTATAGGAAGCAGCTGGGCAGTAAGCCCCTGAACACACAGAGAGTAAAGCAAGAGAAAGGCAGATCAGGGATCCCAGAACCAGAAGGCCCAGCCCAGCAGACAGGGGAGGAAGCCCCAGAGGCACCAGGCCCCAGCGAGGATGGAGCTGTGGGAGGCTGGTGGGGGGGCCTCCTCTGGCAGATGCCGGGCAACAGGTTCAGATGACTGGAGAAGGGCCTGGGCTTGAATGAATAATGAGGTCACAGAACACAGACAAACTAATCATCAGGACCAATGTTAACCGTAGGCAAAGGAAAGGAAAAGATCATCGCAATGGACAACAAGCCTCAGCGAGGGGTCCAGTTCACAAATCAGAGTAAACCAAGGCCTTATCCAACCTGAAGCCTAGAGTCTGTTGGAAAGCTGAACTCCTGGGCTCAAGCGATCCTCCCACCTCAGCCTCCTGGGGGATGGGTGGGGGGCTGGGGGGACGGGAACGTTGTATGTCTGAGGGAGTCCCAAATTCTCACTTGTGGCAGGGGGTGGAAAAGTGGAAGCAAGCTTCTGGGGGACATGGAAACAAGCACAGGTGACTGGCTACAGCAGACAAGGTGGTGGTCACCTGCTGGTTTTCCAACGTGCACCCTGCGAATGTGTTGGACTCCAGTCATGTGTGTGTATAACTGAAGACAATGAATATATATATATATATGTGTGTGTGTGTATATATATGTGTGTGTGTGTATATATGTGTATATATATGTGTATATAAATATGTGTGTATATATGTGTGTGTGTGTGTATATATATATATGTGTGTGTGTGTGTGTATATATATATATATTTTGTTTTTGTTTTTGAGATTGAGTCTCACTCTGTCACCCAGGCTGGATGGAGTACAGTGGTGCAATCTCAGCTCACTGCAACCTCTGACTCCTGGGCTCAAAGTGATTCACTTGCCTCAGCCTCCCAAGCAGCTGGAATTATAGGCACCCGCCACCATGCCCAGCTAATTTTTTTTTTTTTTTTGTATTTTTAGTAGAGACGGGGTTTCGCTATGTTGGCCAGGCTTGTCTCAAACTCCTGACCTCAGGTGATCTGACCGCCTTGGCCTCTCAAAGTGCTGGGATTGCAGGCGTGAGCCACCGAGCCCGGCCAATGAAAATATTTTAAAGAAGCAACACCCAGGTGTGGTGGCTCACACCTGCAATTCCAGCACTTTGGGAGGCTGAGACAGGAGAATTGCTTGAGGCCAGGATTTCAAGACTAGCCTGGACAACATAGTGAGACCTTGCATCTACAACAATTAAAATAAAAAAATTAGCTGGGCATGGTGGCATGCACCCGCAGTCCCAGGTACTCGGGAGGCTGGGGTAGGAGGATCACTTGAGGCCAGGAGGTCGAGGCTGCAATGAGCTATGGTGGTGCCACTGCACTCCAGCCTGTCTAAAAATAAAACAAAAAAAATAAAAATTAAAAAACAAGGAGAAACATTGTTATATTTCTACTATGCCCAAGTTTAGGGAATAATAATCACTGAAGCTTGGGCATGGTTTACACAGTAGTGAAGATTCTAAGTTATCCCTGAAGCCCTGGGTCAGACAGGCCTTCCTAGTGGGTAGCAAAGGCGTGGAGCACACCGTTCTCCTGGGGACCCTGGGCAGGCACCGCTGTCCTCCACCTTATCTTCAGCTGACATGGGCCCCTCAGGTGGTCTGTCTGTCTGCTGCGGAGAAGCCCTCATGTTCAGCCACAGAGCCTGCTGCTAGCAGCTGAGGAATGTCCCTATGCAGTATCCCTTAGCCTCTCTCTGTGTGTTGGCTACAGTAGTGACAGTACTAGGAGATGGTGGGAATGTCCTGTTAGGCCACTGGCTAGTCTCCATTCATAAAGGTAATACACAGATGACCCCAAGTCCAGCCAGCCCATGTCTGAGTGCACGCTGGTTCTAAATTCCTTGGCCATACACAGTGCAACCATGGCAAGTTGTAACTCCATGCTCTGAATGCCAAAGTGTAGGAACCCTGTCACATCCACAGCCTCTGTTCTACGGCTGTCCCCATGGCAGGGGCTAGGCAGGGTGAGGGCTCCAGTGACACAGCATACTTCCAGGTGAAGGTGCACAAGAGTGCACAGGAGGGTCTCCCGGCAGAGCCCGGAGCAGGTGCTCAGCGAGGGGGTGGGAGTCGCATGTGGTTGCTGGGCTTGCAGGCTGCCCTCACACGGCCCTGGATGCCGCTTGGCCACTGGCACATGGAGCAGTTTACTGTCGGGGGAGGTAACAGAGAAGCGGCCGCACCTCCAGATGCCTGCCTGGCTGCCACTTCCAAACTGGGCCTGACTTGATCCTGGGCACTGAAGAGGCCCCAACAGTCTACGGAATCGTTTTGGAAGCTCTGCACGTCCTGGCAAGCCAGATGAGTTGCACGAGAAAGGCCCTGGTGGCCAGAGCGTTCAGCAAATCTGTGTGTGGCGCTGCTCACCTGGGGCTCCCTGCTGCTGGCAAATCCCAGAAGGTCCGTGGGGATGGGAGCAGGAGCCACTCCAAGGTGGGGTGTGGGGATGGCATCGCCCGCTTGGCTCTGTTGAGGTCTGTGTGTTTTCCGATTTGGTCTTTTTGGTTATTCTTTTTGGTGAGCGGAGGGAGGGTATTACCTTTTACCATATCAGTAAACTGTAACTAATATGCATCTTGTCTCTAAGAATATACAGAAAGGGACAGAATCATTGCAGACAGTGTCATGCAGGGTTGCCTTGCATTACAGACGCACGTAGGAGGCTCTGAGGGCTGGCAGTGAGGATGGCCCGGTGTTCTCCAGACTAGATTTGGTGCCTCCGTCCCTGGCAGGATCCTTTGTGACCACTGGGATCCCAGTCTGTGGGGCTCCCAGGATGGGGCCATGGGGGCTTGTGCCCTCCTCCTTCCCAGAGCAGAACACTTTGAAATCGAGAAGTTCCTCAAGGTAAATGTACCTGCGTGAAGCCAGAGGACTTCGTTTCACGTGCAGAGAAGCTGCAGAAGGCCCAGGAAGATGCCAGGGATGAGTGATCTTCTGAGAAGGTGCCCAGCAGAGGGGCCACAGCACAGCCACTGACAGACCCAGCCCAGAGGGCTGCCACCTGCTTCCTTAAAGGGCCACAAGGCTGTCCCTCAGGACAGCGAGGGTGATGGCCACAGGAGGTGAGGGGCGACTGTGACCTTCCTGAGCACTGCCATGAGCAGGGGCTCTGCCGAGCCTCTCAGTCATCTCATTCCTGAACAAGAAAAACCACTCGCACCCCGCCTGCTCCCTTACACCGTTTCCTAAAGATGCTTTACTGCCTGAAGTGTCAGGTGCCTCTTAAAGGGCACCCCAGGAGAGAGGGGCAGGGAAAGGACCTTGAGTCCTCCCTGAGGCTCCTCCATGCTAACCGGGTGTTTTCTGTGTGCTGTGGGGTTGGTATTTCAAATCTGAAAACAAGATTTGAAAACACGGTCTGCTTCTATGTGCAGAGCCCTCAGAGTGTGGCTCAGAGTCGAGGGGTCCTGTGGTCACAGGGCAGGCGGGGAGCGTCAGTGTGCCTGGCGGGCTTGCGGCATAAAAATAACCCGCGCAGCTTATCGACAAGTTATTATTACCCCGTGTGGCCGGGGCCTTCTGGCCCCATGTGCTTCTCTGTGCTTTCCTGTTAGCTGCCCTTAGCCCAGTGGAAGCCAAGCTGTCGGGGTATCGATCAAGCCGGCTCTCAGAAAGGTTTTCCTCCCCAAAGCGGTTTCAGCTTTTCGCCTGCAGCTATTTTTAGAGGCTTGGGCTCCGCAGATGGGGCCTCTCTCCAATGATCCTGTGTGGCGGGGCTGGGGAGGAGCCCAGGCCAGGACCCCACAGGGAAGCTGTCTGGGTGGGGGACAGGCTTCTCCTTCCGCCAGTGGGTAACACCAGGCTTTGCTCTCAGTGCCCAGCTGGGATGAGCCCTGGAGGCTGCTCCGGCTGGGATGTTTTCTAGATATTTTTGGCCTATTTTCTGGGTAACAAGGAGTAAATTCTGAAAATGGAGGTCTCACATCCCACCGTCAGCAAACCAGGCCTCTGAGTTAAGCCCTGATCCCTTTGAAAATGCAAATTCCCGCTGGGTCACTACCACCCGTGTGTGTCTCGGGGGCTCCCTTGACCAGGCAGAGCTGGATGCAAACTCTCAAATGGAAGAAAAGGCTGAGAACGTGGTGCCGGCCCAGCAAAGTCAAACACCCCAGAGCTCACTGGCCCAGGGCCAGCCACATCCACTCATTCCCAGGGTGACTCACAAGATCCTTCCCACCCAGGACCATGGCTCTCTCGACAGCCCTGACAGTGACGCCAGGGTAAGGATTCACTCCTGCAACCACAGGGGCAGGACACGTGGGAGGAATCCGCGAGGACCTACCTCAAAGTGGATGGCCCCGTTCCCGTCCGCATCAAAGGCGTTGAAGAGGAAGTGTGCATAGGTGGTGGCATCTGGGGAGGGCAAGGAAGAGGCTGGGGTGTGTCGGGGCTGCCTGGCGGCTCATCTCCCACCCCAGGCAACCCCAGCTGAGGGTGCTAACTGCGTCCTGGCTTGGAGTCCCTGTTTCCCACGGGACAGGGGCAGCACCAAGCCTCCAGGATGCAAGGGGCAGCAGGAGGGTCCCCTCCCTCCACACTGGGACACAGCAGGGCTGCCCTGCCTCAGACTCACCTCCCTGAGGGAAGAACTGCGCGTAAATGAGTTTGAAGGTGTCTTCGTCCACCAGGCCCGTGGGACACTCCTGCAGCAGGAAGGCACCCCCTCAGCCCTCGGCCACCCCCAGCTCCAAGCCCGACTCTGCATGGTGCCTGGCTGGCCTCTCTCCACCCCCTTGGGGGCTGCCTGCTGCCTGTGGCACTGCTGGGGCCCCCTGGCCTGGGTTGTGGAAAGCCTGGGTAGAGGTGGGGTGAGAGGGAGGAGGGGTGAATAGGAAGGGGGTGACTGCTCCCCCATACCCTCCTCCTCTGTACCAGCAGCAAAGACACGGAGGGAGGAGCATGGCGGCCTCAGCGATGCCCATTCCGGAGCCTGCCCCCGCCACACAGCTTTCCCACAACACATAAGCCCCTTAAAGGCCCCTGGGATATTTACTGTGGCATGGAGAAGTTTCCAGGTCTCCCTGAGCCAGGGTCTCCAAGGCCTCTCCCGGGGGAATGGGGAACACTCACATTCTTAAAGCCCCTGTAGAGAGACTGCAGCTCCTTCTTGGTGAACTTGGTCTGGGCCTGCAGCTGGTCCAGCCCCTCTGGCTGGTGGCGCACCGTGGACAGCTCCAGCTCACTGTCGCTGCTATCTGGAGTGGGACACAGACCAGAGAGTGTAAGGCCTGTAGCCCTGCTCCTCCATCTTGCTCCAGTGTGGCCAGGGCATGGGCCAAAATAGCAGGTGGAGGAACTCTCTTTGCATGACTACCATGGACAGCCACACAGGCTGTGCACTGCACAGAGGGGGTGTGACTGAGTGGCCCACACAAGAGCTGTGCCTCTGCTTTCCTGCCCCCCACAGGGCGGGCCTCCCCATCGCAGCCCCTGCAGTGTGCCCCCCTGTCAGCCGCACAGTGGGACAAGGTGGGAGCTGCTCTTGTCCTAAAGAGGCACTGAACAAGGGGATATAGGAGGGGGAAAGACAGCAAGACAGGCATGAGGGACACTTGAACTTCAGTATCCAATTCCTAGACCACTTCCTCCATGTGGCCCTCCCTGACTTTCCCCAGGAATGGAGAGGGTGCCTCCCTTGGCCCTCAAGGCCTAAGGCGATGCTGTTCAGCTACAGTTGGCAGAGGGGTGTTATTCACATCTGGTTAGGAGGCTAAACCTCCAGGGCTGTGGGGGCAGGGATCAGACCTGTCCTTTAAAAACAATACACAAACTTGGCAGGGTGCGGTGACTCACACCTGTAATCCCAGCACTTTGGGAGGCTGAGGCAGATCACGAGGTCAGGAGATCGAGACCATCCTGGCTAACACGGTGAAACCCCGTCTCTAATAAAAATACAAAAAATTAGCCAGGCATGGTGGCGGGCGCCTGTAGTCCCAGCTACTCGGGAGGCTGAGGCAGGAGAATGGTGTGAACCGGGGAGGCGGAGCTTGCAGTGAGCCGCGATCGCGCCACTGAACTCCAGCCTGGGTGACAGAGCAAGACTGCATCTCAAAAAAAAAAAAAAAAAAAAAAAAAACCACAAACTTGTTAACTAACCATGGCTACATTTGAGGGGGAGGTGCAATTTCAGGTGATTTTTACTTTTTTATTTATGATTTTAAAAAACATTTTCCTAATTTCTTTTGGTGTGACATGCATCACTTTTACAATGCAAAATAAAGCTAGGGCTGAAACAGCACTGAGTGCCCACACCTTGCTGAGCAGCATCCTCGCATAATTACAGAGCGCCACCTTCCCACAGACCCAGGACTCATGGGCCCCGCTGCACCGTCGCCCTGTCTCCCCTGGGCCACACAGAATGGTGGTGATCCATAATCACCCTCATGGCTGGTACTCTGGTGCTGGCTGCTGCCTCTCCCACTGCACAGTGAGCTCTTCAGGGGCAGCTGTCCTGCACAGCTCATCCTGTGCCCGTGGTGCCTGGCATGGTGCTGGGCACTGGTCCTGTGCTGAGCTTGCTCCATACCCAGGCCTCTCCCGAGAGCGTGGTGGGAAAGACAGCCTGCACTGCCCACTCACACTAACCACAAGAGCACCCTGAAAGCTGCTCAGCAATTGGGCTGTTTCTTTGGTCCACACATGCTCCCCATCTCCAAGATAACTATTTCATACCATCCTTCCCCTTAAGTTTCCAGTATCTCCTCTCCCATCCTTACCCTCAGGTTGCTTCCCACTTCACTGAGAAGACACAAGCCATGGAGGAAAACTTCCCCAAGCCCTCACCCCACACCTACCCACCTGCCTGCACCTGGCCCAGACGTCTGCACGCCTGCCTGCTCCATGGCTGAACTGTGCCTGCTCCCAGCAAAGGCAAACCTGCCACTTGTGCAGTGGGTCCCGATCCCTCTCACCTACTCAGGCAAGCGGTGCCAGCCAAGTCTCCCACTCTTTCCTCATCACCTTTTCCCCTCTTCTGGATCATTCCCATCACCATATAGACATACTGTAGTATCTCGAATCCTTAGTCATATTAAGTATAGGCAAACCCTGTAAACCAGCATCCCACGCCAGGCAAGCATCCCACATAGACTCTTCCCCTGCCCAGGGGCCTGCACAAGGATGCTCACAGCAACAGCATTTTTGGCAGGAGAGTTGGAGGCAACTCAGGGGTTTATGGCAGGCAGGATGGGTAGGCAAAATATGGAGGCTGCACACTGGGGAGAACTGTGCCGTGGAGCAGATGTACACACAGCAGCGTGGATGGATGGATGGATGGATGGATGGTAAGAATCCTTTGATTAAGAGGCAGACTTTTCAGACTGGAAAAGCAAGATCCAATTATATCCTGTTTACAAGAGGGATACTCCTAATACAAAGATATATTAAGGCTGGGTGCTGTGGCTCACTCCTGTAACCCCAACACTTTGGGAGGCTGAGGTGGGTGGATCACCTGAGGTCAGGCGCTCAAGACCAGCCTGGCCAACATGGTGAAACCCCATCTCTACTAAAAATACAAAAATGAGCCGGGTGCAGTGGCGGGCACCTGTAATCCCAGCTACTCAGGAGGCTGAGGCAGGAGAATCGCTTCAATCCAGGAGGCGAAGGTTGCAGTGAGCCAAGATCGCGCCATTACACTCCAGCCTGGGTGACAGAGTGAGACTCCATCTCAAAAAAAAAAAAAAAAGATTTAAAATAAAAGAATGGAAAAACATTAAGAAAGCTGGATGTTTTATAATGATACAAGGATTAATTCATCAAGAAGGCAGAATAATCTAAAACAGACATCACCTAGTAACAGAGCTTTAAAATACCTAAAACAAAAAATTCAGAACTAAAGAGAGAAACAAAAAAGTCACAATCATAATTGGAAGATTTTAGCACCCCTTTCCAGTAAATGGTATGACAAGTGACGAAATAAAAGGTTTGAAAAACACCATCAACCAATTTGACCTAATTAATATTTATAGAACACTGTATAATTGTAGATACACATTCTTTTCAAGAGCATATCCTGAGGTTACCAATATATATCAGATGCTGGAACACAGACTCTTACCACAATGGTACTAAGTTAAAATTCAGGACAAGATATTTAGAAAATCTCAAGTATTTGGAAATAAACAATACATTTCTAATTAGCTCATAGGTCAGAGAATAAACTGCAAGGTGATCACATTTTGAGATATTTTGAATTGAATGATTAAAAAAACAGAGCATATCAAAATTTGCTGGATGCAGGTAAAGCTGGGCTGACAGGGAAATTTATTGCTTTCAATTCCTTTATTAGAAAAGAAGATAGGTGTAAAAGCAATGACATAAGCTTCTAGATCTAAGAGTCAGAATCTAAAAAATGCAGAGCAAATTAAATTCAAAGTAAATAGAAGAAAGAACATAATAAAAACAAGAGTAGAAATCAATGACAGGCTGGGTGCAGTGGCTCACGCCTATAATCCCAGCACTTTGGGAGGCCGAGGCAGGTGGATCACTTGAGGTCAGGAGTTCAAGACCAGCCTGGCCAACATGGCGAAACCCTGTCTCTACTAAAAATACAAAAAAAAAAAAGTTAGCCAGGTGTGGTGGTGCACACCTGTAATCCTAGCTACTCAGGAGGCTGGGGCATGAGAATCGCTTGAGCCCAGGAGGTTGGAGATTGCAGTGAGCAGAGATCACACCACTGCACTCCAGCCTGTTGACAGAGCAAAACTTCGTCTCAAAAAAAAAGAAAAAAAAATCAATGACAAATATAAGCATAGCCACAAACCTTATAATAAAGTCATTAAGAAACTCAAGTCACAGGCTGGAAAAACATATCTCCAGTATATGTATCTGACAAAGGACTCATTTCCAGAATACATAATTAACTTCTACAAATCAGCATAAGACTAATAACTCGATTTTGTAAACAGGCAAAAGACAAGGACGTGTCACAAAAAAAGATATACAACTGGCCAATAAGCACAGGAAAAGGTACTTGAAAGGACATGTGAGAATTCATGCAGTGATGGGAAAACTGGAGTACTGGCTCAGCCAGAGTGGAGATACCTCCCTAAGCATCTCAGGTGTTGGCTGAAACCCCAGAAAAGCTATGCTTTAGGACTGTGAACCACATCCTTGAGTAAGCGCATGCTCTAGACCCAATGACAAAGTCAAAACAAACCTACTCTGACAAAGCCTAAAATAAAGTCTGTGAAGATCACATGAGTTGGCCAATAATTTAACTACATGCCAAACCAAAATTTGTTAGCATTTATATTAAAACAATATAATCCATTGCCTACACTATCCCTTTCACAATGTCCAACATACAATAAAAAATAAAAAGACATGAGAAGAAGCAAGAAAATGTGACCATAATAAAGAGATGAAGGATAAGCAGAATTATTAGACTTTTGTTAGAATTATTAGAAAAGAACTTTAAAACAACTATTATCAACACTTTGAAAGAAATAAAGAAAAGAAAGCATAATAGATGAGAATCTTAATAGAAAAATTAAAAACTATAATAAAAGAACAAAATGGAACTTCTAAGCTTGAACAAAACAATACCTAAAATTAAAAATTCACTGGATGGACTGAGTGCAGTGGTTCACGCCTGTAATCCCAGCACCAGAGGCTGAGGCAGGTGGATTGATTGAGCCCAGGAGTTCGAGACCAGCCTGGGCAACATAGCAAGACCCTGTCTCTACAAAAAAATTGCCCAGGCATGGTTGTGTGCACCTGTAGTCCCAGCTGCTTGGGAGGCTAAGGTGGGAGGAGCACTTGAGCCTGGGAGATTGACGCTGCAGTGAGCCATGGTCATACCACTGCACTTCAGCCTGGGCAGCAGGGCAAGACCCCAGCTCAAAAAAAAATAAATTGAAAAAATTGAAAAAAAAAGAGAGAAAAGACATAAGCTACCAACATCAGGAAGGAAACAAGGGAAATAAGTACTAACTTTCCAGACATTAAAAGGATAAAAAGGGGATATTATGAACAAGTCTTCACACACAAATTCAACAACTTCTATAAAATGGACCAATTCCTGAAAAATTACAGACTACCCAAATTCATCCCAGGTGAAAAAGATAACCTAAATAGTCCCAACCAATATTCTTCATGAACACAGGTGTGAAATTTCTCAACAAAATATTAGCAAATTGAATCCTTTGATGAATAAAAAGAATAATACACCACACCAAGAGGGGTTTTCCAGGAACATGAGGCTGATTCAATATTTAAAAATAAAACAACATAATCCACCACATTAATAGTCTAAAAAAGAAAAAAGCACATAATCATATCAATTGATGCAGAAAAAGCATTTGACAAAATTCAACATCCATTCATTAAAAATAACTGGGAATGAAAGGGAACTTCCCCACATTATTAAAGAGCATCTACACAAAATCTATAGTTAACATCATTCTTAACGGTAAAAAACAGAATGTTTCCCCCCCAAGAAAAAAGGTCAATATACAAAAATCAATCACATTTCTACAGATCAGTAATGAACAATTAGAAATCAAAATTTAGGCAAAGGTGTCTCCAGAATTTCAGTGGCAGTAAGATCCAAGAGTCTTGCTCCGGTCTCTTTGATCTGTTTTGGAGCTAAACAGGGAGAGGGAAGGATGGTGGGGGCTTTTTGTGCTACCTGGAAGCTGAGGGACAGTCAGAACTCTGATGACGACATGAAGGGTCATCAAAGGTGTAGGCTTTGCCACTGGGCAGGTGGAAATGTGACCAAACCAACAGTGATTATCAGTCAGGAAGGAGACAAAGTGGTGAGCAGGACTCAAAGCATATTCATTCACACAGAGACACCACTGCTGATGACAGACACTGTACACTGGTAGAGTATGTCTGTTGTTAGCCTGGATGGAGACAAAAGTGTTCACACACAGAAACGGGATGGCAAAGACACAAATTTTGTAAGAGAAATTAAGGATGGCAAAATGGTTATGACTCCCACTTAATTTTTTTTTATTTCCATAGGTTATTGAGGAACAGGTCGTGTCTGCTTACATGAGTAAGTTCTTTAGTGGTGATTTGTGAGATTGTGGTGCACCCATCACCCCGGCAGTATATGCTCAACCCAATTTATAGTCTTTTATCCCTCACCCCCTCCCACCCTTTCCCCAGAGTCCCCAAAGTCCATTGTGTCATTCTTATGCTGTTGGATCCTCACTTTTGGTGACATAGTTGCTGTTTGCTACTATGAGAAGGCATAGAAAACTACCTGGCTGGGAACTGGAGAAGATCTTCAGCTTTTCTGTTTACTCAAGTCTCAGGGTTATTCTGCTATTACAGTACAGCTGATCACTAATTAGAAGGTTATCCTTAGCATGGAAGTAGAAAATGGTGACTTAAAAACTTGTTACTCCAAGCAGCTAGCCTAGTTTGTCCTGCAACTTTATCATGTTTTATAATTTGCATTAAAATGTTAAGTAACAGGCCGGGCGCGGTGGCTCATGCCTGTAATCCCAGCACTTTGGGAGGCCAAGGCGGGTGGATCACCTGAGGTCAGGAGTTCGAGACCAGCCTGGCCAACATGGCGAAACCCTGTCTCTACTAAAAATACAAAAATTAGCCAGGCGTGATGGCAGGCGCCTGTAATCCCAGCTACTCGGGAGGCTAAGACAGGAGAATCGCTTGAACCTGGGAGGCAGAGGTTGCAGTGAGCTGAGATCGTGCCATTGCACTCCAGCCTGGGAAACAAGAGCGAGACTCCATCTCAAAAAAAAAAAAAAAAAAAATGTTAAGTCACTTTTTTATATAAAGAAGTGAATGGATTTTGTAATTTCCTTTGGAATGCAAATTAGAATAAAAATCTTACACACAAATAAAAAGACAGAACTTAAAAAACAATACCATTTACAATTGCTCATCTCACAAATGAAATACTTAGGTATATATCTTGCAAAACATGTATATAATCCGTATGCCAAAAACTACAAAATGCTGATGAAAGAAATCACGGAGGATTCAAATGATGGAAGAAACATAACTATGTTCATGGATTGAAAGACTCAGTGCTATAAAGATGCCAGTTATCTCCAAAATGATTCACAGATTTCATACAATTCCTATCAAAATCCCAGCAAGAGTTTTTTTGTACATACAGACAACATGCTCTAAAATTTATCTAGAAAGACAGAGGAACTAGAATAGCTAAAATAATTTTGTGAAAGAAGAATAAAGATATTGGTTTTTTTATTTTTATTTTATTTTATTATTTTTTTAAGACAGAGTTTGGCTCCGTCGCCCAGGCTGGAGTGCAGTGGCATGATCTCAGCTCACTGCAACCTCTGCCTCCCGAGTTCAAGTGATTCTCCTGCCTCAGTCTCCCGAGTAACTGGGACTACAGGCACGCACCACCACACCTAGCTAGTTTTTGTATTTTTAGTAGAGACAGGATTTCACCATGTTGGCGAGGCTGGTCTCGAACTCCTGACCTCAGGAGTTCCTGAGTGATCCGGCCACCTCAGCCTCCAAAAGTGCTGGGATTACAAAGATATTGTTAAATAAAAAGGTAAGCACAGACTGGGAGAAAATATTACCTTTGCAAACTGCATATCTGACAAAGGATATACAGAATATATAAAGAAGTCTCAAAACTCTGCAGTAAGAAATCAAAGAACTCAAATTAGTAAATGTCAAAAAACCTAATCAAACACTTCACTATAGAGGATAAAACGCTGATAAAATAAGCACAAGAAAGAGGATTAGCATCATTTTCCATTAAGGAAATGCAAATTGAAACCTCAGTGAAATACTGCTATATACCTATGAGAATTGCTTACATAACAAATATTGACAATGTCGGGCGCTTGCAGTGGGGGGATGCAGAGCGACGGGAACCACTATATGTTGCTGGCAGGAGAGAGAAGTGGTACTGCCATGCTGGAAATCACGTTGCCACTTTCTTATAAAGAGGCTCTTCCCATAAGACCCAGCAATCCCATTTCTGGTTATTTACCCAAATGAAATGAAAGCTACTATATTCAACTTTAGGCAAATGTTTAGAGCAATTTTATTCAAAATTGCCCCAAACTGTATATACAAATGCCCTCCAACTGGTGAGTGGATGAGCTGTGGTACATCACACAAGGAAAGATACTCAGCAACAATACGGAACAAACTCCTGACACACGCAAAACATGAATGAATCGCACATGCAATGACGTGAAAGAGTCCAGACTCCAGAGGCAGATCATGTCTGACAACATCCATGGGACAGTCTGGAAAAGATAAAAGGACAGAAAATTACAGGGAAAGAGAACAGATCAGTGGCTGCCTGGGGGCTGACTACCAAAGAGGCAGCATAAGGCAATTTTTTGTGGTGACGACATTGTTCTATATCGCCAGGTGCCCGGTGTGGTGGTGCACACCTGTAGTCCTACCTCTCAGGAGGCTGAGGTGGGAGGACTGCTTGAGCCCTGGAGTTCAAGGCCGCCATGAGCTAGGATCACACTACTGCACTCCAGTCTGGGCGACAGAGACCCCATCTCCAAAAACTAAGTAAGTAAATAAAAATTAAAATTAAATTAAATTAAAATAAATTGTTCCACATCTTGATTGTGGTAATGGTTACATGACTATGCATGTATCGAGATTCATAGAACTAGACAGCCAAAAAGGTAAATTTTACATTAATTTAAATTAGAAAAAATGAGAATACTTAGCTATGGGGAGGAGGGAAATAGGGGTGTAAAAGAGGAAAAACAAATGAGAGGCTGTAAATGGGTCAAGGCTGATGATATCCCATGAACTACAGAGTAGGATGAACTTAATCCTCTTTCCCGAGGGCCAAGAAACAAAATAAGACAGAAACTCCAAACCTGCTGCTATTTCTTCCATTAAAAACAACAAAACTCCTTGACCATATTTTCCCCTAAGCCTTTTTCTCACCTCCTGTAACTCCCTGCCTTCACTTCCTCTCCTCCTGTTCTCCCTCAAACTTACTCCACTCCAAGAAAACTGCTCTTACAAGGATCGTGGATGATCTCCATGTGGTCAATATTGTAATTTTGATTTAAAAAATGACATAAGGGGCCAAGTGCGGTGGCTCATGCCTGTAATCCCAGCACTTTGGGAGGCCGAGGCGGGTGGATGACCTGAGGCCAGGAGTTCAAGACCAGCCTGGCCAACATGGCGAAACCCCGTCTCTACTAAAAATACAAAAATTATCTGGGCACAGTGGTGCACGCCTGTAATCCCAGCTACTTGGGAAGCTGAGGCAGGAGAATTGCTTGAACCCTGAAGGCGGAGGCTGCAGTGAGCTGAGATCATGTCACCGTAATCCAGCCTGGGCAACAGAGAGAGACTCTGTCTCAAAAAAAAAAAAAAAAAAAAAGACATAAGGACAAGGTGTTAATCCATTCTTGCATTGCTAGAAAGGAATACCTGAGACTAGGTAAATTTTTTATTTTTTTGAGACAGGGTCTCACTCTGTTGTCCAGGCTGGAGTGCAGTGGTGCAATCACAGCTCACTGCAGCCTTCCAGGCTCAGGTGATCCTCCCACCTCAGTCTCCCAAGTAGCTGAGACTACAGGCACACACCACTATAACCAGCTAATTTTTTTTATTTATAATAGAGACAGGGTTTTGTCATGTTGCCCAGGCTGGTCTCAAACTCCTGGGCTCAAGTGATCCTCAAGACTGCATTATTTATAAAGAAAAGACGTTTATTTCACTTGTGGTTCTGCAGGATGTACACAAAGCACAGTGCTGGCATCTGCCTCTGGTGAGGGCCTCAGGAAGCTTCCAATCGTGATGGAGGGTGAAGAGGGAGCAAGCAGGTCACGTGGCAAGAATGGAAGCAAGAGACACAAGGGAGGAGGTGCCAGGCTCTTTAATGTATTATATAAATTGTATAAAAGTCAGATTTCACATGAACTCATGGAGAGAACTCACTCATTACCATGAGCATGGTGCTGGGCCATTCAGGAGGGATCCGCGCCCGTGATTCAATACTTCCCACTAGTCCCCACCTCCAACATTGGGGATTCATTTCAACATGAGATGTGGGGGGGGACAAACATCCAAACCATATCAGAAAACGCAAGAGTGAGAGTGAACAACGTATGCCTAATGCCACTTTTGAACACAGATGCAAAACCCTAAACCAAATGTTAGCTAAATGAAGCCAATGGCATTTTTTTAAGTACATCATGATCAAGAAGATTTTATCTGGAAGAACATAAAGAGGAAAAATCACATGAAAATCTTAATGCAGAAAGGGCATTTGATAAGCTTTCATGTCTATTTATAATTAAAATAAACGATGACCAAAAAAAACTCTCAGCAAACCAGGAGTCAAAGGGAAGTTCTTTAACGTGATTTGCTTATATTTGCAAATCACATATTTACAAAAAAAATTACAGAAAATATTGGATTTAATGGCAAAAGCTTAGATACATTCCCTTTAATATTTGGGACAAGTTTGGCCACAGTCCCCACTAATCAATGTCCTGCCAATGCTCTTAGGAAATTTAGAAAAGAAATAAATAGTGTACGAATTGAGAAGTAAAGGATAAAATTAACATTATTTAGATGATAGGGTCCCCAGAGGGACTAAAAGAATCAACAGACAGGAGAGTTCAGTAAGGTTGCCAGATATAAGATTAATCGATACAAAAATCAATAGCAGTTCTCTACACCAGTAATAACCATCTAGAAAATATAATTAAAAATACCAAGATAAACACTCACAATAGCAATAAAACTAAAGAGTATCTCTAAGTAGTAATAAAAACTCAAAGGACCTCTACATGGAAAGATATTCTGAATACATGAGACATTCCATCTTATGGCCACATATTAATGTCATTTCTCCCCAAAGTAATCTGTAAGTAAATTCAGTGCAATTCCAATAAAAAATTCAGTTGGATTTTTTTTTTGGAAAGCTTGATAAACACACACTGAAATGTATATGGAGAAACAAACAATTCATAAAAACCTAAAAAGAAAAATAACAAGGGAGGAGTTTCTCTCAGACACTAGTACATGTTGTATAGTCATTGTAATAAAAATTGTATGGTTGGTACAAGAACAGACAAACGTACCAACAAACAGACCAGAGAGCTCAAAAAAGAGAGTGACGTGTAGGAGGGAATTTCATGAAAGCTATGGGAAAAAAGGTCAGAGTGTTTAGTAGATGGTGTTAGGAAAACTGGATCACCACATAAAGAAAACAATCTAGACTCCTTCCATATCCCACATGCAAATGTAGGTTCCAGGTGCATTAGAGACCCCAATGTGAATGGTAAATGATAGAGCTATAATAAAATGTAAAAGAGCCTCCTGTTAACCTAAGATTCTGGACAGATTTCTTAAAACTCCAAAAGCTCAAACCACAAGGAAAAAAAAGGATGAATCTGATTACATCAAAATTAAAGATTTCTGTTCAACAAAGGTCAGAGTGAGACACTCAACAGAATAGAAGAAGATAGCGTAGAGTGTTCACAAATGATGAAAGAAGAATCTCTAGAGCAGGTATCAGCAGAAAGGGAAACCAGAAAGATGGATACAAACCCAAAAGATGGCTCAATTTCAGTAATAAACAGGAACACGTAAATTAGCATGAGAATGCAGTACCTCCTAGATTGCTAAGAGATAATAATAATGAAAAAATAAGTTTTTTTGGCAAATATGTAGATCAATGGTAATTCTGAAACACTCTAGTGCAGGGGTCCTCAACTCCCTGGGCCGAGGACCAGTACTAGTCGGTGGTCTGTTAGGAACTGGGCTGCACAGCAGGAGGTGGGCGGCAGGTGAGCAAGTGAAGCTTCATCTGTATCTACAGCTGGTCCCCACTGCTCGCATTCCTGCCTGAGCTTCACCTCCTGTCAGATGAGCAGCGGCATTAAATTCTCATAGGAGCGCAAACCCTACCGTGAACTGTGCATGCGAGGGGTGCATATGCAGATTTCTGTTTACTAGTGCATAGGATTGAACTGTGTCCCCTCAACTTCATCGTTGAAGTCTTAACCCCCAGTGTGACTGTATTTGGAGATAGGGTCCTTAGGAGGTAACCAAGGTTACGTGGGGTCACAAGGTTGGGCCCTTATCCCATAAGATTGGTAGCCTTATATGAAGAGTAAGAGAGGCCGGGTGTGGTGGCTCATGCCTGTAATCCCAGCACTTTGGGAGGCCGAGGTGGGCGGATCACCTGAGGTCGGGAGTTCGAGACCGGCCTGACCAACATGGAGAAACCCTGTCTCTACTAAAAATACAAAATTAGCCGGGCATAGTGGTGCATGCCTGTAATCCCAGCTACTCGGGAGGCTGAGGCAGGAGAATCGCTTGAACCCAGGAGGCGGAGCTTGCAGTGAGCTGAGATCACACCACTGCGCTCCAGCCTGGGTGACAGAGCAAGACTCCATCTCAAAAAAAAAAAGAAAAAAAAAAGGGTAGGAGAGACAGCTATGTCTGCCTCCACGTGCATGCAGCAAAAGGCCACATGAAGACAGAGCAAGAAGGCAGCCGTCAGCACACCAGGAAGACAGCCCTCACCAGAAACTGACCCTGCTGGCACCCTCTTCTCAGACTTTCTTTCCAGAGCTGGGAGAAAATACATTTCTGTTGTTTAAGTCCTTCAGTCTGTGTTATTTTGTTATGGCAGCCAGAGAAGACTAAGACATCTGGTATATTGTTGGTCTCTCCCTCTACAGGGTGACCGCAGCAGGGATTCGGGTCTCCTCGCTGCCGTACCCAGCCCTGGAACAGTGCCTGTGCATGGGAGGTGCTCTGGAATGCAGGCTGGGTAGGATCCTCCCAGCTATGTTTCCTAGGGTGAGTTTATGGAGTACTGGCGTGGGCTTTAATTTTAATGTCTCTAGGCAGAGCCTGCCTCCTGCAGATTGTCCCAGGCCCCAGCATTCCCTGATGTTTACACCTGTTGGGCACAGAGTGGGCAGGAGAATCAGAGAAAAAGAGATAATATTCCAAGACTCAGGTCCAGTGACAGCAGGTGAACTGGGGTCAAGGGCACCCGGGCATGGAGTCTAAGGTGAGCCAAGGCACATGTGGGCATGAGAGCTATCGAAGGGTCCAAAGCAGAGAAAGGGTTGTCTGATTTCCACTCCAGAATGGTCACTCTGGCCACAGGGTGTCACAGTGACGTGAAGAGAATGGAGTGAAGGGAACTGGCGGGAGGTGTCAGGAATGAAGAAGCCAGAGTTCCTAGCTGCTGACTTGACCAGGATGGGGCAGGCAGAGTCCAGAATGACTCCACATTTCTGACCTGGGAAACAGGGTGACTGCTGGTGTCATCCACCAAGACATGGAAGAAATTACCCAGAAATGGAAGAAAGGCAAGAAGATGGCTGCATGGCTTTTCAACGTAACATTAGAGCACTGTCTATAGGAAACTTGGGCTTTTTACTATTGATCAGCGCTCCAGCTCTGTGTGTTTAGATGTTAACTTGTAGAAGACTGCTCAGGGCAAAATTGTGATGCCAACGAACTCAGCCATTTCCCTTTCTACCTCTCCCCCAGCGTGGCTCTCTTCCTCCTTCTCCAGGGGCTAGTCCTGGGCCACCTCCTCCCCATCAAAGTCTCCATTTGCTGTGGTTTGAATGTTTGTCTCCTCCAAAACTCATGTTGAAATTTAGTCACCACTGTGACAGTATTAAGAGGTGGAACCTGTAAGAAGTGTTCAGGCCATGAGGGCCCCACCCTCACGAATGGACTAATACCATTATCACAGTGGTGGCTTTGCCCCCTCTTTCTCTCTCTCTCTCTCTGTCTCTCGCTCTCTCTCTCTCTGTCTGTCTGTCTGTTCTTCGCCATGGAATGATGATTCAGTAAGAAGGCCATCCCCAGATGCCAAGCCCTCGATCTTGGACTTCCCAGCCTCCAGAACTGCGAGCCAATACATATCTGTTCATTATAAATTACCCTGTTTGTGGTATTCTGCACAAAACAGCCTAAGACAGAAAACTGGTACTGAGAGTGGGTGTTGTTATAACAAATACTTAAAAATGTGAAAGTGGCTTTGGAACTGGGTAGTGAGTAGAGGCTGGAAGAGTCTGGAAGAGCAGACTAGAAAAAAGCCTGTCGCCATGAACAGAACATTAAGGGCTCAGAAGATGAGAAGAGCTGTAGGAAAAGTCTGAAACTTCCTGGAGATTAAAGTGGCTGTCATCAGAATGTTGGCAGAAATATGGATGGTGATGAGGTCTCAGAGGGAATTGAGGAATAAGGTATTGGAAACTGGAGAAAAGCCCATCCTTATAGTGAAAAGGAACTTGGCTGAATTGTGTCCACACCCAGTGGCTTTATGTTTATGGAAGGCAGAATTTTTTTTTTTTTTTTTTTTGAGACGGAGTCTCACACTGTTGCCCAGACTGGAGTATGGAAGGCAGAATTTAAGAGTGATGAACTGGGATACCCAGCAGAAGAAATTTCTAAGCAAAATATTGAGGTGCTGTGTGGTTTCTTTTAATATCATATAGTAAAATGAAAGAAGAAAGAAATGACTTAAAGACAGAATTTATCATGAAGGCATTTCAGGATATTCCAAGCTGCCCCTCTCATCACAGGCCCAGAGCTCTAGGAAGGGAGAATGGTTTTAGGGGATGGGCCAAGGGCCCCCTCCAAGGACCTGCTGCCCTGGACTACCTTTGGGACTCTGCTCCTCACATTCCACCACAGTGCTCCTTGGCTGCCCCAGCTGTGGCTCAAGTGGGCCTGGGTGTGGCTCAGGCCACGGCTCCAGAGGGCAAGCAGTAAGCCTTGGCAGCATCCATGTGGTGCTAATTCTGCAGGCACACAGAGTTCAAGAGCAGTGGAGGCGTGGCTGCCTCTGCCTGGATTTCAAAGGCTGGATCAGACAGACTGGGGGTCCAGGCAGAGACCTGTTGCAGAGGGAGAGCCACTCCAGAGAGTCCTTGCTAGGACAATGCCTTGTGGAGCCACAGGGGCTGGGCTGCCCTTGAGACTGCAGAGCTACCAGCGTGACCGGCTAGCAACATCAACCTGGGAGAGCTCCTGTGGCTGCCGAGCCCACCAAAGCCATGGGGGTGGGGGTGCCCAGGGCCCCAGTGTGTGATGTGGAGTCAAGGAACATTATTCCCGAGTCTCAAGATTTAATGTTGCTCTTCATGGTTGGTTTTGGACGTACTTGGGACCAGTTACCCCCTTTTTTCTTGCCGGTTTCTCCCTGAATGGAAATGTCTATCCCACAACTGTCTCACCGTTGTATTCTGGAAGCATGTAACTTGTTTAAATTTCACAGGCTCACAGCTGGAGAGGAATTTGCCTCAGGATGAATCATGCCTTGAGTCTCACCCATATCTGATTTAGATGAGACTCTGGGCTTATGAGTTGCTGCTGGAATGAGCTAAGACCTTTGGGAGCTATCAGGATGGAATGAATATATTTTGTATGTGAGAAGGACATGAATTTTCCAGGGGTGGGCTGGGCAGAATGCTACAGTTTGAATGTTTGTCCCCTCCAAAACTCATGTTGAAATTTAGTTGCCACTGCAACAGTATTAAGAGATGGGACCTTTTTTTAAAAAAAAAAATTTGTTTGGTTTTTGAAAGGGGGGTCTGACTGTGTTGCCCAGGCAGGTGTCCAACTCCTGATCTCAAGTGATCCTCCTACCTCAGCCTTCCACGTAGCTAGGACTACAGGTGCACAGCATCATGCTTGGCAAGAGGTGGGACCTTTAAGAAATGTTTAGTTTACGAGGGCTCTGCCCTCATGAATGAACTAGTGCCCTTACTGCAGAAGTGGGTTTGTTACCATGAGAGTAGTTTTGCCCCTCTTACTCTCTCTTGCTCCCTGTGCCCTTCAGCCATGTGATGCTTTCCGCCATGTTATGACACAGCAAGAGGGCCCTCGCCAGATGCCAGCCCCTCCGTCTTATACTTCCAAGCTTCCAGAACTGTAAACCAATACATTTCTGTACAATAGAATTACCCATTCTGTGGTATTCTGTTATAGCAGCAGAAAACAGGCTAATACACCGTTGATAGCCAGGGGGGCTGCAATCAAGTTTGAATTCCTCTATCCAACAAGCATTTTGCCAAAGGAGTAAAAGCATGAGGACTTTTTGATGTTTAAAAGTTGTACAGCAGCCTGACAGACTACAAGCAGGGCTTTCTTCCCAGTGTGTAAAAGTCTCAGTCCAGGTCCTGTCCCATACCCCATGTAGTCCTCTCTGTGCAAAAGCTCAGCAAAGTGTCTCCAAATCTTTAATTCACTAAGCTGAAATGCACCAGGTACTGGGCAAGAGGCACTTTTTCGCCACCCCATGGGTGAAGCCTGTGAAACCTCTCTGAGCTGCACCAGTACCTCTGCAAAGCCCCTCATAGGCCTCCTGCAGCTTGCCACATAGGAGAGAAGCAGAAGCAATGGAAGATTCTCTAAAAACCTCTCGAGCCTATGTCCCCTGACAGCTGTCACCCATCCTGTTCCCCTCTGTGGCAAAACTCCAAAGAGGTGCCATGTTCCCCGGCTCCCATCCCTCCTGAACACACTCCATTCAGATGCTCCCCCCACCAGTACTCCCCAAAGCTGCTGGTCAAGGTCCCCTTGGTGCACTGCAGCACATTCATGCCCCTGTGTGACACTGCGCACGGCCTGTGCCTGACACACACAGAAGCCAGGGGTGGACACAGCTGGCTCAGACAACAGCCAGCCAGTTCCAGCTCCAGCCACAGCAAGGCGAGGCCAGCAAGGCAGGGCACCAGGCTGGGGTGTGACTGGATCTGATATTTCCAAAAGTACACATGTGGTCACCAAGGGGAACACTCATGGCCTTCCTGACATAGATACTGCATTTCAATACTAATTTAATTTAATGATGGGAAGCCCTGGAATTCCTGCAGTCCTGGGTCCACTGAGAGCCTTGGTGTGGCCCTGCACTCATGACTTCACATGATACCCTCCTTAGTGACTGAGCACTGGGCAGGAAGGCTGCCTAATCCCCATAAGGCCTGTGGGGACCAGGGAAGAAAGCAGCCCTAACCACCGCCCCAGGGGTCCAGCCTCTAGACGACCGGAGCTCAGCTCCTCAGAGGCGCAGTTAGCCCTGGAATTGCCCACTGGTGCCTCTGGCTGACAGTCCATGAGGGCTTGGGGAAGAGGCAGGCAGGGCATCCAGCACACCATGAAATGGGGCTCCCTACCCCTGTCCCAGGCCGGGGATCTCAGCCTTCACTTAGTCTCTGCTGCTCAGGTCACTACTAAACCATAGGGTTCCACAGAAGGTCCAGGAACTGCCATGGGGTGAAGGGAGGCCTTTCGGGCAAGACTCCCTTTGAATCTGAGCTGAGCTGTCCCTTTTACCCATCAAGGGGCACTGGACTTGTAAGACTTATTGGAAAGTCTGTGGTGAGACTGCTGTGATGCTACCACCTGTGTCTAGGTATGTGACAGTAGAGCCGCTGACCTGGGGAGGGAGGGGCCTTGCCCAGGTTCCCAGCCTAGAGCAACATCAAGCATCCAGCTCCAGCCCACACTGTCTCCTGCAGAGGCCACCCACGCCGGCGAGCATGGCCCAGCAGTCCCTGGGCCAGCAGCCTCTGGGCTCCTGACCCTACAGGGCACGGGATGAAGAAAGCCCAACACAACCAAGTGTGGGCCACATGCATCTTCCCTTCCCACTAACTCCTAGGACACAGGTAGTGATGTGTAGCTGTGGGGGAATGTTGCCTGGGTCATTTCGGGCAAGAAGTAAAGCGAATGTACACTCCAAAAGTGCCTCCTCCTAGGCGTCATGCTACCTGACTTCAAACTATACTACAAGGCTACAGTAACCAAAACAGCATGGTACGGGTACCAAAATAGATATATAGACCAATGGAACAGAACAGAGGCCTCAGAAATAACACCACACATCTACAACCATCTGATCTTTGACAAACCTGACAAAAACAAGAAATGGGGAAACGATTCCCTATTTAATAAATGGTGCTGGGAAAACTGGCTAGCCATATGTAGAAAGCTGAAACTGGATCCCCTCCTGACACCTTATACAAAAATTAATTCAAGATGGATTAAAGACTTAAATGTTAGACCTAAAACCATAAAAACCCTAGAAGAAAACCTAGGCAATACCATTCAGGACATAGGCATGGGCGAGGACTTCATGACTAAAACACCAAAAGCAATAGCAACAAAAGTTAAAATAGACAAATGGGATCTAAGTAAACTAAAGAGCTTCTGCACGACAAAATAAACTACCATCAGAGTGAACAGACAACCTACAGAATGGGAGAAATTTTTTGCAATCTACCCATCGGGCAAAGGGCTGATATCCAGAATCTACAATGAACCCAAACAAATTTACAAGAAAAAAAAACAAACAACCCCATCAAAAAGTGGGCAAAGGATATGAACAGACACTTCTCAAAAGCAGACATCTATGCAGCCAACAGACACACGAAAAAATGCTCATCATCACTGGTCATCAGAGAAACGCAAATCAAAACCCCAATGAGATACCATCTCATGCCAGTTAGAATGGCGATCATTAAAAAGTCAGGAAACCACAGATGCTAGAGAGGATGTGGAGAAATAGGAACGCCTTTACACTGTTGGTAGGAGTGTAAATTAGTTCAAACATTGTGGAAGACAGTGTGGTGATTCCTCAGGGATCTAGAACTAGAATTACCATTTGACCCAGCAATCCCATTACTGGTTATATACCCAAAGGATTATAAATCATGCTGCTGTAAAGACACATGCACACGTATGTTTATAGCAGCACTATTCACAATAGCAAAGACTCGGAACCAACCCAAATGTCCATCAATGATAGACTGGATTAAGAAAATGTGGCACATATACACCATGGAATACTATGCAGCCATAAAAAAGGATGAGTTCATGTCCTTTGCAGGGACATGGATGAAGCTGGAAACCATCGTTCTCAGCAAACTATCACAAGGACAGAAAACCAAACACCGCATGTTCTCACTCACAGGTGGGAACTGAACAATGAGATCACTTGGACACAGGGCGGGGAACATTACACATCAGGGCCTGTTGGAGGCTGGGGGGCTGGAGGAGGGATAGCATTAGGCGAAATACCTAATGTAAATGATGAGTTGATGAGTGCAGCAAACCAACATGACACATGTATACCTATGTATCAAACCTGCACATTGTGCACATGTACCCTACAGCTTAAAGTATAATAATAATAATAATTAAAAAAGAAAGAAAGCGCCTCCTCCATGCCAGACGCTGCCTTACAAGCTCTGTGCACACTCACACATGCAGTCTCCACACCAGCTCAGGGCAGTGGGTCCTCTCACTGTGGACTTGGACCAGGGCAGCTGCCTCCACTTTGGGCTCCTGACACCTGTCCTGTAAGAGGCTGGGACACACACAACCATCTCCGGTGGTCCCCAAGGCCCTGCAGCTGTGGATGCATTCAGGGCAGGTGTGCCGGTGTTCAGAAAGGTCCTGACTCTGCCGCTCCCCGGCCCTCAGTTTCCTCGTCGATGAAACGAGCCTGCTCATGAGGACAAGATTGGGATATGCATAAAGTGCCCCCAAAGAGAGAGCATTCTCTAGAGGCTGGTTCCTATCACTGTCATCAGCATCCCAGATCTGGAAAGCCTGCTCAAGGAGCTGCACAAGACCTGAGGGACTGGCAGTTTACAAAGGGCACCAGACCCAGCCAGGGAACAGAGCACCCAGCACACCCACAGCATCACCACTGGCCCCAGCAAAGGTGGGAGAGGGTGTTGGGGGAAAGGAGAGCAAGAGAACGAGCAGGAAGGATCACAATGGCCCCTTGGGCCTGCTCCAAGCCAAGAGGTAGCTGCAGACCCAACAGGCCCCAAGGTCACCTTTGTAAGACCAGGCCCCTGGTAGTCCCCTTGGCCCCGCAGTTAGAGACGCTTTCAGGGCAAGTGCGCAGAGGGCATGTGCAGTGTTTGGGGTCACCTCCCAGGATGGAGGAGCAAGGGCAGTGGGCCAGACCCTGCACATCCTGGTTCTAGACATTCTCCTCTTCCCCATCACACCTCACACCTCTGCTGTCCCCAGACCCACAACCCAGTCTCCCTGCCTCCGCCCCAGCCAGAGGGACCCTCCCTGCAGAGGGCACCGTCCCAGAGCTACTGTAAAGGTAGGGCCAAGACTCCATGTTACCTGTGCTGCCTGGCATAAAACGCATGTCCAATAAGTGCGTGCTATGGTGGCATATAACTTACATTTACTGAACACCCGATGCTTGCCAGGCAGTGTTGGGCATACCGTGAGGCCCTAAGTATAGAGACACACGCCCCTGCTGCTCTGAGAAGAGCCCATGGCAGGGCAGGACAGGAACACAGAAAATCTGAGGGCAGTGTTATCTAACACAACCTGAGGGGGCAGGGAGAGGGCAAGGTCCGGGAGAGTTCCCAGGGGAGATGGTACCTCTGCTCCCCACCCCTCACTTACAGGTGAGGAAACCACTCAGACAGAAGTGACTTGTCCACGTGAAGTGGCACTCCCAGTCCTCGGCCAGCACTGCTTTTAGAACAGCATCCTCCACTTCCGTGCCACTGACATGGGGTCAGACACCTCTCTGTGCTGGGGCCGTCCTGTGCACTGCCAGATGGTGAGCAGCACCCCTGGCCTGTAACCCCCAGATGCCAGTAGCACCTCCCCAACTGTGACAACCAAAAATGTCTCTCGACGTTGCCAAACGTCCCTGCAGGGTAAAACTGCCCTTGGTTGAGAGCCGTGTGGAAATCTGAGCCGAGCTAAGAGAAGCCGCAGCCAAAGCCGAGCCTCATGCCACAGATGTGGTCACAAAGCTCTGGGTCGGGCTGCATCAGCCTCGCAACAGCACCCAGGCTCGCCCGCCTGCACCCACTTCTGCTTGCCCTCCCCTTCTGAATTTCTGAGATCTGAGTTCCTCTTTCAACTTTTCCAAAGTGTTTTTGGCTCAGCACCCCCTCTGGCTAAAGTGGATACTGGGAGGTATTATTATCCCCATTCTACAGATGAGGAAGGTGAAGCTCAAGGAGGTTAAACGTAGAGAAGTCACCTGGTAAGCAGGTGGCCAAACCGGGCTGGAACGGAGGGAAACCCAGTGTGCTCGACCAGGCAGGGCCTGCGGGTCAGGATGCCCGGCTCCAGCCCAATGCTGGCTGCCTCGCGCTCTGGCCTCTGAATCCGATCTGATCCCAGAAGGCCCTTCATGGGGGAGCTGAACTGGACCACACAGCCACATCCGATGAGGGGCCTGGTGTCAGCTGCTCTTCCTCTGGGATCAGTTGTGTGGGGAGTGCTGGGAGAGGCCCCCACCCAGGTTCTCTGCATGGAAAGCATCTCTTTCTCTTCCCAGGGCCTTGCCTCCTGTACAGTCTTGGCAACTCACTCACTTTGTGCATAGGGCTCAATCCTCCCACTAGGAGACACTCCTGCCCCAGCCAGAATCCAATCCTGCCCAGCTGGGAGGCCCTTACAGCCCCCCACCCCAACACACACTCTCAGTGTTTGCTCGCTAACCCATATGACTAATGGTGGGACTATAGGCATTGGGATAGAGTGCCAGGTTTAGAGGGCAGATGCCTGGGAACCCCCAAATCACTGAAGCAACAACCTGACAGCTGCACACCCTCTTCAGCCATGGACTGGAGGCCTCCTGCAGGGTGACCAGGCTGTTAACAGCTCCACACAGGAAAGCATCTGGCCTTCCTGTCTCCCTCCTGGACATGTCTGGTCACCAGTTGTGATGACCAAGGAAGGTCCGGCATTGCCAGTGGGTCAGGGCCCTGGCTGGCCCCCTGGCCAGCCCCTAACTGGCAACAGGATGTCCCTGAACTGGAAGGCAGGGGAGGAAGGGCTTGGGGGAAAGGCAAGGGAGGGAGGACTAGGGGAAATGGCAGGGGAGGGAGGGCAGAGGAAGTTTACAGGCCACTGGCAAATGTGGGGACACAGCACTGTGAGACTCCTTCGAGAGGTAGGGAGGGAGAGAGGGCTGGAGAGGGAGGGCTGGGGGGAAGGCTGGTCGGGGAGCATGGAGATTCCAGGAGGGGCTGCTAAGTCCAGTGCTGGGTCTTGTTCTCAGGTGACCTGGAGCCTGGATATTCGGGGTCCACAACCAGCTCGTCAGCAGCCTCTGACCCCAGGGTCACTCCCGCCCTCCCCAGCTACCCTTCCTCCCCTGGCCTCCAGGACACAGCTCTCCAGTGTTCCTGACCCTGCTCTTTCTCCCTGACCTGCTAACAAATGCTGGAGGGCCCCAGCGTTGGGCCCTTGAATCTGGTCCCCTTTCTGTCCTACCCACTTCTTGTTTGTTTTGAGACAGAGTCTTGCTCTGTTGCCCAGGCTGGAGTGCAGTGGCGTGATCTTGGCAAACTGCAATCCGGGTTCAAGTGATTCTCTTGCCTCAGCCTCCCAAGTAGCTGAAATTACAGACGCCCGCCACCATGCCCGGCTAATTTTTGTATTTTTAGTAGAGACGGGGTTTTACCATGTTGGCCAGGCTGGTCTTGAACTCCTGACCTCAAGTGATCTGCCCACCTCGGCCTCCCAAAGTGCTGGGATTATAGGCCTGATCCACCGCACCTGGCCTGTCCCACCCTCTTCTCTGGTGACTCCCCCAGTCTCACAGTGCTATATCCCTACATTAGCCAGTGGCCTGTAAACTTCTTTCTCAGCCAGACTACTCCCATAAATTCCTGACACGTACACCCCAACACCTCCTTCATGGCTCCACTTGGATCTTTTTTTGTTTTGTAGAGACAGGGTCTTGCTATGTTGATGAGGTTGGTCTGGAACTCCTGGCCTCCCGTGACCCTCCCGCCTCAGCCTCTCAAAGTGCAGGGATTACAGGCATGAGCCAGGGAGGTCCCTGCAGACCTCTGAGCCACAGAGCTATACGACAGTAAATTTGTTTTGGTTTCAGGCATGACATCTGTGGGAATCTGTCACAGCAGTGATAGAAAATACATCCCAAACTTACCAGGTCCAAATGGAGCTGCTGAGCTTCCCACAAACCTGCACCCCGCCCCAGGCTTCCCCATCTCAATAGATGGCCACTGCACCTTCTAGGTGCTCAGGCCAGTCTTCCAGACTCCTCCCTTCCTCTCATGCCCCACTGCAAACCAACAGCTCTCCCCGGGAAATGCATCTGGAACTGGCGACTTCCCCCAACCCCAATGCTGTCTCCCTCCTAAATGGCTGCAAATGCCTCTCATAGGATCTGCTTCCCCTGGTGCCTCGCACCCCAAGTCTGCTCTCAACACAGCAGCCAGTGGGACCCTGCGGAAATGCAAAGCCACTTCACTCCTCTTGTCAGGACCTTCCGATGGCTCCAGGTTTCTCCTACAGTAAAAGCCAATGTCCTTGCGGAGGTCCACCCCTGGCCAGGGCAGTAGTCTTCAGGCTTGAGTATGTCCCTAGCACCTGGAGCTGGGGAAGAGAGAAGCCGCTGGGCCCAAGCCCAGACTTTCTGAGCCCGCAGGTTTGGGGCAGGGGCCTGAAGATGCATTTCTACCAAGCTCCTGGGCTGCTGCTGCTGCTGACCCAGAGCCCCTGTCCTCGAAGGCCTTGCGCCCAACTCCCAACTCTGGCTTCAGAGTTTGCTCACCCCTGATGACACTGAACACTGCTCAGGAGAAGTGGCTGCAGTGACTCCCCCATGAAGTCACCCAGAGAAAGGCACTGATGGGGGACCCAGGACAGAGAGTCCCCCAAGAAACTCCTAAAAATCCCAGTGCCTGGGTTTCACCCAGAGATTTAGAGTTCGATGCCCCAGGGTGGGCACAGCGGGTATTTTTTAAAGTTCCCAGGTGATTACAATGATAATGTACAGCTGGGTAAAGAGCCCACTGGCCCCCCACCTCCACTGCCACCACTCCTCACTCACTCGGCTCCACCCACTTACCCTGATGACACCGAGCACACCCCACCTCCAGCCTCTGTGCTCTCTGCAGCAGCCCCCACCCCTGCTGCTCCGGGCCCCCTGCTCGGTGCCCATCCAGGCAGTAGCTCTCACAGGACCTGGCCTCAGGTTCGCCAGCAGGAGGTGGAGCAGAGGGGACAGGAGAAGGCTCCAGTTCTCCCTCTTGGTCAGCAGGTTCCCTCATGAATTTAACAAATCCTCCCCGAGCTGCTGCCTGGTGCCAGGCACTGTTCTAGGCACAGGGTGCTAACGTGACCAAGACAAAGTCCCTGCCCTCATGTGACCCGCAGCTGGGGGAGACAAACCACAAACTAATGATAAAGAAACTGAGATACCCAGTATCTTAAGGGAGTGACAAGGCTGTGGAGAAAAATCAAGTGTGTAAGGGAGTCTCTGCTCCTACAAGGAATGTGCTAGGAGCCAGGAGACACAGAGGGACAAGGAGGACCTTTATGTCACCAGCACATCAGGAATGCTGCCTGCCGGGGCCCACCAACACCCTCCACCAGCAAGGCTCCAGGGAGAGCCACAGGGGCGAGCCTTTGAACACTTTGGGAACGCAGATCCCCTTGAGAACCGTATTTCAGCACTCCAGGAAGAAGCACCAAACACATAATCTTGCCCATAATTTCAGGAGCTTTATGGACCTTCTGGACTGGGACCCCACTGTGTTAAACATGGAGTGTCAGGCACCATAGCCCTTCAGATGCAGACCCCACCCCCAGCCCAGCCCTACAGGGTCCAGGTCCCAAAGCCAACATGAGATCCCCTTGATGGCCCTCGGGGCCGTCCCAGCAGCTCCAAGCTCTCGCACACTTGCCGAAGCAAGGCTCGTGGATGGCAGGCAGCTTCTTCATCTCTGATATCCCGTAGGTCACCAGGGAAGGAGGAATCCTAATTAAGCAGACAGGATGAGGACTGCTTTTCTGCCACCCAGGGTCTGTCACACTGAGGCTAGCCTGGCCTCTGGCCAGGCCCATGCCCTGCTGCCCACTGATTTGCCCTGGTGGTCAGGACAGCCATGCCACCACCCCGGGCTCAGCCCCCTTGTCCATGGATCAAGGGGCGAGCTTCCTGCTCCATTACTGCTCAGGAAAAGTGACTGAGGTGACTCTTCCATGAAGTCATCAAGGGAAAGGGACTGATGGGGGACCCAGGGCAGAGAGGAAGGCTTTTTGACTGCTGCATGTATTTCTAGAAGGCTGCATCCCCAGAACCCAGATCCATTAGTTCCTAACAATCCCCAGGGCACCATAACTCTGGTCTATTACAGATGAGAACCACGGAGGCTCAGAGAGGACAAGAGACCCCTCTGACTGCACACACGCAGACTTGGAGCAGAGCTGGGGCAACAGTCCCCTTCCGGCCCCCAGTGGCACTGAGGATAGCTCACATCCAGGCTGGTGGGACAGCCTGGGCTCCTCACAGCTCATCTGACAGTTCCTTAGACACTGCCTGGCCAATGGGAGCTTCCAGGCCCTCGGCTGGCTGACACCATTCCCCACCAACAGAACATCTGGAACTCACGACGCCCTCCCTCTGACGGGGGGCGGGGGGGGGTGTCTGAGTGAGAGAATGGCTGCAACCATGAATCAGTGCTGTTATTGTGAGTACCACTCACATACGCATTGCTAATATCCCTGATAAGCACGGCTCACAAAGCCTGCACATTTATTATCCATGCAAGCCCCACTGACTGGTTCAAGCCTGCCACAGCCCTAGGGAGCAGGAATTCTTATCAGCCCCACTTTACAGATGGTGAACTGAGGCTTCGACTGTTTAAGGGATTTTTACAGCCAGTTTATGAAGGTGACAGGATCTCAGCACAGGCCTGGCTGACTCTGAGGCTCTGAGCTCCCCCAACTGGATCAAGACCCCAGAACTCCAGGGGTATGAGTGGGCACATACCCACAGAAAACGGAGCCTCATGGGAGCCTGAATGGGGTTTTTGGCAGGTGGAATAAACCATCTGTCATCTTGTGCATACTGTCCACCTTGCAAAGAAACCTCCTCAGAAATCACAAAGGCAAACCTCACACTGCCCCCGACTGTGGGTGAACCCGCTGTTAGGAAGGTCTGAGGTACTAAGTGAAGTGAGGCTGGCTGTTGCTCCTGGCCACTGGAGGCCCCGAGGATCAGGGAAGAGCAATGGAGAGATCACAGCTTCCCTGTGCACCAGCCACCCCCCACGCCCACCCCAGGCTCCAGATGGGGAAAGAAAATGGGGCAAGGGGACAGGGGATGGCAATCCCTGCAGGAGGCACGGTCCTCTGAGGCACAGCAGCACAGGACGCTCACCCCTCCACACTCTGCCCCAATCCCAGCACCTGTATGTCCCACGAAGTTCCCTGTCACAGATTCCTCCTGCCAGGGCCAGCATCCGGCCGAGCGAAGGCCCAGCCTGGGCCACTTTCTCCCCCATCTCCAATCCAAAGCTCCTGGTGGCACCCCTCTGAACCACTTGGAGCAAGCCCGTTCTCTCTGGGCCTCATACACTCACCAAGAGAGAAGGTGTGGCAGAGCCCAGTGGCTTCTGAGGGGCATGTGGCTGTGGACTTTGGGAAAAGGGCCAGCCCTGGACATCGAAGGTAGAATGGAGGGAAGCCTTGCTTCCTGCCCCTTCCCGCACTCAGCAGCCCTTCGCAGGAACTTGGGGCACTTCCCCATGCCCGAGGGGCTGCTGGGCAGCTCCCAGGCAGGGGCAAGCTCGCTCTCTCTCATTCTCAGGCCTCTGGGTCTCAGTACTGAGAGTTGGAGCCCGGCAAGGTCAGCAGAGTGCTGGGGCAGGCAGGATGCCCATGTCCTCGGAGAGGGCAACAGGGACGAGAACAGGACGAGCTAGCCCCTTCCCCACGGCCAGAGGTGCAGGGCCTCTTTGAACAGGGGAAAAGCTACATCCCTGGCTTCAGGGTCCCCTTCAGAACCAGGTGTACCATGGAAGGGCCCCAGGGGGCCGTCAGTGTCTGATCCAAGTGTGGGTCTGTCTCCTCAGTTAATATTTTATTGAGACAGAAATGTGGCGCCTGCGGGTTTGGTTACTGATCCCATGGGCTTGAACCTTGCTTGGGGAGGGGTAACTGGATACCAGGTGCGGGGCGAAAGGGGAGGCCCCATCACAGGGCAGAGGCCTCAAATCTCTCCCCACCGCCGGCTGCCAGGTGCCCTGGGCTGAGGGTCCTTCCTGTCATCTGCACCCTGCGCCACCTCCCGCTACAGGGCGACCCAAGCCGGTGTGCTCACCAGGGGCGCCCGGACTGCAGGCCTAGGATGGCAGGAGCTGTCCGCTCAAGGTGTCACCAGGCGCCTCACTCACACCCAGCCCAAGCGCTGCGGCTTCGTCCCCTCTGGGGCTTCCTGGGACTACGTCTCCTTAGTCCCAGGCCCAACCCTCCGGAGCCGGGAGGGGGCGGCGGCCCAGGCCGCTCCTCGCCAGACCAGTGCACCCCGGCGTGCGGGTACTGGTCCCTCCCTCCAGACCACTGGTCTGCGGCGGAGGCGGCGAAGGGGCAAGTGGCCACGCGTTACCTTCCATGGATATGGGCTCCAGGATGCCGAACTGCTTGAGGACGGCGATGAACAGCAGCACCACCACGGCCATGGCGCACAGCTCCATGCCCTGGATGCCCATGGCAAGCCGGGCTGCCTGGGGCCCTGGGGCCCGGGCGCACCCCTCGCCCACGCGCTGCCTCGGAGGCACCGGGGCCCCTGCAGCCCGCACGGCCTCTCGGGGGCGGCGACGGCTCACATGCCCCCGGCAGGCGGGGCTGCTGGGTTGGCTGGGCCGGGGCCCCGTGGAGGGCGGCGGCGGCGGCGAGCGGGTCAGGCCGGAGGCTGGACGCGGGGACCGGACGCGGCGGCCGAGCCCGAGCGCAACTTTCCGAGTCAGCCGGCAAACTTCGAGGCGCGGCGGCGGCGGCGGCGCGAAACGCAGCGCGGACGGCCAGCGCGGGCCAGCGGCGCCTCCATGCCCGGCGCGGGCGCTGCGCCTCTGTCGCCCCCTCTCCAGCCCCGCGGGCGCCGGGGCGCGGGGGCGCGGCGGCGGCGGCGCGGCGGCGGGGGTCCCGGGCGCTCCCGGCCGCCCCAGCCTCCATCGCCGCTCCCCGCGCGCTCATTGGCCTAGGCGCGGCGGCCACTCCGGGAGGCGTCCCTGCGGCCCCCCCGCGCCTGCCCGGGAAGGGCGGAGGGAGCCGGCCCCGCCCCGCCCGGCACGGGCCAGCCCAGGACGGAGTCTGGCGCGTCGCCACCGCTGCTCCGCCAGCCCCTGGAGGCCGCGCGGTCGGCGGTTTCTCCCACGCGCAGGATGGGGGCCGAGGGGCTGGGGAGGGGCCGGGAGCCCGAGAGGAGGGGGCGGCGGCTGCGCTCTCCCGGGGAGGCGCTGATCCCGGCCCGCCCCGCGCCGCTGGCCCGCGCGGAGTCGGCGGCGGGGGATCCGGGAAGCCCTCACTCCCCGGCGCATTTCCCGCAACCCCGGTCCTCCGCCGGAGATTAAACTGGGCCCAGGCTGGCCCCCTTTGAAAATGCAGAAGTTGGTCTCCAAAGTTCTCCCGTTCTGGAAACGCGCGTGCACTCGGGGCTTTAGGGAAAGTGTGGGCTTTGGCCCTGGCGTCTGCGGAACAGAGCTTGGTCGCTGACTTTGCTGCGTGACCTTGGTCGAGTCACGGACTCGCAGCCGCCGCCGCCTGCTCCGCAGAGAGGGGGAGACGCCCGCCTTCGGGCGGCGGGGAAGAGCTAAGCGGATGCGGAGTGCCACGCACGGGCAGGGCAAGGGCATGCTTATTCGTTTGTGGGTGGCTTTCTTCCTGCCGGGTCTGGTAGAGGAGGGAAAGCCGCGAAAAGGAAGGAGAAAATAGGGGAGGACGAGGCGTGGCCGGGCGGAGCCCGGGGTCCTTGGAGCCGCGAGGCCGGAGACCTGAGCCGGGAGCCTGGCCCTCTGCTGCCCTCCAGCGGGCGCGGCGCACTGTGGGCATCCCCGCCGGACGGACTCAGCGCGGCAGCGCGGCTACGGCCCGCACCTCATCCTTCCCGCTGTGTTAGCCAAGGGAGAAATCCAGCTCCGCTCCACGCCTATAAGCGCGAGTCCTGTTTGGACTCACGGCCTGAGCAATTGCAGCTTCCATCTAGGGAGCCTCTGCCACTCACTCGGCCATTCATTCAGCTGATGTTGAGCGTAACACGGTGCTTGGTCCCAGGCACAGAGCTCGCTGCCTGGGTGGGGTGGGAGCCGCGGCGCGTGGCTGCGAGGGCCCCCTGGAGCGCGCCTACGTGTGCCAAGCCTTTGAGCTTACGTGTGATTCTTAAAGGGCTCCCCCCGTGGGCTTTCCTCTTCCTCCATTTTACGGGGGAGGAAACCTAGGCTAGAGGGCTAATTACGTGAGGGGCACAGGGACAGCCAGGCCTGCTGGAGTCCGGAGCGGGGACTTTCCCGTGACACCAGCCTGTTTCTGGTGGGAAATGACCGGGAGAGGGGCTGCGCAGTGCAGCTTCACTGTATCACATGCCTAGTTAAATGTCTGAGCCGTTGGCGTTAGTTTTAAAGAACTGTAAATGCATAGCTTTTAATTCTAGTTAATTGGGATGTGGTGATTCTCCACTGACCAAAGGCAAAAGTCCTAAGCAGAGAGGCTAACAATCCCCAGAGAAAACAGCTCTGTTGGAGCAGAGCTTTTAAGGTTAAAGAGCCTCCTGCAATGTAATTTACACACTTAAGTGCTGAACAAGATCCAGCCTGTGCCCAGGTAGTGCCGGCTCAGCCTCCATTAGTGACCTGTAAAAGTGTAGTGGTACATAACCCCTCTAAGCCTCAGTTTCCTCATCCATAAAATGGGAACAATAATCCAGCCTCTCCGGGGGCTTGAAAGGATGGAATGAGATGCAGGCTGGCACGTGGCAGGGGCTCCAGTGGCCCCTACAATGCACCCTCAGAGCTGCATGTGCCCAGCTTCACAGGGTGGCACGTGTCAGATGAGACAGAGAACTGAGCATGCAAAGGAGGCCATCTTGGGGGTCCTGAGGCTGGCCTCCAACCCTCTTCTCTGCCTCTGTTTCCCTGGATGCTTCTGAGCATCTTCCCAGTTCCCAGTGAGAGCTTCGATGACTGCCTATAAACCCTGAGCTATAAACAAGACATCGATCCTCTGGCTGTGCCGTGTAAAATATTAACAACGCCTAAGTGGATACGAGGCCTGAGAGCAGAGTATCCACGTGGCATTAGCCACCTGGGCTACGGGCCTAATGGATGGGGAGCTGACTCCCAGGCTCACTCACCAGCGTAGGCCCACTGAGGCTGGGCTGAGGGTCTTATCACACTCCCCTTCCCTGGGACTTGGAGAAGGAAGCCAGCAGGCGAGCCCTGAAGCCCCATGTGCCCCCCCCCACCCCGCCACCCATGAAGTGCCTTCCCAGGCGACTGTCTGCCCTGGCGTGCATTTCCTTGGTCCCCAGCACATCCCAAGTGCCTCCATGTGGCAGTATGCTGTGTATGGGTAGCACTCATTGCTTTGAGGAAAGCACAGGCTGGAGGTGAGGGACATGCAAAAAAACCTCTTCAGGGCGGGGAGTTAGGGAAGGACTGCCCCAGAGGTGGGGACAAGTTGAGGGGCAATGTGGAGGGAGCAGTTCACTGGTCCTTGGGGTGATTGGAGAAGGCTGGGCCCTGAGCCCTCTCCTGAAGTCCTCAGGATGACTAGGAGACAGGGGTGTCCTGCATCTTGCTCTAGTTTAGGAAGTTTTCAGAGGAAATTGCTTTGGGGTCGGGGTGGGGGGTCACTCCAAACCTGGACAGGCACCCCACACCTGAGGTCACAACCATGGCTGGAATATTGAAGCTGCCATCCAGTTCTGTCTCCAAGAAGCCAACCCAGATTCTACCAGCCCTGTCTTGACTGCCTTTGCCTATGAACTAGCACACACCTGCCTGGGCCACACTCTTCCTCCCTGCATTTTGGCTCTCTGCCCCGGCATCTTCCATCTTGTTACCACAGCTGTACTGGTGGTTCCCAAGGCCTGGGACTCTGTCAGTTTGACCGACATTCCCTGGATGTCCCATGCTAACTGTTCCTGACCACCTAGCTGCCCAGGGATTTCATGAGGTCTCCTGACTCATAAGGGCGGGTCTGGGCTGGATGCATGCTGTTTGAGGGACCCATTCCGTGAAAACAGCTCAGCACACTGGTCCAGTCCCAACTCTCCGGAGTGGGGCTGGGGGAGGCCTGCCTTATTCTAGTTTAGTTCTAATGCTTTCTACTGGGCAAAGCAGGCATTATTCAATTTATTTATTCTTCCCATATTTCATAGAAACCAGACAAGAATGCCCAGGAATGGAATTTCACACTCTCAAGGCTCCTCAAACTCAGCACCTCCAAAGCTGACCTCTTCATCCTCTCCCAACCTGCCACTTCCCAAGTCTCCCCATCTCAGCTGTTCAGCCAAAACCCTGGCTCTTACCTTGGAATATCTGCCTGTCCCCACCCCGTCCAGCCTGTCACCACACTCTCGCCCTGTGCCTCCTCGTCCATCTCTGCCCCACTGCCACCAGCCCAGCCACAGCATTGTTCTCCCTCCTGGACTCCCAACATGGGTCCCCAGTGCCTCTCCCCACCTCCACTGTGGTTCTCCTCCTACCTCTTCTCGGTTCAGCAACCAGCATGATCATCTCAAGACAAAAATCAGACCGTGCCCTTTCCCAACTGGAAACTACCAGGGGCCTCCTGGTTCAGCAATGGCCATGTTTGCCTGTGTGGCTGGTGACCACACCCCAATTTCCTTTCCCAGCCTCAGTGCAGTGACTTTGGAGGTTGGCTCAATCAGTGTCAATTTCTCTTTTCCACTCCATACCACCCCTCTGCTGCCACAGTGATTGGCTCAGGGATGGCCACCAGACGGGAGCCAGGATAGTGAGAGTCCTCCATGAGACTGGCCCCGGGGAAAAGCAGGCGATTATAGTAGATAAGTGGCCAGGCTGCCACCATGTGGGAACAGCGGGCCTGAGAACGGAGTCACCTCAGGAGAAAACACAGCTAAAAATGAAGACAAAGAGATCAAGTCCAGCTGGCAACGCTGCGTGCCCCATGACACATCTAAACCTGTATCTTTCGGACATATGAACCAATCAATCCGCCAACTGTGGCTTAAGCCAATGTGAGTTGAGTTGCTGTCCCCTGCAGCCAACAGGGTCCTAACTAATGCATTCTGCACTTCTCACGGAACAAAGACCACAGTCCTAAGAAGGCCCCTAATCCAAGCAGCTAAAGCACTTACTATGTACCAGGTGTTTCAACATGACTTATCTCTTCATTCCTCACAGTTCTGATAAGGTAGGAACTGGAAAGGAGGAAGAAGTTGAAGCACAGAGTGGTTAATGCTTTGCTTAAGGGCACACAGCTGATAAACCAGAGTCAGGATTTGAACCCAAGCAGTCCAGCTCCAAAGCCTGTGATTTCAATTCAACCTTGCCCCCCATGGCCGGGCCCCTCCTCTCTCTTTCTCGTGTGGCTGTGGTCACACTCGCAGCTACCAGAATGAGCCCAGCACTCTCTCATCTCAGGGTCTTCGCACATGCTCTTCCGTGAACTGTGAACACTTTTCCACCTCCCTGTCTTTGTCCAGTTTATGCCTCATCATCCTTGGGGTCTGCACTCTAATGTCACTTCCGCAGAGTCACCTTCCTAGATCTCCTCCATCATCAGTCTCCACCCCGCCCCCGTCCTTTTCCCTCCTTGCAGTTACTGCAATGGGAACATAGATATTTGCTTACGTGTTTACTTGTTTCTGCTCTCCCACTAGACTGCAAGCTTCCCAAAGGGACAGCTATTGCCTGCCTTGTATAAATATTTATTATAATTGATAGGGTTCACATGACACCTTTTCCCAATTGTTTCAGCACAGGATGCCCTGGTGTCACTAGCAAGAGCACAGGCCTGGGAGTCCAGGAGAACCAGGGCTGAGTTCCTGGTCCCAACCCTAGCCTGTTCATGGACTTGGCCACAGCACATTGCCTCTTTGAGCCTTCCTTTCCTCCTTGTAAAATGGAGTCACTTGGTGATATTTACCTGCCTGTTGCACAGTGGGCTATGGATATGAAAGCATCTCAAGACACGCAAGAGGGACTTTGTTTCTGGAGAGCCTGTTTCCTCACAGCCAAGACAACCTACGAAATGACACCAAGGGAGCCCAGCTATCTTGACCTTAGAGTATTGACCAAGCCCTCTGTATTAGTCCATTCTCACATTGCTATAAAGAAATCCCTGAGACTGGGTAATTTATAAAGAAAAGAGGTATATTCATCTCATGGTTCCACAGGCTGACCAGGCAGCGTGGTGCTGGTATCCTCAATCATGGTGGAAGGTGAAGGGGGAGCAGGCACATCTCACGTGGCAGGAGCAGGAGCAAGAAAGAGAGTGAGGGGGGAGGTGCCACACACTTTTAACACCCAGGTCTCACAAGATCTCACTCTGTATCGTGAGAACAGCTCCAAGTGGATGCTGCTAAATCATCAATGAGAAACAACGCCATGATCCAGTCACCTCTCACGGGACCCCACCTCCAACATTAGGGATTACAGTTCGACTTGAGATTTGGGTGGAGACACAGACCCAAACCATACCACCGTTGAATCAGACCCCCAGGGGCCGCACAGAACCCTTCCACACAGCCTCTGCTCTGGCCCAACTTCACATGAAATCTGGGAGGCTTATGGCTACAGGTAACAGAAAACCCCATTCCTTGGCTTAAATCATAAGGAAATGTACTATGTCACACATGGAAAGTCCAGCCAGAGGGTGGCTTCCAGGGGCAGCCAGCTTAGATGCAGTGGTATCAGCAAGAACCTGGGCTCTTGCATCTAACTACACTACCAGCTTTAGAGCATCTGCCTTAACCACAGCCTGTTCCCATCATGATCACAAAACAGATGCCTAATTCCAGATATCACATTCTGACATGATACTGTCCAAGGGGAGAAGAAACCGTCTCTTCCGGCATCTCTTACTGTGAGAAAGACTTTCCCATAAACTTCTCATGAAAAATCCCCTCATGTTTCATTGGCTACGATTGTGTCACATGCCATGCCGAAATTGCTGGCAACAGAAAAGAGGCCACCACTGTGGCAGAGACTGCCAGCTTGCCACCAAAACCCATTCTTCTCTCTTCTACAGTAAAGTCTTAGCTACACGTGTGACCATCTAGCAGGGACTGCATTTCCCAGGCCTCTTTGTAATTAGTGTGGATGTGCATTGTTGCCAAAGGAAGCTATGAATGCTGCTTTGGGGATGGAGGTTTTGTTGTTGTTGTTTGTTTGTTTGTTTGTTTGTTTTTGAGATGGAGTTTCACCCTTTTTGCCCAAGCTGGAGTGCAATGGCACCATCTCAGCTCACTGCAACCTCTGCCTCCCAGGTTCAAGTGATTCTCCTGCCGCACCTCCTGAGCAGCTGGGATTACAGGCATGCACCACCATGCCTGGCTAATTTTGTATTTTTAGTAGAGACAGGGTTTCGCCATGTTGGCCAGGCTGGTCTCAAACTCCTGACCTCAGGTGATCCACCTGCCTCAGCATCCCAAAGTGCTGTGATTACAGGCATGAGCCACCGTGCCCAGCCTGGGACGGAGTTTTTAAGACGGTAAGTGACTCTCCTACTTGTTCTCTCTTCTCTTTTCCCACTGGCTGGAACTCACACATGTTGGTGACCAGCCTCACTCATGCAGATCTTAGGGGTTAGGGGAGAACACAGCCACAGGGTAGAAAGGGCCTGGGTGCCTGAATGGCTGCATGGAACAGAGCCTCCCACCAATCTAGAACTCTCACCCAGGGAGAAAGGGAGAAAGAAATATACTTTTTTTATGCCTTAAGGAAAGAGATGAGATCAAGTAAGAGCTATCGATTTGGAAATAGAGGTGGAAAGAGAGATGGAGATACCAGGTATTGAAGGCTTATTCACAGTGTTGGAAAAGCCAATTGCTTTTGGACCAAACAGAAGAGATAAGACTGATGCTACTGGGTTTTGGGGGTCTCACTATTACAGCACCTGGTCTGACTTCATTATTATTATTATTTTCAATCTTTTTTTTTTTTTGACAGGGTCTTACTCTGCCACCCACGCAGGAGTGCGTTGGCACAATCTCACCTCACTGTGACCTCCGCCTCCTGAGTTCAAGTGATTCTCCCGCCTCAGCCTCCCAAGTAGCTGGGATTACAGGCATGCACCACCATGCCCAGCTAATTTTTGTGTGTTTTTTTGGTAGAGACGGGGTTTCACCGTGTTGGCCAGGCTGGTCTCGATCTCCTGATCTCAAGTGATCTGCCCGCCTCAGCCTCCCAGAGTGCTGAGATTACAGGTGTGAGCCACCGTGCCTGGCCTGACCTAATTACCACAAGCATGATGATCAGATCAGTCAGGCCTGGCTCCCCTTGTGGCTGAAGGAGGAGGGGGGACACCTGAAATTGGGGCCAAAAGCAGAGCTTGTAGAAGAGGAAGAAGAGAGGGATAGATTGGGGCAGATAATCAGCAGTGTCTGCACTAACTCCCAGCTCCTTATGATATTTAGGCACAGGGCCCAGAGCCTCATCCTCCACCCGCTGAGTCAAGATAGCAAGTAAAGAGCATCAGCTTCCTCCAAGGCAGGGCTTTACAAAGGCTCCAGGCTGTGTCCCATCGGCCTGTACAGATGGGTCTCTCTTTGGGTGGGGCTTAGACAAGTCAATGCTGCAAGCACTTATGAAGCCTTTTCTCTGGGGATGGGCCTTCGAGGGATCATTAGAAAAGTTCCTCAAACTCAAGAATACCTGTTGCCATTTGCTGAACGAGTACCTGTTAGGTGCTTTACACCAATATGTCTTGATTTCCTCCTCACATCAACCTCACAGATAAAGGAAGTGACATCATTTACCCCTGTGGCAGACAGAGACTTCTGGTTGCTGATTTCACGTCACCTCTCTCCTTCTTCCGCTCGAGTAGACTCCTTATCTTGTTGGAATTGCTTCTCTGCCTTTTGGTTAACATCAAGTCTAATTTCATTGGGGGCGACAGTGTTCTTTGCCACAGAATTACATTTCCCGGGGTCTTTATGGCTAGATGGCCATGTGATATAGTTTGGGCCAATGGGTCATAAGTAGAAACCACTGGGTAGGGCTTTTAGGAAACCATCTTTATGGCAGTGGGAAGGACTCAGCTAGCATACTCTTGTTGCCATTTCTCCCTCCTCATTTCTGGGATGGGCTTATGATGACTGTCCCTGGAACCATGAAAGAAGGACACAGGTTCCTGGGCTCTGATGGCTGGAGCTACCAAGCTAAACGTCTGGATTTCTCATTGCTTGAGAAAGCTAAACTCGTCTCATTTAAGTCGCCATAATTAGGTGTTCTATTTCACGAAGCTAACATCAACCTCAAATGGAGTCTAAGGTGGAGAAACTGAGCCTAAGAGATGTGCCCAAGTGTCCACAGCTGGTGAGAGGCAGAGCTGCGGTTTGAACTCAGCCTGAAGGCAGTGCCACAGTGACATGCTGCCCCACAGCCCCTGCCTCCCCACCTACCTCCTGCCCTGGCTGTGCCGATGCCTCGGGGCCTCTGCCTTGCCTGGTGTCTGCCTGCTCCTCGTGGGCCATCAGTCTTGGGCCCGTGTCTCCTCCCACAGGCCTAATACCTGACTGAGAAACATTCACTGTTTGTTCTCCTGCTTCCCCCACCACCTCCAGTTTCCCACACTGTAGCCCCGTGGTTGGGCCTGGACTTTCTTGGCCCCAGTCCTCATCAGCACCCCCAGCCTAGCTGCCCGCCTTTCTATTCTGACCCTGCTTATCAGAGAAGTCTAGAAGCAGAAAAGCCCATCATGAGGACAGCAGAGAGCTTGGGTGAAAGATGAGGGTGGCCTGGACTGAGGTAGCGGCAGAAGGACTGGAGAGGTGAGGACATCATCAGGGGGAAGTAATAAAGCCAACAGACCTTGGGCAAGTAACTTAGCCTCAACATCACTCAATGTCTGCAACTGTAAAATGGGAATGATAGTAGTGCATATGTCTCAGAGTGAGTGGGAAGGTGACAACAATTAGATGTATAAAGCACTTTAGAATAAAGCCTTGGTCCATTTGAGGTACTCAATAAGGGCTATAGCCTCAACTGTTATGGCAGAGAAAGGATTCATCTTATATCCCAATGACACACTCAAGAGACCTAGCAGGAACATAGACAAGTTTGAATAAATTTGTATTTTTAACCATACAAACATCATTCCCTCCCCCGCCCCCTTGAATCCAGGAAAAGAAGGTTCCAACCATGTTAGAGTAGGTGGCATCAGACTAATCTGCCCACTGAAAACAACTCTAGGACCTGGACAGAGTATGTACAGCAACTCTAGGAGGGCACTGGACAGCAACAAATCATTTCTCGAGGCAATGATCCTCGAGAAAAGAGAATCGCACTGAATGGACCCCGCAGTTTACTTCATCTTTATCCTTGAGTATATTCTCCAAAATGCTGGGCATACAAGGTCTCCTAGCACTGGCGGTCACACTGGATAAAGGAAATAGAGCTCAGAGTTCAAGGCTGCTAAGGCAGCTAACATTTGAGATGATGGGGGTCTGGAAAGGAGGGAGCCACAGAGAAAAAGTAGCCCCCAAAATCTGCACGAACAGATCCTTTGGGGCCTTGGCTAATTGCTAGGCTCTGCATTAGCAGGGAGAGACTCTGGAGTGCTTGCAGGAACAACTGCAGCGATGTTGAGAGCAGAGCAAAGATCCCAGGGGTCAGAGAGCATTGAGGAAATATGGAGGTTCAGGCCCACCCACGCACTGGTGAACACCCTGGGCTTTCTGTTGAGACCTCAGAAAAGCCATTTGTTAGGATTAAGATCACACCTTAAGAGAAGAGCTATACTCTATGAATAAGGCAAAAAGCTGAAACAGACCCTCCCTAACAAAGGCTAAAAGCAAACTTTGACAGGAACGGTGTGATTTGCCAGGAATTTAAATGCTCGCCAAAACAAAACTCAATGCTCTTTATAGGGAGGTAAGTAAATCCAGGGCCTGTATAACATATCACTCACAATTTCCAGCATGCAATAAAAAATTGTTAGACATGAGAAGAGGGAGAAAGTGGCTGATTATGAAGTCAATAGAAATAAAATTCAGAGATGACTCAGATGTTTAAGTAAGCAGATAAGGACATAGTTCAAAATAACTATGATAAATATGTTTTTAAAAATAGAAAAAAGAAATGGACAAAGTAAATGAAAAGATGTAGTTTAAAATTTAACAGAGAATTTGGATCTTGTATCATTGAAGGCTTGATCAGAGACGTGGAACCACTATGACTGATACGGAGTCTGGGCTTTGTTATAAGAATGAGACTTTGTATAGTTGTGGAAGCTGGGGAAGAAGTCTTATTGAGGGCTGTTGCCTCTGCATATGCCTGAAGTTGCTGTAGGTTGGCAGGACCAGAAAATGGGAAGAGAGACTGGACATGAAGTAAGATAAAGTGAGAACAAACTGGAACTCAAAAGGACAAACTAGAATCCACATCTGTCTCTCACTGCCCCCAAACCTGACAACATGGGTGACCTGCAAAAGAAGTTCACACTGTCTGTCACAGAGCTACAGTGTTCAACTAAAAATTATAAGACATGGCAAGAGACAAGGAAGTGCAAATACAACAGATGATAATAACGGAGGAACAGAGGAACAAAAAGGCATGTGACAAATAGAAAACAAGTAGCAAAATGGCAGTGTAAATCCTATCATACCAATCATTACCTTAAATGTGAATGGACTAAAAATGAATGGAAGAAAAAAACAGAAAAGAATTTAAGGAGGATATGTGGGTCGAAGTAAAAAAGTCTAACAAATGTATAACTAGACTCCCAGAAGAAAAGGAGAGAGAGAAAAGCATGGAATTAGAATTAGAAGAAATACTTAGAACTTGAATAAATTATGATAATAATTTTAAAAATAATTTAAAGAAATAACAATAGAATTTGAAGAAATTTTCCAAAACTGATGAAAGATATCATATCATGGGTTTAATAAGCTCAATGAACCCCAGGCAGGATAAATACAAAGAAAACCACAGGTAGGTACATCTGCTATGGTGTGGAGATTCTGACATGTGCATGGTCAAACTGCTGAAAATTAGAGGTAAAGAGAAAACCTTAAAAGCATCCAGAAGAAAAACAGACACATTGTACTCAGAGAAATAACAATACAAAAATGATGGTAGATTTCACAACAAAAACCACAGAAGCCAGAATACAATGGAAGAACATTTTTCAAATGCTATTGCTCAAAGAACAGTAACTGGCCATCCTGGAAATCTATACCCAGCAAAAATGTCTTTTAAAAAATGAAGGGTAAATTAAGGCATTCCAAGTTAAGTAAAAATTGTGAGAATATATCATTAGTAGATACATTCCACAAGAAGTACTGAACAGGTAAAATTTCCCATGTGGGAACCACATTCTGGGAATAGATCTTTTCCCATCACAGGAGCTGTGGGATCTCTTAGCATCTCAGGCCAGAGTCAGGACCAGTGATCTGAAAGGAAAGGAATTTCATGTTCTTAATTAAGTAGTTCTGGTTCCCATGGTTCTCATGGTCAGGAAAGACTTGGAAGGTAGGAGAAGACCAAGCTACTTGGCCAAGTGGGGACTTGACACATGCCCAAGTGTTACTGTGGTAGCAGGCCCCTCACTGCATAGCTCTGGGAATATTCTCCTTTGAGCGCTCAGTGACCTGTTTGATTCCCCCTTGGTCAGGGGAACGAATCTGTCTTCATGCCCCCATCCCCTTACAAGGTATATCCAAGTCCCCATCTGTTCTGCCAGAGGTCTGCAAGTATCTAGTAACATTGAACAGGCAATGGAAGGGGAACGTTTGAGGCCAGCTTGTCCTGTGAGCCCCTCACCCTGCTTCCTGGTCCCCAGTGATGAAAGGTTCCCATTTCCTCTCCCATGTGGAGGATTTCTCATCCCATCTTGTGTCTTTTCATGCCCCTACCCAGATTCAGTGCAGGGGAGCTGACCAGTCCCAGCATGGCAGGACTGGGTAAGGCCAGCTGTAGCTCTTCTCTTCATACTCTTAGAGTTTGTACAAGGCCCACCATGTTGGTTTGTGAGTTTCTCTGGGTAAATTTCTGGGTTTTGGCTGAACGTGGCTTTCCCACCTCTCTCTGCTGGCAAGAGGGGAGGATAGTGACGGTAGGGAGATCCAAGGCTGTGTGACCTCAGCTGCCTGGCTTCGCACCTCCTTGAGCCTCAGTTTCCTTCATCCCCAAAGTGGGGAAGCATTCCTTAACCCCTGCCCACCCTGCATATTGTCATGAGAACCAGGTGCACACATGCCCATGCAAGTGTGCTGTAAACAGGGTCCTATGGGACATGCTAACTAGTGCGGTGCTATTCTAACCCCCCCGCCAGTCTAGGCTGGCACCCTCTGCACAGAGTGTATGCAGGAAGCACGGCCGGCCAACTCAGAGCCTGTGTTCCCCTGGCACTCGCCCCACTCACACGGGTCATCAATCCTCATGTTTTATGATGCTGACGCAAAGTGTTCTCAAGTCACATCCTCGCTGGTGATCTGTGAAGATCTCTGAACATAAGCATTTCTTTGTTTGAACTTGAGCCGAGGGCCCAAGGGTGTCTTGGGGAATTTCCATCTGGGACGCTTGATGCCAGGATCTCAGCTTCTGCAGTGTCTTCTGACAGCTCAGAGAGGTGTGTGTCTTGCAGATGGCCTGTGTCAGCTGAATGCAGACGAATGACTTGGGAATCACAACCTTGGGGTCTGAGTCAGAAAGCAGCAGGGGAGCAGCCAGGGTGCTGGGCAGGAGTGAGACGCCCCCTATCCAAGTCCCACCTTTGCCTCAAGGAAGCTGGGAGGACTCAGCCACCCATCATGCCCTCTGCGTTCAGTGAGGGAATTGGGTAATAATAATGGATAGCAGCAGTGTCATTCATTGCTGCTTACCATGTGCCAGGCACTGTCCTAGGCACTCACTGACATAGTATCATTGAATCCTCACCATGCTCCTACGAGCTGTCACAATTGCAACCAACAGAGGCTACAGGACTTGCCCATACGGTCTCTAGAAGCATCAGGACTCTATCCTGAGCACGTGCTCTGAGGAGTCTCTGGAAACACCCAAGCATTCCCTTCTTCGAGGCTAGGTTGACCGAGGGCGGGCCCTGGTGAGGCCACCACAGGAGAGGAGTCAGGGTCCAGGGCAGTCTGTTTCCCGCAGCAGTAGTGGTAGAATGGCTTTTGATTCTTTTCTCAATCCGGAGGGATGTAAGATTTCAGAGTTAGAAGAGGCCTAGGTTCATGCATTTACTCATTTGACAAATACTTCCCAAGTCGACTCTGTGCCTGCCAGATGTGGCACTACATGCTGCAGCTGCGGCCCTGGCCTCAAGGAGCTTACACTCTAGAGGTGCAGGCAGATAGTCAAACAGTTATAAGGGCATGGCCAAGTCTGTGGCCGGGGATTTATCCTCAGAGCAAGGGAGCATTCGTTTGGTTTTTGTTTTCTCTATAACAACCACTCTAGCTGCAGCGTGACTGCATGCAGAGTAGGGGAGCTACAGTGATTTTACCCCAACTCCCATTTCACAGGTGAGACAAGTGAGGCCCAGCAGAGGCTGTCACAGAACTCACGCGAGACAGGGCATTTCACATTCACATAACTTTACATTTTATTAAGCATCTTCACATTTGTCTTGTCCCTTTGTCCCTAAGTCTGGAAGACCCCCAAGGATGTAATTGTGATTCCCATTTAACAGATGAGAAAATTGAGGCCCAGAGGGACAAAAGGTCTTCCCAAACACAGAGACAAAAAGAGGCAGGGAAGGCTTGAGAACCCAGGTCTGAGATTCCAAAGCCAGGGCTCTTCACCACCCCCATGTTGTCTTGAAAATATAAAGGGTGTATAGTAAAGGTTCTGAGAAGTTCTGTAGTGAAAGAATTTGTGTAGCCTCATATGACTAGTACTCCCCAAATGTGTTTGCCCACAAAATACCTTTCCACATGACACATATTAATATCCCATGGCCCACACTTGAAGACGAAATGAAATAATGCTTACATTTGTTCTCTTTAATATTAAGGAACACCTCCTCCTCTCCGTCCCCTCACCTGTTTTCTGGGACTCCTTTTAGATGAAAGATGAGCATGCTGAACTCTCCTCCATGACTTTTAAGTTCTTTTTGATATTTTCAAAATAAGAGATGGCGTTCCGCCATGTTGGCCAGGCTGGTCTTGAACTCCTGACCTCAGGTCATCCACCCGCCTCAGCCTCCCAAAGTGCTGGTATTATAGGCATGAGCCACCAAGGCGGGCCAGACTTATATAAACCTTAAAACAGTTGACTCAGAATAAAATCAGATCATCAATACGTTCTCCTGTTGGTACGCATCTGCCCCAGAGCGCCAGGGCCATTTGTGTGTCACATGCATGTTCTCGCCTGGCTCTGTGCAGTCTGGTTGAGGGCTCAGGAGGACCGGCCTTTTGCCTGTGCTCCTGGGCCCCTGGATTCCTTGGCCTGTGCCTCCTCTCTCTGTCTGAATGCTGAGATGCTGTATTAAGGCTAACTTGAGTGAACTTGCTCAGTCAAAGGGACCTGTTAGCCCTTAAACCAAACCACTGGAAGAGAACGGGGCGGGGATGACCAGAAAAGTCCGCTCACACCGTGTCCTTCACCTCTCACATGCAGACGCTGCATGTCAGCGTCCCTACTCAAGTGGCTTCTTCCATGTGGCTTCATGGTTGGCTACAAGAAGTTGCCCAGGCCTGCATGTCACAGCCTCTGCATCCCAGTCACAGGGCCTCCCACTGTCAAAATATCTGAGAAGGGATCTCCTTGGCCCAGCCTGGGTCGGGCACCTGCCCTGGCCAGTGGGTATTCCTGTCGTGACTGGCCAGCTGGATCGGGTAAGAAGCTGGGAGCCCTCGTGGCTACCGATGGCAGAACAGGATGTGGGGCGCTCTTTGGAATGTGGATAGGTGTCTTTCTGAACAGAAGAAACAATAGCAGCCTTCTGCAAATGTCCAAGCCAAGCTCTGAGGATGGGCGCAGGCAGCGGGAGCAAGGAGGCCTTTAGACATCAGCGTGCACGACTGGCTCAGTCCTGGGCCTCTTCTGCTCGGTCTTTTGGCTTCAAATCCGTCTATGTGCTGATGACCCCCAAATGTATCCCTCCACTTCCAACCCTTGCAGATCCCACCTGCCTCCTTGAAGCCTCTGCTAGGATCTCTTTAGATGTCTCAGACTTGAAATGCTACCACCAAGCCCCCTCCTCCCCTCACGCCAGGCCAGCTTCTGTTTTTCCCACCACAGTGAATAACAGCTTGGTTCTTCCAGCAGCTCAGGACAAAAGCCTTGGCCTGACTCCTCTCGTTCTCACGCAACAGACACCCAGGACATCTGCAAATCCTTTCGGTCCCATCTTCAGAGTGCCTCCAAATGTACCGCTGCTCCCTCCCGCCTCCGCTGCCACCCTGGACAGCCACAAATCCCTGCCACTCCCTCGCCTACCCCTCGGGCTCAGCCTCCACCCCTCATCAGCAGGAGGGGCCTCTCCTGCCAGCTCACCTCACCCTGAGCTCTGGCCCTTGCTGCCCCTCTGCCTGCCTGGACAGCTTCCCTTTCACTCTCCCTCACCCCTCGGATCTGTATTTGAACGCCATGTGCCCTGCAGGCCCTGCCCTAGGCACCCCTCCCTTCTTCCCAGTCCTAGGTAATTTCTGCAGCCCTATTCCCTTGCAATATATCGTTTACTCATCAATCTCATTTTATAGCCTATAAGCTCTAGGGGTTTTTATTCTGTCTGGTTCCCTGCTGTGTCCCCAGAGCCTGGGACATTGCCTGCCAGAGGAGGCAAGGAGACCCACGGCTTCACAATGGGATGTTCTCAGACCAGAGAGCAGAGGAGGGATCAGTGCCAGCCCAGTGAACTGGGATTGGGAGCCACAGCCCCGGCACCCTGGCTGAAAGGGCCCTCTGCATCGGTGGCCACTGGCTCCAGGCCAGCTGCAGTTCTAGTGACTGTGTGCCTGTCCTCTCACGCCCCTTGTGGTGTTTGTCTGGCTGTGAGAGTTTTACACTGGGCAGCTGCCCTGGGGGGTACGGACGGGTGAGTCTCCCTTAGCACCAATGTGTGACCCGGACTGGGCCTCGAGGGAGAGGCAAGTGAAGTTGGTAGTGGAGCTCTTGGGAGCGCCTGGTCACCCTGCCCTGAGAGCAGGGCTGGGACACAACGCAGTCCCCTAGACTCCACCCCATATGGGATGGCCCTCAGAGGCCACTGGGGAGCAGCCCCAGCCAGGAGACCTGGTGCCCAGGAGATGCTATAAATATTGATTTGGCTTCACCTCCACCCCCAGCCCTTGGCAGGGGAGGTCTGGGCTGAGGCCTGTCCAGGGACCCATTCAGAATCAGCCTCCCCTGTCACCTCGAGATGCCCCAGGTCCCTGCCCCTCCCTGCCCAGTATCACTTCAGGGCACCCTGGGGAGCCGCGGCCAGACCTTCCTGCTCCTGCCTCTTCTCACCCCAGCCCTGCAACTCAATTACTCCCAGCTCACTTCTGCTGCGGCAGCTGGCGGTGGCTGCGGCCGGAGGTGAGGGACGTCCTGAGTCCCTCCTAGAAGTGGTCAGAGGCAGGGCAGGGAGGCCAGGATCTGCAGCAGAAATGGGGAGAGGGGCCTCCGGCAGAGGGGACGAGAGGGGGACCAGAGCGGGGGCGAAGGCCCTGAGTTGGCATTTTCAGGTTTGCGTTTGGAGACAATTAGGAGTTGAATTATTAAAGACGCGCAGGGAAGAGCTGTTTTTAAGAAAGCATGAGTAAGCAGGGGCATCTCACAGCAGCACCCAGGATCGAAGGCGATCAATGGCCGTAATGGCTGTAAATATTTACTCGGCTTAATTGGGAACGTGCACGCCAGCCACAAACCTGACGCAGGGGTCCATGCCCAGCAGACCCCCGTCAGGCCAGCCAGAGGGCACAGCTTCAGCCTGCTCCCGGGTCCCCCCACTCCCGGCAGCCAGGCCAGCACTGTGTGAGACCAGCGGTGATGGAGCCCCAGCGGTGCAGGTGCCCTCAGGGCACGGGGTCTGGAGTCAGATACAGGGGGGCCCTACCAGCTTGATCACACCAGACAGGCTGCTTAACCCCCCTGTAGGATGGGCTAGTGATGCCCATGTCAGGGCATGTGAGCAAGCCCAGTGCAGTGTCCAGGGTGGCCAGTGCCCAGCGAATGCCAGTCCTGTTGGCCTGGGGCCTGGTGGTCCAGAGGTGGAGGGCAGGTATCAAGGGAGATGCATGGGCCTCTGCTCTTACCCCAGACCTTTGGCTTAGTCGAAGTACAGGATCAGCTTACTCTAGAAAGTGGGATGTTCTCCATAGGAGTGCTATGGGATAAGAAGGTTGTAGGGCCACTCTGAGGCTTGGCCCGCGCTGGGAGCCACAGCACTAACTAGGCACTTACTGTGCACGGAGTACTCCTGGGCTAATCGCCGTGTTCTATTTAATCCTCGAAGTAACCCAAAGAGACAATTTCTTCTCTCATCACAGCCCATGTTAAAGATGAGGAAGTGGAGGCCAAGAGAGGCATGGTGACTTGCCCAAGGTCTCTGCAGTCCAAGCCATCCCACCTTTCCTAGGAACCGCTGGGCTACACTGAGACCCATCCATTCTCTGCCCTCCCCTCCTCTGCAGCTCCCCTCTTCCTTCCATGGGTCACTGAGAGGAGTCCCTGGCCCCAGCCAGCAGCCTGCATTCCTGAGGGCATAGCTAAGGCCCAGCAAAGGCCAGAGCTCGGAGGCAGCTAGAACTGAAAGACATCTGACCTGTGTTTCTTCCTCCAAGGTGTGTGCTGGGGCACACTCTTCCCCACCCCAAGAGTCTGGTACTGGGGAGCAATGCCTGCTCAGGCCAGGCTCCCTGGCGGTCAGTTAGCAGATCTGACTGTAGACTGAGAATGCTGCCCTAAGAATAGCACCCGAGCCCCTCCCCAGCACACAGGGACGGCAGTCACAGACGACCTGAAGGCGGTGAGCACGCTCACACACACAGGAGTGTGCACACACATGCATGTGCCACACACATGGGTACACGCACCTAAGCAGGCACGCAGCGGCGTCCAGCCCACCCTCCCCAGATTCACCACTTCCTTTGTGAGATCAGTGCTTGGAAACAGCTCAGCTGCCCACTGCCCTCCCCACCGCTCTCCTCCAGGCGCTCAGACAGAGCCCACAGCCTCTCTGAGTGGGCCTCACATTTCCCAAGCGGGATACTGTGGCTCAGACAGTGTGTGGAGCAGCAGCAGCACTGCTCTGGGAGTTAGACCTAAACGACCTCAGACAGCTCACATTCTTTCTCCAGTCCTCAGTTTCCTCATTGGTGCCATGAGAGCTCAGAAGGTCTACGATGAAGGCCAGAGGGGCCGGGGGAGGGGGGAGAGTGTGCCATCATGTTTGGCCCATTTTCCCAGTCCTGGGGAAGCTGGTGGGGGCTGGGGGTGGTGCAGGCTTGCGTGTGTGAGATCCTCATGGTGAAGTCCCCATGGGGTGAGGCTGAGATAAACTGCACACGGGCCCTTGCCCCTGCTCTCTTCCCCTGAGAGGGTGTGGGGGCCACGGAGCCCCAGCTCTTTCCAGTACAGGCTGGCAGCAGGTCTGCAAATCTCCCCAGGTCAGGTCTGTCCCCGACAACCCAACCACAGCAGATTCTACGGCAAGTTTAGCATGGAAGTTTGGGGTGAGTGTTTGGGGTGAGATTGGAAGGGGACCTGCAAGGTGGGAGGCAGAGGGGAAGGCTTCCCTGGCTCCTTCTTCCCTCCCAGCTGGGCTGAGTCCTGCTGCGTGTAGCCTCTAGGGTGCCTCATGCTGTGTGTTGGACGGATAGATGGACAAACAGATGGATGGACAAACCATTCCCTCTCTCAGCCTCAAGCTCTTCCCCTGGAAGATGGGGGCGATGGTGACGCCCCCTGCAGGATTAGCATGAAGACTAGCTGAGGGCACAGGTGTGGGCACCAGCACCTGCCCAAGACAGAGAAGGTGTCCTGCCACTCCAGATCCCTCCTCACAGTGGACATCCCCTTGCTCTGGCCCCAGGAGGTGCTCAGAAGCCACATCAACTGTGGCTACAAATGAAAACAACAGCCACTGCTTCCGGTGCATGTAAGTGTGACAGAGAGTGTGAGTGTGCATGGTGACTGTGCGTGTGTGGGTGTGTACGTGTGTGCATGTGTGAGTGTAAGCGTATGTGAGAGTGTGTGTATGTGTGCGTGTGTGTGAATGTGTGTGAGTGCACATCCAGGGTTCTTAAAAAGCAGGTAGGGTGGCCTCAGCCACTGAGCTGGGATCCCTAAGTGCAAGGGGACAATGAGGTCCTGGGGATGGGAACTAGGGGCAAGTGATGCCACTCACTACAGACAAGGTGGGCATGGTTAGTGTAAGGCACCATCATCAGGACTCGCAGAGACCTTGGGAGTCGGCCAGTTGACCTAGGGTTCCTAGAATGGAGCTAGGTGGTGACCTACTCAAGCCTTCCTTGTTCCGTAGACGTGGCACAGTCTAGGTCTAGTGAACAGTCAGCCTTCAGTCCTCCGGCAAGAGAGTGACTTGTCCCGTGCAATCTGACTGGGCAGCCGGCACGTGCCGAGCACTGTGGTGATAAGAGGGAGCAAGTCTTCTGAGGAGGCGACCCGTAAACCGAGGCCTGCTGAGGAGAGCGGCCATGAGGTGCGGGTGCTGGGGGCAGCGAGGGCCCCACGCATGAGTGCCCTGCCGAGGAAGGGCAGGGCGAGGGGAGTTCCAGGCGGAGGCCTACTGGGGCCAAGGGGCTCAGCCATGTGGGCAGAGCCAGGTCCCACGGGGCCCTGTAGGCCGAGGTGCATTTGGAATTTATTCGAGGACCAACGGAAATCAGGGTTTGGGCAGGAGAGTGGCAGACTCCAATTTACATTTCTGAAGCTGCCCCTGGGCCAGGTGGCCAGAGGAGGCCTGTCCTCTGGGGAGACCGGGGAACAAGGAAAAGAGTCAAGAGCAACCCCCACCATGGGCGTTCCCACCGCCATTCACAAGCACAGCCGCAGTGCAGCAGGGGGTGTCCTGTAGGGCTTCCCATTTGAGAACAGGGCCGGCAGGCCGGTCCAGTTACACAGGTCCTGTAGGCCATGTTGGGCGCTAAGAATTTGGGAGCCGCTGCCCTCCCAGAGCCTGGCGTGATGCTGTTCTTGGCCCTCCCGAGTGCAGTGTGTGAACGTGTGTGTGCATGTATGTGTATGTGAGTGTGAGTGTGTACTGGGGTGTGTGTTTATGTGTGCACATGTGAGTATATGTGTTTACACGTGTGTGTGTATGTGTATGTGTGTAATGAGTGTGTATGTGTAGTGAGTGTATGTGTGAGTGTATGTGTGAGTGTTGTGTGTGTGTATGTGTATGTGTATGAGTGTGTGTGTATATGAGTGCGTGTATGTGTGTATGACTGTGTATATGTGTATATGAGTGCGTATATAAGTGTATGTGTGTCTGACTTTATAAGTGTGCGTGTATGTGTATGTGTATATGTGTGTATGTGTATATGAGTGTGTTAGTATGAGTGAATGTGTATGTGTGTGTGTATATGAGTGTATGTGTGTATGAGTGAATGTGTATGTGTGTGTCTGAGTGTGTGTGAGTGTGTAGGAGTGTATGTGTGCCTATGAGTGTGTGTATGTGTGAGTGTGTATGTGTATGTGTATGAGTGTGTATGTGTATGAGTGAATGTGTGTCTATGAGTGTGTGTATGTCTGAGTGTATGTGTGCCTGTGAGTGTATGTGTGTATGAGTGTGTATGAGTGTATGTGTATGTGTGTATGAGTGTATGTGTGTATGAGTGTGTATGAGTGTGTGTATATGAGTGTGTATGTGTGTATGAGTGCGTGTGTATGAGTGTGTATGTGTATAAGTGTATGACTGTGTGTATGTATGAGTGTGTATGTGTATGAGTGTGTATGTGTATGAGTGTGTATCTATTTGTGTGTATGCGTGTGTGTGTGTGAGTGTGTGTGTGTACGTGTGTATGAGTGTGTGAGTGCGTGTGTGCGTGCATGTGCCCTGACCTGCCCCCTGCTCTGGGCATCTTGCCTCGCTCCAGGACACCTGTTTTGGGGGTAGGGGACAATGGCTGCCTTGGCCCCCTGAACCTCCTGCCTGGCCAGGACCCTCCTCACGGGATACCCAGCTTTCAGCCAGACCCCAAGCTGCTGGGACGTCCCCTGACTGTCCTCTTGTGTTCTTTCTTAGGCTCAGAGGCGGGCACAGGTTTCCGCACCCGCCCTCCTGCTGGGCTGAGCTGCGGCCAGCACTCCCTGCCACAGCCTCCCCGCTGCTCAGGTGAGCTCCTGCACCGTCTCCGCCAGGCCCCACTCCAGTCCCAGGATTCCGGTCAATGCTCAGGCCCAGGCCCAAGCCCAAGCCCTTCCCTCTCTGGGAGGGCCAGCTCTCAGCCACCCGAGTTGGGGTCCAGGCCTGTGGACCCCACCAGCGTGGCTGCACCTTGCTCCAAAGGCTGGCAGGGGCCCAGCCAGTACACTTCCCTCCTCACGCTGTCCCTGTCCTCTGCCTGTCGCTCAGCCAGCAAGGGACTGGAGCCCCCCTTCTACCTCCCAGCCCAGCCTCAGCCAGCCAGGGGTTTGTCACCGTGGTCCTGGGCTTTTTGCATTTCCTCCCAAATTGGAAGAGATCATAAAACTGTCTTTTGTTTTGTCTTGTTTTTGAGACAGAGTCTCACTCTGTCACCCAGGCTGGAGTGCAGTGGCGCCATCTCAGCTCATTGCAACCTCAGCCTCCCAGGTTCAAGCCATTCTTCTGCCTCAACCTCCCGAGTAGCTGGGACTACAGGCGCCCGCCACTACGCCAGGCTAACTTTTGTGTTTTTAGTAGAGACGGGGTTTCACCATATTGGCCAGGCTGGTCTCGAACTCCTGACCTTGTGATTCGCCCACCTTGGCCTCCCAAAGTGCTGGGATTACAGGCGTGAGCCACCATGCCAGGCCAAAACTGTCATTTTTTTTATTTTGCAAAGCAAGGGCATGAAAAAAATGTTTTTTAAAAAACTACTCACGTTATTTTTATTTATTTATTTATTTATTTATTTATTTATCTATTTATTTTGAGACGGAGTCTCGCTCTGTCGCCCAAGCTGGAGTGCAGTGGCGCAATCTCGCTTACTGCAAGCTCCGCCTCCTGGGCCCACGCCATTCTCCTGCCTCAGCCTCTGGAGTAGCTGTGACTACAGGCGCCCGCCACCACGCCCAGCTAATTTTTTTGGTATTTTTTAGTAGAGACGGGGTTTCACCGTGTTAGCCAGGATGGTCTCGATCTCCTGACCTCGTGATCCGCCTGCCTCGGCCTCCCAAAGTGCTGGGATTACAGGCGTGAGCCACCGCGCCCGGCCCTCACGTTATTAAGAAAAACTTCTGAGCATTATTTCAAACAAGAATGAAAACCTGAATCTGTGTCAGGGAATCCGTTTAGTTCACTGACTAAGTCAGCCCAGCGCCCATCTCTCCTCATTCCCCACAGAGGCCCCGCCAGCCCACGGAGGGGAGGTGGGGAGCCCCGGTCTATCTGCGTGGGTGGGGATTCCAAGGCAGTGGCCGCGGGCTCCCTCTGCCTCCCCGCCCCATCAGGTGCAGGCCCGGAGTGTGGATGAGGCACCTGCAGTCAGAAGCCCTGCACGTGGCCCTGGCAGCCCTCCCCTCCCCTGCCCTCAGGAGCTGGCCCCTCATCCATACAGGAGGACAGGTCTTCCTAGACAAAACCATCTGCCTCCCGAGGCCTCTGGGATGACATGGGACAAGGCCACTGCCACCCCAAGGCCTGCGGGGCCCTAGGGACCAGGGCAGGGGCTGCTAGGGAGAGGTTCCCAGCCTGTCCGGGGCTTAGCTTGGGGCATCGGGAGCCAGGACACATCCTGGAAGACAGGTGGCATCCCGGGGATGCCAGATCCTGGTGCCTTTAAGCCCCAAAGTTGTGACGGGGTGGGAACAGAAAACGCGGTGGAGCCAGTGACTTGAAGGAGTGAAATGGTCCAGGGAGGCGGACGCGTTGGCACCTGCTACCCCCTGGTGGAAGAGGAGGGAATGCCTGCAGAGAGCACTCCTGCACCCGCAGGGAGGGGCCCTTTCCTGGAGGGGTGGCCAGGCCTGCGGGCTCCAGCCTGGAAGATTGTGCCACGGAGCCCAGAGCACTGACTGCCCTCTCTGCCACCGCAGTTCTGCCTTTTCCTTGAGTAGCTCTAAGCACACAGAGACGTTTCCTCCCACCCCAGAGCATCTGAAAGCTGCTCCTGTCTCCTCTCCCCACCTTCCCAAAAAACTCCCAACCTCCTGCACCCCAGAGGGCAGGGATGTGGGCCCCACATGCCCAGCATACTGGGGAGGGACCTGGTGCCAGGAAGGTGGCCATGGGGCCAAACGGCCCTGTGCCTGGGCAGGTGGCTCTGCACCTTTCTGGAGGCTGCCCTGCCCATCTCGCCAGTCATCACGTCCTTCCGCTGACCCTCCCATAGTGTTCCTGTTCACCCCCCTCCTACATGTTCTATTTGGCCGTTAGGAGGCAGGCAATGGGGGAGGCTGGGTGGGTGGAGGCCAGAGCGGGGGCCAGGACCACAGCAGCCCATTCTTCCTTGAGAATCCCAAATTCCTGGGTAAAGAAGAGCATGGACCTGCTCGCGGTGGCTCTTAATGAACTCTGCCTCATTGGCAAGGCCCTGGGGAAGTGTTTGAGGAGTGCTCTGAGCAGAGGGGCACAGGGCCTCGCAGTACTCAGAAGCGCCAGGGAGAGCTGCCAAGGGCTGGGGTTGGGTGGTGTTTTGAAGGCAGGCCCCGTCCCGTGAACAGGAGCCGCAAGCACACCCCAGGCTCCCTGGCCCCTGTGCCGGGATAAGCGGGGTGGGGAGAAATCACGGGATAGACATCTGGTCTAGACCTTGAAAATCCTTCTCTCCAGCCTTCACTTCACAGACAAGAAAACCGAGGCCCCAACTCAGGGCCTTGAAACCAGTCCAACTATCACCAGCCCTGCCCTTGTGGCCAGGGGCAGCACTGCTTTGGCCCTTTATGGACACTGATAGAATCCTTAAAACCACTCTCCACTGTGCGCATTTGATGGATGAGGAGACTGAGATGCATAGAGACCCAGCAACTTGTCCAGGGTCACAGCAAGGTGGGGAGGGCAGCAGGCTGTCCCACGGGGACAGGGCTTTTCACGTGCCTCTGACAACCCTCTACAGTGACCTCATTCTTTTTTATTTTTTTCTTTGAGGCAGGATCTCACTCTGTTACCCAGGCTGGAGTGCAGTGGCACAAACACAGCTCACTGCAGCCTTGACCTCCCGGGTTCAAGCGATCTGCCCATGTTCCCTGCAAGTAGCTAGGACCACAGGTGTGTGTCACCATGTCCGGCTAATTTTTGTATTTTTTGTAGAGATTGGATCTCACTGTGTGCCCAAGCTGGTCTCGAACTCCTGGGCTCAAGCAATCTGCCCACCTCGACCTCCCAAAGTGCTGGGATTACAGGCATGAGCCACTAGGCCTTGCCAACCTCATTATTCTTATGGCCATTTTGCAGATGAGGAAACTGAGGCTCAGAGAGGTTAGAAGCAATTTGCTTCACACAGAGCTATGAGTGGCAGAGATGAGATGCTTAAGAGTAGTGGAAACGTGGCCTGAGGAGAATTGAGTGGCCTTTGAGGTCCCACCAGGCACTGTCTAGCATGGCGGTCAGGGGATCTGACTCTCGGAGGGGCAGAACTAAGCTGCACGATTGATTAGGGCTCCGATGTCTTCCAGGCCTGTAACACAGTTACAGATGCCATGGTTTCCTCTTCCCTCTGGCAGAGGAGATAACCCTGCAGGCAGTGGCCTCACTCACCTGGGTCTTTCTCAGTTTCATATCCCTTCTGTTTAACTGAGCAGTCCTGTCTCTGTGTGCCTTTTGTTCCCACCCTCTCTAAAGAGCCCCGTGTTTCTCTTAAATCAGCTCTGTCGTTCGTTAGTCCCCTCATTAGGGAGTTCAACAGAACCTTGACACGCACTCAATGTCTATTTGCAGAATGGCATTTTTAGTGCGTCAGAATGACGCTGTGTCAATTCAAGCCAGATGTGCCCAATTTTGTGTGTAACTTCTGGTCTCTGCTGCCTCCGTCGGGTGCCCCAGCCCCAGCCCTGACCCCCCTTCTTCCACTGCACCCCAGACTTGTCTCTGGGGCTCCATCCGGGGCGCCTGCCCTGTGATAGGGTGAGTGACCCAGAGCACAGGGCTGACGCTCTCTTGACGTGAACTCCATGCTTATATCTGGTATTAAATGTAACTTTTCCTGTTGAGTTTGAGAGAAGTCCCAACAGCCAGGAACAGCACGAGAGATACAGGACCAGCTCTGCAGGCCACACTAAGGTGCTGCGAAACCGGCTCTGTGACCCACCCCTTCATCCACAGAGGGTGGCGTAGGGAAGGCTGGGGGTGCCGGGGAGGAAAGGGCCTAGACTTCCCTAGGCTTGGGGGACTGGGGAGGGGAGGGCCTAGGGAAGGCTCGGGGGGCAGGGCCAGGGAGGAGAGGCTTGGGGTGTGGGGAGGAGAGGCTGGGGGTGTGGGGAGGAGAGGCTGGGGGTCAGGGAGGAGAGGGCCTAGGAAAGGCTGGGGATGCCAGGGAGGAGAGGCTGGGGAGGGGTGGGGAGGAGAGGGCCTAGGGAAGGCTGGGGGGGCAGGGAGGAGAGGCTGGGTGGGGCCGAGGGGGGCGGGGAGGAGAGGGCCTAGGGAAGGCTGGGTGGAGTGCTGAGCATTTTCCCTCCTTCTCCCACCCTGGGGAGCTTCAGTCCATCCTCCCTCCAATTCAGGGACTTCTGAGAAGGCCATGGTGATCTGAATGTGTCCCCTGGAGTTTGGGGGATGCAGGGCCAGTTGGGTCTGACGTACTCCTGGAGGAGGTCGGGTGGTGACTGTGGCTACACTGGCCAGTGGCCGCCAGGGTGAGGACAGTGAACTGGACACCCACCCAGAGGCCTTCATGGAGCCGGAGGGGATGCTCCCAGGGAATCCATCTTCAAAGTCCCATCCTCCCCACAAGAAAGACCACGGGAGAGGGGCAGGCTCAGCACCTGGGAGACAGGCCGAGGGGTGGCAGGGGCTGCTGAGGGGTGGCGGCCTTGGGCAGGTCTGGGAAGGGCATAGAGACCCGGGACCCGCCCACACCCCACCACACCCTGCCTCCTCCTCCCCGACCCCTCCAGGCTGCCGTGAGTGGCAGGAGGGAGTCCTGAAGCAAAGAAGGGGTGCCGGGCTGGAAAGGATTCCCTGAGTACTTGCTGACACCTGAAAGGTGACCACAGGATCTGCAGAAAATTTAATGCAAATGGCAGGGAAGAGCAGCCACACCGAGTGGACTGAGGGTCAGAGGCCACAGCGCCTCAGGCTCCCTCCGTGTGGTTCCATACCTTGGCAGCAGGCAGTGGTGTTTTCAGCAGCACCCACCTCATTCTCAGCCGCGCCTCCGGGTCCACACCCAGCCAGCTCTAGCCTCCTCACCCCTGCTCCCAGAGAGCACCTCCCTGGCTGGCTGAGAATCCCAGAACCGGCATCGCCAGAGCTGGGAGGAACTCAGAGGTGGACCAGCAAGCCCCAGCCCTCGGTGCCAGGAGAGGCACCTGGGGCCCCGGGCAGAGGCAAACCTGCCGCTCTTGCCCTCCCTCCCTTGTTCTGAGATGGGGCTCAACGGCCACCTTGGGAGCAGCCCTCCTGGCCTCCTAATCCAATACGAGGCTTATGTCTCACTCTCCCTAAGGAAGGCAAGGAACATGGACTGAGACAGACGGCGCAGCGGAGGGAGAGAGAGGGAGCACCATGAGCCCAAGAGCCTGTGAGGCAGGTAAAAGGCATGACACAGGCGCCCGGAGCTCCAGACGATACGGACTCTTGCTTATGGCAACATCATGGCAATAAACTGGCCCTCTGGGCCACCCAGCGGAGGAGGCACTATCGCTCTAGCCCCTCCAGGGAAGATAAGGAGCCAGGCCAAGGGCGGGCAGGAGGGATGCTTGGGGTCACTAGCCAGGAGGAGCAAGGAGGAGCACCCAGCTTGGAGGGTCATGCCCAGCAGCTCAGTGACCTCAGGTACATTCCTCTCCCCCTGGGCCTGGCCCACCAGTGTCTCACCTCACAGAGAAGCGGCCCAGGGTCCACTGTCTTCAAAGTTCTCTCCTTCCCCAAAATAACTTCCTGAGGAAGGGAAGGCTTGGGAGCCTAAGGCACCGCTAAGGGACAGCACATGTAGCCACAGCATTCCCCTCTCTTTTGAAAAACTGGAAGGCCCAGGAACCCTGGGCTCTCCGAGTCCCCACTCAGAGCCACCAAACTTGCCACCTGGGGCTAGACTGAGCCCCCGGCTCCACCAGCCTCCGCACAGCAGGGTCCGCCTTCCTCCTGCAGACTCTGTGCTGCTCTACCGCTCTCCAAGCCCCTGTTATTCTACTTGTTTGGGGATGCGTGAGTGTATGCTCAATCTTACATTTGCATGCTTCTCAAAATGTCATGCATGAATTTGACAGGTATTTTATGTGCCAGGCTCTGTGCAAGGCACTCAGGACAGGGCAGGGACAAGATTGGGGGATGAGCCCCTGGTCCCTGGAGATGCTGTGGCAGCCCAGCCCTGCCGGCGGCTGCAGGTGACCTCTCAGCATGGGGGCAGCATCTTCTGGCAGCATAGGCAGCTTGTGGCACCAGGTCCTGGGATGTACATGTCACATGTCTACACCAGCTCATCTTTGTTTTAGGGACATCATTTTATCTCTCTTTGGAAATCACTTGACTTCTTTAGCCTACTCTCCTCCGCGTCCCCACAGCACTTGCTCAGCACTCCAAGCTGCTGATGCTCACTCCTTTCAGGGTCTGAAGCTCCTGATATCAACCCTTCCCAGCAAATGCCAGGTCCCCCCATGCAGGGCACCACCCCTGTGCCTGCTTCGTAGCCCCGTGGCCGAGACTTGGTCTTGGTCCTGCTCAGCCCCGGGTGCAGGCAGAGGAGGGAGAGCCTGGAGTGGAACTGGCTGGCTGTGGATCACCCACCTCCCGGTTCCCCACAGGCCTGGGCCCACAAGTACCGACTCAGGGAGTCCCCTACATCCCTGCCAAGGCCTCCAGGTTGCTTAGGTTTCATAGGTTTTGGGAGGTGGCTGTCATTAACTGAGCACTTTCTGTATAGAGGTCTTAATACACACCTGCCCATTTTTGTTAATCCTCATCACAGACACCACTTCTGCCTTTGATGGAAGAGGAGAGGGTTTCCAGTGAGGGAAGGAGACGGGGAGGGCCTGGGCGGTCGAGTCAGTGTGCACAGGAGGAGGACTGGCCTGAGAGCCACCCCACTCTCTCCCAGCCCAGGCTTGTCCTGAGTCTGTGTACCCCATGGAGAAGCCAGCGGCTCCCCATCTGCTCTCCCTCCCTGGGCCCATGAGTGGGGGATCCCAGGCTTGGCATTCACTGTCCCCAGGTCACAGTGGGGAGGGGTGGGCTGCAAAGACTGCAGTCCTTCCTGGTCCTGCTCCCAGGGCCACTGCCCACCCCTGCCCCCTGTCACCCCTACCCCAGATAAGGCAGGCCCAATCCTTGACCCGGCCCAAAGCTGTCCCTTCTGTAGCCCCATCCCAGCCCCACCAAAGCAACCCTCACCTCCAGCCAGGTTCCCAGAGATGAAGCGGAAGAAGACGCTGATGATGCCTCCCAGGTGCTTCCCACAGCCATGCTGGCACTCCTGCAGCCTCGGGCCAGGGCCGCACCCTGCCATCCTTGGGCCTGGCTTAATCCGCCCGACTCCTGCCCTCAGCTCTGCCCTGCCTGCCACTGTGCAGGCGGTACCCCCACAAGCCTGCTCCCTGACCTCCTCTGCCAGCCTCTCCTCAGCCTGACACTCAACACCTTTCTTTTTCTAGGACTCCCCACTCCTGGTCTGTCTGTCTGTCTCTGTCTCTCAAAAGCAGCGTCTCTCCTCTTGGTCTCAGCTTGTCCCCAGTGTCTTGGGCGCTCTGGGCCTGTCCTTCTCTCCTCTGCTTTCTGTCCCTGCTTCTGGCTCTCCCAGCCTTTCCGGGGACTGCCTGCCCCTCAGCCCAGAGCCCCGGGGCAGCCAGAGTGCACTCAGTCCTCCTGCCTTGGGTTTGCCTTCTCAGGTAGCCCCTGCCCCTGCCACAGGGCTGGCCCCTTCACCTGGTGCCTGGCCTCAGCCTCCAGGCCCCCGGAGCTCACTGTTCCTGGAGGCAGAAGGGCCCCTGCGGCTTCCTGGGCTGGGAGGCGTGGGGATGGGGTGGGCGTCACTCCTGAGCTCCCAGCACCAACAGAGGAGGTGACACTGGTGTGATTATCAGCTGAGGGTGTGATCTCACTGCAGAGGGGCCTCACCCGGGCCCCAGGGCTTCTCTGCAGCCAGACAGGGAACAGCCTGCTCTCACACAGTCCCCTGCCTAGGAGGCTCAGGGCCAGGGGCCCTGAGTAGGACGGGGGCATAGGTAGGGCCCTAGCCTTAGGCTGTCTCTTGACCTCTGACCTCTATCCACTGGCCTCATCCCTCAGCCCTGCTGTGCCTCTCTAAAATGCAGAAGGGGAAGTGGGAAGCGGTTCCTCTGCTGAGGAGCAGAAGGGAGAGCCAAATTCATGACTGGAGCTGACCAACCCCCTGCCCTCCACATTTTTGAGCACTTAGCAATAAATAAAGGCGATAACAGCCAGGCAGCTTGCTAAGGTCTTTCTGGGTGCCAGTGAGTGCCTTCAGTCATCAAAACAACCCTGCAAGCCACATGTGGCTGAGAATGCCAGTTCTGTATTCATTCTTCCTGAGTTTCACCAGCAGGGTTCAGATGCTGTTGGAGATGGAAATGCGCCCAGCTGAAAACTCCACCATTCCCCTGCCTTCCTCGCAGTGAGGGCAGCTTATCTCTGGCCAGTGGAATGGAAGCATCTGTCTTCCAGAGACTTCTGTGAGTGCTGCCTTCCTGACATGGGGACCACCACTCTCCGCTTCCACCTGGGTTCTCCTTCCTGTTGCCTGAAATGAGGCTGTGTGGGCTGCAAAGCAACCACATTGCCACAGTGAGGGGAACGGTAGAAGAACCCAAGACATTGACACTGACGTCCCCCAGCTGCCAAACTAGTGCCAGCCACCGCCTCACCCCATGTTTCCCATATAGGAGCCGATGCACCTGTCTTGATCAAGCCACTGTTATTTGGGGTTTCTGTTATATGCAAGTTCAGGCAAGCCAAGGGATCCCTTGCAGAGGGAAAGACGAGCTGCTGCGCCTCGCACCCCTGCCAGTAAAGGAAGGTGCGGTGCCCGGCGGGCCTCCTGTGCACCACAGTTAAATGTGCGGCTCAGAGGCTGTTCCGCAGGTGCAGGCCAAGTACAAGCAGTGCTGCCCCTTGGGCCTAATGACCCAGAACATTCAATGACACACGATGAGTCTAAGGCAAGTTGGAATGCTCTACGGGGCCATGGCAGGCCCCCAGAGGGGAAATCTGTGGTCTCTTGGGTTTTGAGCAATGCCAAAAATCTCTCCTGTTGGCATTCAGCTAACTTCCCACTGCTGGGCTGCTGTGGGGGTGGAGCGCCTGATGGTGAGAGAGACAGAGACAGAGAGACAGAGTAGGTGGCCATGAGCCCCGAAACACCCAACAGCAATCGAGTATCAACCTCTCGCCCAGCCCCACTGGTATCTGCATGTGCACACAGTGCTCTGTCGTCATGCCCAGGTGCTGTGGATGGGGCCCGAGGCAGGGCAGGTCTGGAGGGCGCAGGGAGGCTGTACCTGCGGGGGCTGCGACTCCCACAGTACCTGCTGCATTGCCGCTTTCCCCACAGCCCACCCGCCCCCTACGGTCTCGAAGCCGTCTGAGGAGGAAAAACTTTCGGAGGTGACTTATAGACAGAGCTGCAAGAAATGTTGGCCCCAACTCTAGGTGACACTGAGGCCCACCTAGGGGAAGGACGTGGAGAAGGGACATCTTCCTGGTACATGTGTTGCCCACATTGTCTGAAGAAGAGAGGGCCGAAGGCACAGGTTTACACTGATTCATGGATGGCTGTTAACCATTAGTTCAGGGGTCAGGGAGGTGGAGGGGCAGGATCGGGGGAGTAAGGGCTGGGAGGCCTGGGGAGGAACCACCCGGAGTGTGGGACAGCAAGTGCTTCACAAGTGCCCTCCAAGGGGCGCTGGGGCCGAGGAGGCACTGGACGATCAGGTGGGCCAGTGGTCCCCTCTGTGCACCTCACAGCCTCTGTTCCTGGCTCCTCTGGCATTTGCTTGAGAACGAAACACCGTAGATTCAATAAAAGAACTTCTCCCTGGGCCGATCAGGCTGCAGCTGCAGTTCAGTGCCCAGCCAGCCACCAGGTGGCAGGTCAGCCACTCTGCATCCCTGCCATCACTCTGGGGCTCCCATTATCCTCATGGGAGTGATGGTCACTCTGGGTGTGACCTTCCCTCTGGCCTGCCCTGGTGCTGCCAGCACCTCCCCCATCACGGTGCCTCCACGCCATAGATCCCAAGCAACAGACTCATTTCACCACGGAATAGAGCGGTGTGACCAAAGACCAGGGCTCACAGGCTCCCGTCCCCGTCCTGTGCCCACCCCCAGAGGCAGCTGGCCTCACAGAACAGTGATGAGACCCGCTGAAGACTGGTTCTGGCAGCCGTTGCGGGTTCCAGGGCTGCCCTGTCGGGTGCCAGTGACACTGCTGGATGTGCTGCCTCTCCCCCAGCCAGAAGAACAAGCCCGGAGCCCGGGAAAACACGCAAAGGCCCCTCCCTCATCCAGTGCCTGCTCACCGCACCTCTGCTGCTCCTCACCAATACTCCAGGCTCTGGATTAGAGGCTTTAAATTCCCATGGGAGAATGGGTCCCCAGCAGGAGGCAGCAGGGGTTCTGCTAAACTGGAAGCTGGGACGGCCGCCTGGCCATGCTGGGCCCCTCACACCACTCAGACCAACTGGCATCAAGGGCCATCGGCCAGTGAATGACCCTATTATCGAGGGGAGCAGGGAGGACTCTGCTTCAAATCCAGTGAATTCTCCAGGGAGCCTAGCAACACTGCCAGTTACAGTGATGAAAGTCAGTGGGGGCTTCTAGCAACCCCAATGAGGCAGGACCACCCAGGACTCAGATCCCTCAGGAATGGGGGTTTGGATCACTCCACCAAGGACTCAGCCACATCTTTGTGGCTTTAATCCATCTTTAATCCATCTTTGTGGTGGATTAAAGATGGCCACAGATGTCATACTACAACCCCATGGAAAGGGGTTAATTCTCAGAAATCCTTGAAAATTTGCACTGATCTGACATCTCACTTTGATATCATGTATCTTGATGCTTCATGATGTCAATTGTATCCTGTATCTTCAAATACGCGAAAATTCTGTTTATAGATCTTTACGTATTAGAGACGAGTTAACTCACCTTTTGTTCCGATGCCTTTCTGCTACCCCTCTTTCCCAGGAGCACTGGTGGTGGTGTCTTTATGATTTTACGTGGGGTTGCCATGGCACCCCGGGGAGAATGAGCATCTCCCTGGGATGCATCGGCGACTGAGGAGGATGTGGGTCTTCTCTCTGGGGGAGGGGCATGTGCATGCGTGTGTGTAAGTATGCGTGTGTGTGTGCTCATGTGTGTGTGTATGTGTGTGTGCTTGTGTGTGTATGTGTGTGTGTGTGTATGTGTGTGTGTGTGTGTGAGGAATGGCTGCACCGTGTCACACAGAAGCGTGCAGCAGCTGCTAGAGCGTTCCTGCCAGAGTGGTCCAGGATGCCAGGCATCTCCCAAGGCGCTAGGTGGGGCCCTGGCTTCGTCCCATTCAGACCTCGTTCTCTGGTCCTCCGGAGTTTCTGTGAACTTCCTGAGGCCTGGAGCCCACCCTGTTTCGGTTGTCTGCAGCTGGGACCCCAGGTTATTTGTGGGTGACATTATTATTCCAGTTGAAGAAACCCAAGTCCCACAGCCCTTGTGGGCATCAAACTTGAGAAACAGGTCTGTCCAGTTGTGGCACTGGCCATGCCTCTGGAGAGGCATCCTGCAGGGAGAGGCTTTAGATGCAGGGGAGGCATGCAGGGCAGGCCAGAGTCCCAGCTTCCGGGTCATGGAAGAGGGTCCAAGGAGCTTCTAGGCTGAGGATGGGGCGCCTCTCCTGGGTAGGGTGGGGCCAGGCTGCCTGTGCTCTGAGTCTCCTGGGCTCCCCTCTTAGAGGCCCCACTGCTGGCCACCTCCTGACTCCATCCTGGGGTCTTCACACCCAGAATTGGCCACCCAGGGCCCAGCCACAGATGCTCTAGCCCTTGCCCACTGTCTCCAGGACCCTGGGTCCTGTCCACTCCTTGCCGACGTTCTACCTCACCCAAGCCTCCAGGACTCCCAGGCTGGGCCTTGGCTTTCACTCCCAGCTGTTCCCGACATGTGTCTCTGGCCCCACTTCTGCTGAATGGAAAAACCCCAGTACAAGGGCACAGTGTCTGGGCCGCCCCCCTCCCACAGGACCCCAAGGCTCAGGACACCGTGCTGGGCCTCGCAGAGCACACAGTGGGGCTGCACTGAATGGGCCCCATTGTTCTTTGCACCCAGAGCCTGTGCCAGCTCCCAAAGAGGGGGGATGCCTCATCTGCACACCGCGCAGCACTTCACACGTGCACAAAGCCCTCAGTGTGACCACACCAGCCCGGCCTCCTTGCGGGACACACACGGGACGTGTTTGGACTGAAGAGAGGAGACCCGGGAGCTATGGCCAAGGGAGACAAAGGGCACATTGGAGTCCCGGCTCCTCTGTCCGTGAGGTCCCTGGGCTCCCTCGTCCCTCAGCTCCCACCAAAGACGCTCGTCAGGGTGGGCACCGTGGAGCTCTGGGCCCGAGCCTCCCCCACCCCAACCCCCGCTTCTTGTGCCATCTGCTGAGTCACGTGACCTCTCTGAGCTGCCATGGACGCTCTGGTAAATCAGGGTGATGAGCTCCACACTGCCTTCCTTGCACAATCAAATAGGCTCTTGGATGTGTCGTTCACATCTGCTCCCAGTGCCGGCACAAGGTCCGGTAAACACATCCATGCAGGGGAACAAACCCATCGCTGGTGCCCTGGCCCAGCCCTGGCCCTGTCTCCTGTGCGCCTTTGACAAGTTGTTCAGCAAACGTGTCCTGACAGCTGGGTGTGGAAAGGCCCTGCCCTCTAGGAAGCTTCCGTGAGGTGGGATGGGGCATGCAGGGGTGGGCCGTGCAGGGGTGGTCCCCCCCGCCCTGACTTGAACACGCCATGCCGGCCCCTCTGTCACCTTTCTCCCCGTCCACCCCACTCAGCATAGCTGCTGCTGTCACGGGTGTGCAGAAAGCTTCGGCAAAGGATGCACACCAGCCCCACCCGTCCTGAGCCACCTCTGCCTGCCAGAGAGAGACGGGAGGATGAGGCTGAGCATCTGCAGGACCTGAGGGATGGAGGGAGGGTACCACTGCAGCACCCCTTAAATACTTGTTGCCACCAAGAAAACCCTGGAAGACTGAAGTGGAGGAAATCTGAGTCTCGAGCGACCTGAAGCTGTGCCCGTCAGAGTGGACCTGAGCCGCCAGCACATGCGATGGCCACCGTGCTCTCGCCCCCACCCTAAGGGAGAGCAGGCGCATTTTCATTCTGATGCAGAATGAACAGTGCCCTGAAGGCGGTCCTTCCCGGTCGAGCTATGTGCATGTGCTTTTAGTGACCTCATCATGTTTCTGCTACCTGCAAAACCTGCCACCCCCATCCCCGAGAAGTTGGGGGTGCATGTGGAACTCACTCATGCATTCACAGGTGCTAGCGCTTCCATGGGAAGGGGTTGGGGACAAGTCTCAGCCAAGGTGACAGCATCACAGATGGGTAGGGGCTCTGTGGGGAAGCAGAGGTGGTGGTGGCAAAAGGGAGGGGGCTGGAATCGTGCTGGGAGCACCCTGGAGTGGCATTTGTGGGTAAAGGACGGGGATCTGGTGCGTAGCAGCCAGTCCCTTTGTGCACAGGCATGGACCTCTGGCTGTGGCTGTCAGCCACTGTGCCTGCTGTTTGCCCAGACCCCTCAGTTGATCCCCTCCACTCATGACCCCCATCAAGCCTAGGAGGCTGGGACCCCGATCATGCCCATTCTCCTGGCCAGGGGACAAACGCTCCCTGGAAATCACACAGCTAGAGAGGGTCCAAGAGAGCAAACAAGATGCAGCTGTCAAGGGCAAGTCTGCACCTTTTCCTTAAAGTCAGAGGCAGACTCTTATACGCACCATACTCACATGTGTGATCCCATGAGTGTGCATGGTGTGTGGGTGCCTGCATGTGGTGTGTGTATGTGAGTATGCAAGTGTGTATGGTATGCCTACCTATGTGTGCATGATGAGTGTGCAAGCTTGTGTGTGGTAGAGGCACCGGTGTGTGTGCATAGGTGTGAGTGTGAGGTGTCTGAATGTGTGTGTGAGATCGTGGGGGCCGCATGAGGCTGCCATTGTCTGTTCAGCCCTGTTATACTCGGCAAACACCAAATATCACCCATGGCAAGCCCAGGGCAGTGATTTCTGCCCGTTCTCTCGTTAACACACCACCAGAATGCAGCCCAAGGCAAAGAGCCAGCACCAATCCTTGGGGTGCACTGAACAGGACCAAGGAGGGGCTGAGGGTGGGGCCTCCTGATCACCAGGCACTGCACACATTATTTCCCATCTTCAAATGTGCCCTGTGGACAGGTTCCAGCCTGGCTTCTCACGGAAGGCTTAGAAAGGATCAATGAGGTGCCCCGGCTTACTCAGGGCGTGAGCAGTGGGCAGGGTGGAGCCTGGTTTGTTGGACTCTGCAGCCTGGCTCTGTCTTCCTAGCCAACTGGAAAACCGCAGTGTGGTCCCAGCTCTCTGTACCCATGCTCTGTGGGTCCCACTGGGAGCTCAGTGGCCTGTGTGAAGCAGGCACTCAATGAATGGGGAAGGGTGTGAATGAATGAAAACACACCTCCAATAGAGACAGGGGCGATGTAGCCCAGGCTGGGGTCCCAGGCTGGCCTTTGAGCCCTCAGAAAGGACAGTGCTCAGAACAGATCTCCCCACCCCCACCCTTGACCACAGCCCACCCTGGCCCCTACCTGAGCCCTGTGGGGCTGTGCTGGACAGGATCCACTTGACCAGGCAGCATCTCATCAAAGCCTGGCGGCTGAGCCTCGGCCTCTGCCACTTGATACCCTCCTTCTTGCTAAGTGGTGTGTGCCCGAGGTCCCCCAGGAGGCTGCCGTCCGACGCCTTTGTCACTTCCTGCAGTAGGAACAGGCAGAGCAGCCCTGAGCCCCTGCTCAGAGGGGGGACCCCTGGATGGTCCCGAGCTGCCCTGATATCCTAGATGAGGCCAGCCTGAACACAACAGAGGGCTCACCTTCCGGGGCTGCATGCCTAGTGCCCCTTGTCCTGGCCATTCCTGCCAGACCTGGGGAGGTTCCTTTCACTCTACACCCTGGCTATGGTGTAAGATGGGACCCCTGGAAGAGGGGCAGACAGGGGTGCAGAGAGGGGATGTCAGCAGTGATCCCAGACTTACTCATTGGATTCTCCACCTTGGCACAGGCCAGGTTGTCGGAGCTGGACAGCCCCTTAGAAATCACGATCCCAATCCCTCATCTGCCTGAAAACCAGAGAGGCAAGTGGATCTGTACAGGGTCACACAGCCACGTCTGGCTCCCTCACTCCCCCAGCAGGGCCCCTGCTCTGCCTGAGTTTTCATGCTGAGGCAAGCTGAGAATGAATGAAAGGCTGGGTGGTGACCCCAGGAGGGCTGCACTGGTGGAACCGACCACTGAGGCTGGCAGGGATCTGAAGAAACAGCTCCAGCTATGGGCAGGAGAGTCTTGGGAGGAGTGAGTCATGGGTGGTCATTAAGAGGCAGTGGATCAGCCGGGCGTGGTGGTTCACGCCTGTAATCCTAGCACTTTAGGAGGCCGAGGCAGGCGGATCACCTGAGGTCAGGAGTTCGAGACCAGCCTGACCAACATGATGAAACCCTGTCTCTACTAAAAATACAAAAATTAGCCAGACGTGGTGGCATGTGCCTGTAATCCCAGCTACTCAGGAGGTTGAAGCAGGAGAATTGCTTGAGCCCGGGAGACGGAGGTTACAGTGAGCTGAGATCATGCCACTGCACTCCAGCAAGGCCAACAGAGCCAGACTGTCTCAAAAAAAAAAAAAAAGCAGTGGGCCATGTGCCTGAGTCGGTGTGGATCAGAAAACAACCTCCTGGGGTCATGGTGGAGGCCCCAGGGCAGCAGGATTTGCTCTCCTACAACGTATTTCAGGCCCCCCAATCCTGACATCCAAACTGCCCACCATGCTCAGTTCCCATGCTGGCAGCTGGCCCATGAGGCACAGAGGAGGGAGGTGCACCGCAGGCTGCCGCTGGCCACACCTCTGTGCACCTGCTGGGTCTAGTTTGCTGCCTTTGTGCTGTCCTCTCCTGCTCGGGGTGGCAGGGGGACAGGTGTGGTCTGGCCCATTGGACCACAGCCCACCAATGGCCCTCATTTTGTCTGTGACGCACTGCCTGACCTCTAGCTGTGGCAGTGGCACCACCCCCACATGCATATGTGTTCTGAGCAGTTGGGTTCCTTGGCCAGTAAAGAGGGCCACTCAGGGGGTGGGTTGTCCATACCCTTCCCAGGTCACAGGGTCTCGTGTGTGCTACCTTTGCACGGTCCTGAAAAGTATTTGGTTGTTCAAAGTAAATAACAGATGGACGGGGCCGTCAAGCAGCTTCTACAGAGGCAGCCCTGGAAGACAGCCCCTGTGCTAGTTGGACTGTCAGGTGCAAGAGCCAGAGACTGACCCAGGTTGATTTGAACTGGAAGAATTGGCAGCAGGGAGCCCGGGCCAGTCACAGCCTGCAGGGAAGCACAGAGAGCCAGTCCTGGAAAGCAGACGAGATCAGAGAGCAGCGCCGGACACCAGCCCTGGCCATGCCCGTCCACACAGAGCCCAGCGACAGGGCTCTGCTGCTGCTGCAAAGGCTGGCCCCTCTCCCGAGGCATGGGCCTGGCACCCCCACTGGTCTCTGCACACTGCAGGCTCCAGCTGGGGGAGGATTCTCTGGGTGCTTCACTGGCTCATGGTCCCCTGAGGCCTATCCACATTCGGGATGGGCAGCTGGCCCACTAGTCAGTGTTTGATGAAGTGGTCCCCTAGGCAGGGAGATGTCCAGTTCCCTTATCCTGGCTTTTGGGCCTTCCCCAGCTAGGTCCCAACTACCAGTCCTCCAGCTCACAGTCATCATCCACCCTTCCTCCGACACACCCTTGGCAACAACCCCTGCACGTCCCTCCCCTTCTCCAAGGCTCACCAAGCAATGAGGGGGCTCAGTGGTGCCCAGAGCTGCAGCAAGAAGAGGCACTGACCATGCTGATGGAGCAGAAACAGGGGGAGAGCTGGGGGTGGACGGGTGCCTGGGGTGCTGAGGGAAGCTCCCTATGTGCACACGCTATGCACACACACGTGTACAATGCTCACATGCACACACACGCACACACATGCACACAAGTACACATGTTCATATGCACACACAAGCACACATGCATAGGCACACACACGTACACATGCTCATATGCACATGTGCTCACACATACATATGCACACACACGTCCTGTCAGGCTGGGTCAGAAACGCACTTTCTCCATTATTCATGATCTTATTCAGGAGTCTTTATTTTGGTTAAGGAGGGTCGTAGGGGAGAGAGGGGCAGCAGGTGCTTCATTACATCACAAATTCTTTGCTGCAGGCTCTGCGTGGGGGGTGAGCAGAGGACATCAGAAGAAACTGAGGCGGCCTCGGAGCCCCTGGCAGGAGCTCTTCACTGGGACCCCCAGCCCCGTCTGCAGCCCATCTCAGAACAGCACTGGCTTGGCTGGCAAGGCTGCTTCTCGGGGCCCAGGGTTAGTCACAGGGATTCTGTCTTGAAGCCCCAGGCCCAGGTCGTGCGGGAGATCCCATGGGTGTCCTGGGTTCTAGCTCACAGGGCTCAGTCCTCCCGGGAAGGCTGGGTGAGCCCAAAGGGCAGGCTGAGCACCTCCCAAGTGGATGTCTATGTTGAGCTGAAAGTAATCTCGTCACGACAACCCCCTGCAATCGGTAAGACGATCCCCATTTCACAGATGAGGAAACTAATTCCCTGAGAAGTTTTGGGACATGCCAGGGCCACACTACACATATAGTCTTCTGATTCCAAAGTTCACATGGGCTTGACCACAGGCTTTGCTGCTGAGGCTGTTTCTCGGCCTGGGTCCCTGGGGCGGTCTCTGGAGCTGGGTGTGTTCCGAAGCCCCTCAGGCACATCAGCAGCCTTCCAAAAATATCCGTTGAGGAGTGCTGTGATGCCCTCCTGGGCTAGGGGGCCCCAGTGTGTCTTTTCTCCCTGTGGAGAGAGTCTGGGTGGAGTGGTGGTGGGGGTTCCGGGCCAGGCTCCTCCATCTGGCTGAGGGGCCAGAATCCCACCTGTGAGCCCCACAAGGCAGGCCCATGATGGGCACCCCTCTTTGTGAGGCAGGGGGTGGGTTCTGAGAAGAGAAGGGAGGGGAGGGCCAGGGACAGGAGGGCAGGGAGACCCCAGCAGCCGAGCCTGGGAAGCTGGGACTCATCAGGCTGCGGCCTGGGCCCTCAGGCTGCTGGGGAGGCGGGAGGAGGTCATCCTCATGAATATCTGACACTTGTCTGTCTGGAAGAGGGTCTGACTGAGCTGTCAGGGAATGTTAAATAGCAGCCCAGGCACCCTCCTGCTGGCTTGGGAGGCTCACAGCATGGAAGGGAGGGCGTCCTAAGAGGCGGCCCCCTGGCCCCTCACCCCACAGTGCCTTGGTGCTGGGAGAGAAGCTGGGGCAGTGATGAGATGGAACATGAATTAGATGCCCCAACCCTGCCGGGAGCCCCAGTGCCTCCTTGCCAGGCCCTGACAGCCCCACCGTGCCCCTCCAAGTCTGCTCCCACACCACCGCCTTGGCACCTGCTGCTCCTGGCACTGGACACTTCTGCCCCAGGCGTTTAAGGCCTCACTCACGGCTCAGGTCCTAGAAGAGCCCTGCCTGACTACCTAGGCCACCCTCCCCCATGCACCTCCATCTCAGCACTTCTTCACCCAGCCCTTGTGAACTGATCCTATTATTGTGTTTTCTGTCTCTCCCCTTTAGCGCATCAGCTCTGCGAGAGTGGAACCTGATCCTCATGTGACCTGCTTTTCCTCGTGACACAGCCTGGCACCCAAGAGATCCTCACTCCCAAAACTCAACAGTAAAAGAGCAAACCATCAGGTTAGAAAATGTGAAAGACATGCACAGACATTTCACCAGAGAGGACACGTGGATGGCAAAGGCGGCGGGAAGAGATGTTCGCCGTCATTAGCCATTCTGGCAACGCAGAGGAGGACCGCTGTGAGACACCACCATGTGCCTGTCCGAACAGCTAGAACCAAAGATAATGACAACTGAAAGCTGGTGAGGATGTGGAGAAACGGAATCACCCCTCCATTGTCGGTGGAAAGGGAAAACGCCTTAGCCACTCTGGAGAACAGTCTGGCAGCTTCCTATAAAAACTAGGCATGCGCTACCACAGAGCCCGACCACGGTATTTTTGGCCGTTTATCCTGAAGAAACGAAAAGTTATGTTCAAGTGAAAACATGTACACAAATGTTCATGGCAGCTTTACTTGGAACGGCCCCATACTGGAAGCAACCCAATGCCCTTCAATGGGTGAATGATTAAACAAACTCCAGTGCATCCATACCACGGAATTCTGGACAAGTAAAACAAACAAACTGTTGGCGCACACCACACCTGCGTGAACCTCCAGAGAATTACGCTGAATGAAAAAGCCAACCCAAAAGGTCACATTCTGTGTGATTCTATTTATATAACATTGTAAAATGACAAAGTTTTAGAAATGGAGAACAGATTAGAGGGCCAGGGGTTAAGGATGGGGGGAGGCAGGCAGGAGGGAGAGGGGTGTGGCTCTCACAGGGCGGCAGGAGGGGCCTTGAGGGGACAGAGCTGTTTTGCATCTTGATGGTGCTGTTGAGTGCCTGAACCTACACGTGATAAAAATTGTAGCAAAAAATGCACACGGAAATGAGTGCGTGTGAACTGGGAAATCGGACTAGGACTGGTGGGTTGCATCATTGCAGACACTCCAGTTGTGCTATTGTGTTGTAGTTTTGAAATATGCTGTCATTGGGGAAACCAGGTTAAGTGTACATGGGCCCTCTTTGTGAGCTCCTGCAACTGCATGTGAATCTACAACGAGCTCAATAAAGATTTCCATCAAAAAATACTCTCATGCACCCAAAAAGAAGGTGTTAAAAACGCAAGCATGCACAAGGCTCTGAATAAATATTCACGAATGATCAAAAGTCCCCTGTGCTCTTCACAATTCACCTGGGGCTCTCTCCTCCCACTCCTGCTCGATGCCGGCCTCATTTTAATGGGTGACAGAACTGTCATTGTCTACCAGCTTTAGAGGATGGCCAGGGTTGAGTGGCAGAGACGAGTGAAGCCAGAAGATCTGGGCCCTGGGTTCAGGCAGAGTCCCTGGTGGCATACTTGGCAGTGTGGGCATTTAGGGCTGTGTCCCAGAAACGGCCCTAGGCTGGCCCTGGGGACCTGCAGCCTTCTCAAAGGTCACAAGTTTCCCTGAAGGATAGAGGCTGCTGGTGAGCCAGGCAGGCCATTCTCTGCCAGTCACCTGGTGGCCGAGATCTGTAGCTCCTGCCCAGCCAGGCAGGCCAGGACCAGGCCTCAACTTCCTTCTAAGTCCTCCTGGCCTGTGGGGAGCCAGGGAGGGATGGAAAAAGATGGCGTGGGTGATGCCCCTGCTGTGTGCTGGTGCTGAGTTAGTTGTTTGGAGGGGTTATCATATTTAATGGTCACACCAACTTTTTGAGGTTCCTTAGAACCTCAAAATTACCCAAAGCACCCAACTGAGCCCCAAATCCGGTAATGGATTCTAGCTCACCCGTTCTCATGCAGCTTGCCAGGGTCCCTGGGGTATGCGTTCTCCTGTTATTCAACAGGGGTAAACCCAGCCTGTTCTGAGTCAGCTGCGTCCTGGGGGCTTTGGCCTGAGGTCTCTGGCAGTGGGGAGCTGCACCTACGAGGTGCAGGAGATGACTTAGACTCGGGGCCAGCACACTCTCCAGCTCCCCACTGCCATTCTCTTTACAAAGGGAGGGCACGGCCTCAGCTCAGAGCCTCAACAGGCCACAGACCATGGGTGGGAGTTTATCGCTGCTGCCTTATTTCATGGCAATGTGGTGGTTACCTTCCACTTCTGCTCCCGGCTTCCCACTTACAGTACTGATTTAAAGATTCCCTTTTAAATGAATTCACTAAAATTCAATGCATGAGTTAATTTAAAGAAAAATAATAAGAAACAATAGCACAGGTCACAACAGATACAGCAAAACGGTAAAGGCAGGAAGTGTATGTTTCTCTCTGTGGCTGAGGCTGGGGGCTTGCTCGACTCAGCCAGGCGACCCCTCAAGTCTGAGTGACGGCGGCCTCTCGCCAGGCTGCTGAGACTGACATGTGGCTGGTCCACACTGAGACGTGCCCTCGTGTAAACACACACTGGGTTCCAAACATTTACTTACTAGACTATCAAATAGTTCATTAAAAATGCTTTATATCAATTGCAGGTTGAAATGATAATCATTTACACTGGGTTTAATAAAACATATGGTTAAAATAATTTAACCTTTTTTTCTTTCTTTACTGTGCCTACTGGCACATTTTAAGTGACATCTGTGGCTTGCATCATGTCTCTATTGGACAGGACTGATCCGGATGGTTCTCAGACCTGCCAGCCGGCAGGCTTGGGGCAGCATCCTCCTGGCAGGGCACAGCCGCCCCAGCTGCTCTCTGCCACTCAAGTCCAGCTGGACTCGCAGCTGCCTCAGAAGGGTGGCCTGGTGGAATGTGCAGATCAGATTGGGGGTTCGATGAGGCAGGCGGCCATCTGGGGGAGGCGAGGGATGCCCAGGCCCAGGAGAGCGGGGGAAGGCTGAGCCAGGCGGAGGTCATGGCTGGGTGCTGGGGATATTATGGAGACAGGTACTCAGGACCTACTCTAGATGTGGCCAGTGAGGGAGGGGCGGCGACTTCCCAGTGCCTGAGAAAACTGTCACTGCGGGAATGTAGGAGGCAGGGCTGTCCCCCATGCCTTCCTCTCCCCCTGAACACAGTCCAGTCTCTGCCGCAAACACCACACCATCATCCCGAGAGTTTCCACACCACAGACAGAGGCTGAGCACTTGGAACAAACCTCCAGGACCTGGACCGGACATTTTGCCTCGTGGCTCCCTACACTCTAGGTCCCCTGAGAGGCCAGGTGGCCCACGGAGCAGCGTCCCACTCCTTGCCCCATGCCCAGCATGGCACAGCTTCGTCTTGAGGAGGCCCATCTGGCTGAGAAGATGGAGTCAGACTGTCAGGAGTGTGCCAAGGTGAAACCCTCGAGCCGCTAGTTCAGTCTCCATGGTTCTCATCAACTGTGCTCCAGAGAAACTCCCAGAAAGCCTTCCAGAGCAGATGTGGCAGAGGTGACTGGGGGGCACATGACAGCCTGTGAGAAGTGGGGGTCCTGGAAAACCTGCGTTAAAGTATCCAGGCTCCCGGGTGGCGTTCTAGGAGTACATGCATGGGCAAGATGCATCGCTGACTCCTCCCAGATGTCTACAGACTTAACGGATGCAAAACAGAAGTGAGTGGCTTCGTATGTGCCACCAGGGCCCCTGGGTGTGGGCTCAGAGGGCACGGCTAGTTGGGGGCAGGGCAGGAGATCGAAGGCAGGTGGATGTGATTTCCAGCAGCCGAGGACAGTGGGAGGGGTCTGTGGCCAACCAGTTACATGAATCCCGCACCCTCGCTTCCCAGCTCGGTGACCCTGACAGAGAACCTGACAGCTCCGAGCCTCAGTTTACTCATCTGCAAAATGGGGGTGACAATGTGCCCTCACAGGGTTAAGGGGAAGGCAAGGTGACAAAGCCCCCAGTGGGGGAGAGTCAGTGTTCCTCGCCCTTCTGATCCCAGGGAGGGTCTGGCTGTCCAAACCCACAGCCTAGCATGCCTGGCAGGGAGGCCCAATGTGCCGCTCTCAGCTGCCACATGCCAGAATCACGTGGGGAGGCTCTCACCATCTGCCTGCCCAGGAGCTGGATTGTTTGATGCAGAGAGGGCTGGGCTACTCTGTTCTTATAAAGCTCCTCAATAGATCTGAAAATGCAGCTTGGGGAATTTGTTTAGAGTGTCTGTCCCTCCAGATAGAAAATTCTTGGCCTTGCCTGAAAGGCAAAGGGGGTCCCCCGATTCTCACCCCCTTCCTTTCCGGAAGGGCTTCACCGAGGCCAGGGCCAGCATGAGACATCCAGGCTACTCAGATGTGGGGCTCCCCACCCCCCACCCTGTCCACGGCTGCTGCGGTGCAGACTGGCCCACCCAGCACTGCTTGCTGTCACTGGCTCTATTTCCATCACTCGGGACAGATGGCAGGAAGCAGTGGTGGGCGTTGTGTCGTGCAGGCCCCAGGGTATGGAATGGGGAAGCTTTGGGGAGCCTGGATTCTCCACCCACCCCTGGGCACAGACAGACATAGGCAAGGCAGCTCGCCTTGTCGGGGGAGCCGAGGTTGTCATGAGTCCCTGAAGATGCATGTGTGCACATATGCACATACACACACACGTACACATGCCTGCAAACACACCTATGAGCGCGCACACACACACACACACACACACAGCCCTGGGCCCCAGCCCTCTGGCAGCACTGGAGCAGGAGAGCTGGGCTGTCCACCCCTGCTCTGATGGCTGCCACCTTGACAAGGACAAGCTCCCCATGCTGCCTGGCAGTGAGGGTGTCACGTTAACCCAGGGGTGAACTTGAGTTGCCCATGGCCAAATTGCCTCTTGGTGGCCTTCCCAGGCTCTCCTCAACAGTCAGAAGGGATGGCATAGGTATTCCCTTCATGTGTGGAGGCCTCACTCTGTGCCAGGGGCCAGGCCAAGCTGGTTGGTATAGGATCACATTTATCTGGGGGTTCTGTGATATTCATACTTCCCCCAGGAAAATGAGGACACAGTGGCACAGATGAGCTAAGTAACCTGTCAGAGGACACACAGCCAGTGTGTGACAGGGCCTGGACTGAGCCCAGGTCTGCTGGTGCAGTCAGGGCTCACAGCCAACAAGGCACAGCCATGATGCCTCTTGGCCATGCCTGTCTCCTGCCCGGGGTCCTTTAGTCCCGCACAGTGAGGATCAGGGCTCTGCGCAAGACCCATGGACATTTGTGTGCACATGTGGGGCACTGCTGGCAGTGGCCCTGACTTGAGTCAGCCAGGCCCGTGCCTCCCAGCCCTGCACTGCTCATCACAAGGCCTGGCAGATGCTGTGAGCATCTCTCAGACCCAGATGGGAAGACTGAGGCCCTGAGTCAGTGGGGCAGAGGTGGGGCTACAGTTTGGTTCTCTGGAGCACTGTCCAGAGTGCCCATCTTGAGAGAGGATCCCACGACAGAGCTGGGCACAGGGGCATGTGGCACCAGCAGCAGAGGACTGGGATGCAGGGGACTTGTCCCTTGCCTACCCTGGCATCTGCCTACTGTCCATGTGATAAAGGCTGGGGAAGGCTGGGGGCGTTGGGCAGGCTGGGAGGTGAGGCCAGAAAAGACCAGCAGCTGCTTTTCCTGGCTGAGCCTGGCCCAGGCATGGCCAGGCTGATGGAGAGGGCATGCTGGGCAGAGAGCTGAGGTGGCAGGTCAGAGGGGGAGGCTGGGCCGACTCTAGTGTGGGACACGCCACCCCCACGCTGCCCTCCCGTCTCAGCTCAGCTGCTCCCTCTCCAACTCTGCAGGTCCCCTTGCTTCTTTCCCTGCCACAGGGCTGCTCTTTGGCCTTCTAAGGCATGGGCTGATCTCAGATGACAGACGCACCTGCTCAAAGGCAACATCAGTCAGCTGAGGCCGGGAGCCCTGGGCAGGAAGCAGCACGGGACTCGCCCCATGCTGTGCCCTCCCCCGACTCTCAGGCTCCTGCCTGCCCCAGGTCTGGGCACTAGGCCAGAAAGACGTGCTAACTTCTCTCCCCTCTTCTGCTTCACCTTGGAAACTGAGAGTGCTTTCTTCCGTGCAGAAGCCACATTGGCTGCTCCTGGAAGTCACTGGGATGCCCAGGGGTGGGCTGGGGAGGGCAGGGGGGCTCTAAGGCCCCTCTGCTAAGTCAGTAAAGCAGTTCCCTGCCTCACACAGAAGGTCTTGATAAGACAAGGCAGCCTGAATTTAAAATGTTGGGGTCCTTTACTTCCTAGCTCTGGATCCACAGTCCAAAAATGGGAGGCAGCTAGCTCCAGGTCACGTGGCTAACGCAGGGGATGCGGCCAGGTGGAGTCTGGCTTGTGTGCACTCACTGGAGGGCTCAGAGGGCACAACAGACCACCGGCCGCACGGCTGGGATGGGCCCCTCCTCTGCCATCTGGTTAAAGGCATGCCCTTCTCCTCCTGCGTCTTCTTCCGCAACCCCCAAGCCCTAGGGACTTGCTGCGCTCTGGAGTAAGACAGAGCAGGGTTCAAATCTCAGCCACAACTCTTGTAGCCTGCAGTCTGGGGCAGGCCTCTGTTTCCCCATCTGTGAAGTGGGGATGATACCAACAGCTGCCTTGTGGGCTGCGTGAGGGTCCAGGGAGATAATGCGGGAGACAATGTCCTAGATGGGCGTTGGTACCCTCAGGCTTCTGGCTCTCAGCTCTGCCCTTCTCCTGGGCTCTACCTGGAGGGCTGAGGCAGAGCCCCTTTCTTCCCAGTGCAGCCTGGGGTCTTTTGAAATGTGGGAGCAAATTAGGGCCCATCTCGCACAGTGCCCTGCAACAAGGCTGGAAGCCAGGCAAAAGGGGTTCCCAGTGCACGGGCTGAGCTGTGAAGACACCACAGCCTCAACACCGCGACAGCAGCGCCTGTCGCAGAAACTGCGGGTCTTTCGCTCCTTTCTCCTAAGAGCTCATGGGATCAAGCTCATGGAGTCCTGGAGCTGTTCCAGTTTTCTGAGCCTCAGTGTCTAGAATAGGAATGGCAGTGCCTCCCCGCCTCCCCATAGGAGTGAGGTGAGAATTCATGAATGGCTGGGGAGTAGGCTAGGGAGCCGGGCAGTCATGGGGCGTTACTGGGGGACAGCCACTGACCGTGACCCTGAGGAGTCAGAACACCTCCCAACCTGAGCTCTGACTACAGTCCCTGCTGCCACAAGAGAGGAAGGTTATTTTTCACAATCTCCCATTGATCTTGATGAGAAACCTAATGGTGGCTTCTCCTAGGACCACTGTCTCTGCTGGGCCCAGCACCAGGAGGTGTGGGTCCCACTCCCCTCCCTGGCCAGGCCAGCCACAGGAAGGCCACCAGCAGACATAAGGACAGTGAGACCCACTGGGGCCCAGGAGCTGGTTGTGGGAGGGTAGAGCGCAGTGTGGGGTCACAATGGCCAAGGGAAGAACCAGATGTAAGTGCAGGACTCAGGCCACCCACTCTGCCAGTCTGGCAGGGGCAGGAGTGGCCAAGCTCCCAGAGTGACCTTTGGCAGTTAAGGCCCGCAGAGGAAAGGCAAAGGAGGGGAGGACTGTCTTCTGCTGGAGGTCAGAGCTGGCTGTGTGCACATCTGTGTGCAGCCTGACTCTGGAAATTCCCATCTCTGTAGTCATGCAGGGTCGCTCAATGTGTCTCTGCCTATGGGCACGGTTGCACTGTGCACCCTGACGCCGTAGTGTGTGAGCCTGGGGCAAGGCGCTACGTTTCTCCACTCTGCCCTGCCTGCATGGTGGTTGCTGGGGAGACTTGAGGTGACAGGAGAGAAGGCACATTTTCCATGTGTAGTGTTGCCATGCTCAAAGGGCTTCATGCCATCACCTCAGCTGATCCTCTTGGCACCCTGGAAGATGGAGCAGATAGCACAAGGGAGGCCTGGGGTTTGGGGGCAGTGTGGTCCAAGCCAGCCACCCGCCCATGCTTGGATGCTTGTCCTCACAGATGAAAGAGGCAGGAAGCCATCTGTTCAGGGCAGAGACGCTGAGGTGCCAACCCCATATCCCTTCTTTCCTACATTCAAGACCCTGATTGTCTCTGGGTCCTTTTGCCCTTCTTTCTTTCTCCTTCCTGCTCATATGTCAGTATGAGCCCATGTGTGCTGGCTGGAGCTCCAGCAGTTATGTTGCACCTTAAGGTAACCTCAGGGGTGATACAGGGCAGGCCTGAAATGCTGCTGATCAGGCGGCCTCCAAGCCAGCCCTCCACTGCCCCTCTGGACTTCTGCATGAGAGAGAAACCCCGCTAACCTTGTTCCATCCACTGTTATTTGGGGCGTTCTGTTATGAGCAGCCAGACCTGAACTATCCTGAATGTGTGAGCAGCTCACAGGGCATCAGGCCAGACCTTTTGAGAGTCAGCTAGAGGCTGGAGGGCCAGCTTATTTCTCCTTCCCTCATTCCTCCTTTAATTCTTCACCCTTCCCTGTTCCCCACCACTGTTTCTCAAACTCTGTGCCAGGCGTTTTCCTTGCATTCTCTCTCTGACCTCCCCACAGCCCTACTGAAAGGGAATGTGTGGGAAGTGCTCTTGTTAGGGGCTCCTAGCCCTTTCAGAGGAAGTGGGCACTCATTCGTTACTTGATTGCTTGATTAGAAGATGCGTTCATTGACCAACCTCCAAGCACAAGTGACTCCCTCCCAGGCTCACCCCTCCCCCAAACCTGAAGGCTGTGGGGCCCGGGCTCAGTGTCAGCCACGCTGGCACCTGACCCAGGGACCTAACTGAGCAGGATGAGTCGTGGGCTGACCCCAAGCTCCTCCTCTGTCCAGCTTTTCTTCCGCAAACACTTATAAACCTCTCCCATCCAAAGGGAGCCCTAGGAGTTCAGCCTCCCAGCCAGGACACCCCAACACCAGCCAGGACACCCCAACGCCAGCCAGGACACTCCAACACCAGCCAGGACACCCCAGCGCCAGCCAGGACGCCCCAACGCTCACTTTCCCCAAAGGAAAGTGGAACAAGAGGGGACAAGGGTCAAAGAAAAAGGCTTCCTGGTCCAGAGCAACCCCCAGAAGCCTCCATTCCTCCCCCCGACCCCCCTCCAGAGCAAGACCCCATTCCCCCAGCACCTACCTTAGCCGGCTGCATCCTGGGCGCTGAAGAAAACTGTTGCCAGCCTCCCCACTTCACAGCCGAGGCAGACAAGACTGCCCAGGCCGGCTGGCAGCTGCCTCATGTTTGCTTGGACCCAGACGTAATTGTCAACGGCGGCTTCTCGCCCTCCCCCTGCCCACCCCTTCCTCCCTGCCGGCTTCTATCGCTCCACCCCTCTGCCTCCTCGCTCCCTCCCTTTCTCTCTTTCTCTCTCTCTCTCTCTCTCCCCTCTTTCTCTCTCTCTCTCTCCCCTCTTTCTCTCTCTCTCTCCATGGCCCCTAATCCTGGTCTCTCAGAGCCTGTCCAAGCCTCTGTCTGGCTCTCCTGGCCTCTCCCCTACCCTGTCACCAGCGGCTCTCTGTGCCTCCCCTGCCCGCTGCCTCTTTCTCTGCTCCTTGCCCTTTTTGGTCACCAAGGAGGAATGGGGGTAGAGGGTGCAGGGAGCTGGGGCTGGGGAGAGGGGAGTTCAGGGCAGGAGTTTCTGCCCCAAGAAGTGGGGAGGAGCAGCAGTTGAACCCAGAGTGCCCAGGAGGGACTGTGGAAGTGGAAAAGGAAGGGATCATTCCTGGAGGTATTTTCCAGAACAAGCCAGGACACCCCCACTGCCCCAGTCCCGCCTGCCACTCTTCACAGACACAGGACAGTGCCACCCTTATGATGATCTCAGCCCAAGGGGCCCCCAGGACAGCAGGGAGCCACTGCACCCAGCATCTGAAGCGTCCTCTCTCAGGGTCCTGGCCTGAGGTGCTGGTCTGCAAGGTGCTGGTCTGGGGCTCACATCCTAGAAACAGCAACAGCCACCAGGGCTACATCAGCAGGGTGACACTCAGGGTCCTTCCACCTCTTTCATCTGTCCCTTATTAACTACCTCCCATTCACCCATCCGAGGGCCTCGAAGCACGGGTGTCTCCCCAAAGCATGACCTGCTCATGCTCTCCAGCTGTGCTGGGTCCCCTCCCAGCTCCCAAGTCAGGATGCATCCAGGGTGGCTGAGGACCTGACGGGATCTCCTGGGGTGTGAGGGTGAAGGATGGGGCCGAGGGCTCCCAGGCATCCCTGAGAGAGGGGGCTGTGTCCTGTCCCTTGGGCGGGCAGCTCCTGGGCATTTGCTTGGCCCCCAAGCAAACCACTCAGGAGCCAGGTGCCTGAAACCTTTGCCAAGTTTCCCTTTTTGGAGCCCAGAGGAGCCAGCCTGTGCCAGTAGTTCCCATGGAGACGAAGCCCTAGGATGCCTCCCTCCTTTGCAGCCTGCACAATTGTGCTTGCATGCCCTTTTCCTTTTTTTTTTTTTTTTTTTTTGAGCCAACCAATTACCTCCAACTTTCAGATCCTCAGGGGAAGAAAATAGCCTGGAGCTGTCGACCCACCGAGGCAAGGAGGACTGTTTCCAGAGGGGAGGTGGCAGCCCAGGTGTCTGGCCCTGTGCGACTTCAGAACAGGCTGGACTTCACACTGGGGAAGGGGCTCGGCAGAGCCCGGAGGACTCCCTAGCTGCCCCCGCCCCACCCACACTGCACCCTAGGAAGTGGAGGGAGGCAAGCGCCTTCATGGCTGCCAGCTCAGGGCCGGCATCCTGGGAGCTCATCTGCTTTTTTTTTTTTTTTTTTTTTTTTTGAGACAGGGTCTCACTCTCTCACCCAGGCTGGAGTACAGTGGTATGATCATGGCTCACTGCAGCCTTGACCTCCCAGGCTCAAGCAATCCTCCTATTTCAGCCTCCCAAGTAGCTGGGACTACAAGGCTCATGCCACCATGCACGGCTAATTTTTGTATTTTTTCGTAGAGATGGGGTCTCACTATGTTGCCCAGGCTGGTCTCAAAGTCTGGGGCTCAAGTGATCCACCTGCCTCTGCCTCCCAAAGTGCTGGAGTTCCAGGCATGAGCCACCGTGCCCAGCCCCATCCTCCTTTCACTGCCTGAGACAGTCCTGCCCTCCTGACTCTGAGCAAGCCTCGCCTCCGCAAGCAGGGACGCATTGAGCATTTTGAGTCCTCATAGTGACCTTGGGAGAAAAGTGTAATTATCTCACTCTACAGATGATAATGGTGAGACCCAGAAAAGCTAAAAGACTGGCCCAAGTCACAGGCTAGGGAGTGGTAAAGCCAGGTCCCAAAGCCTGTTGCCTTCTTCCTAGAGTGAGCACCGTGGATGCTGAGATCCCGCTGGCGGTTCTATGCCCACGGCTTACACAGCAGCTTGGAAACTTGGTGACTGCACTGCCGTGATGGGCTGGTCTTCCTGACGGCCTGGCCGGAGGAGTCAGGAGCAGAGGAACCCACTCATCACAGCAGCACCCCCAAGAGCTGCTCGCCCCTGCTTGGCACACTCGCTGACATCCCACACTCAGATGCGCTGTCCTCGGAGTTCACCAGCCGTGACACCGCGGGCCTGGGACAACTGCCCTGCTCTGCTGGACCCACCGGCTGTTCGGGCCTTGCGAACCTCCCACTGCAGCTAGCACCTGGGTGGACACCCCTCATACAGATGTGGGGCGTATGTGACCCTGCCACCACACCCCCCTTCCTCAGTGGCCTATCCAGGGCCCCAAGTGCTTCCAGCTGGGTCCCTCCCCTGGGCCTGTGGGGAACACAGGAATGAGAAGGGGAGGAGAAAGGGGGCTGGACTCCCACATGGGCCTCAGAGGCGGACCTGTTGTGGGCACACGGGCATCTGCAGACTTCCCAGAGACGGCCTTGGCAATTCCCAGTATTCTCTGCGGTATATCAGACCCACAGAAGGTTAAGGAGGCTGTGGAAGGACCTGGTCTTGTCCACTAGGAACGCTTCAGCCCTGTGTTTCCCACTGTGGTTTCCTCACATAGGGGCTGTGGGGAGAAACTGAGGCTGGGGGGAGTTTGGAAGTGGGAAAGGAAGGGATGATTTCAAGCCCGGATGAAGGTCGGGTTTTCTCTCGTCACAGTGTTTCAGGAGGCAGTCGTGGGCTGTTTCAGCTGACCAGGGCCTTCATTCTTGTCCTTCCCCGGGCGAGCGGCTCATGGTGCTCATGCCCACAGGTCTTGGGGGCCTCTGCGCCTTCCTCCATTGTTGCTCATGATCCCACATTCCAGGCCCAAATTCAAGTCCCTCCTCCCCAGGCCTCCAAACGCAACTCTGTGGAGCCCCAGCCCAGGGCTCTTTTCCTTAGGCCCTATTTTTTGTTGGGCCCTGGCTGAGGGGTACAGGGGGAGAGAGAGAGAGCTGAGGGGTACAGGGGGGAGAGAGAGAGAGAGACAGAGAGAGAGAGAGAAAGCCTCGCCAGCTGGGTGCATCTTGGTAAGAAAATACAAATGGTCCTCATCACTTCACATCACAAAACACAGGCTCAGCCCCCATCGAAGCCCATGCCATCATCAACTCTCCTGCTCCCCACCCAGCTCAGGCCTGGGGGTGGCAGCTTGGGGCAGGCAGTGGGCATGGCAGCCTCTGGCTGAGCTGCGCTCTGGGTTTGCAGAGGTTGAGAGCTGTCCCTCTTTCTCTGTGGGCTCCTCCAAGGGTCCTAAGAGCCTGGCCCCATGGTCCCCTGACTAGAGTGTTTCACATGGGCCTCAGGGGACCCATAAGCCCCCAATACTTAGTGGCAGCTCTGCCTCCTCTTGGCTGAGGTCGGTTCACTCTCTGGGCAGCCTCCTTCGACTGGACCTAGGAGACTCCATGCTGTCTCTCACAGGAGGCCCTCACCTGGGCCGCCAGCCCTCTCCTTAGCTCCGCCTTCAATGCAGCCAGCCTGACTGCCCTCTAGACTTTGCAGTGGGTGAGGCATCAGTCCAAGGGATTTATTAAACTGCAGGGGACACGGTGAAGCTCTCTGGCGGCTTTCTTTAAAGCCCCTTTCCTTGCAGCTTGAAGTGAAGAGAGGGCGGCCGACCGCACCCCTTGGACTCAGCTCGCCTCTCTGAAACCTCCCTCCTCTAACCTCAGCGCCTGACTCCTTGGCTCCCACTCCAGCCCTTAGTGTGGGTAGGGGCTCAGCCACCTCTTCCCTAAATTCTGCTTCACTCGTGGGCAGAAGCCAAGGGCTCGGACGGGGCCCCACCCTCTGCACACCCCCTCCATCCCTCCTCATCCGAGCTGCAGTTCTCGGTCAGCATTTGTAAGACGGATGAGTGTGGACCACCCCAGGACGGGCACACCCAGCATATGCTAGGAAGGGCTGGGACCACGGAGAAGGAGCTTTATTCCGGCAGCATGTGCTGTGTGCACCAGGTTGGCCACTAGCCTCCTGGTTCAGCTCCTGGCACTCAGGCTAGAAGCGATGGACGACTCTGGCTCAGGGAGAGTAGGGAAGGGGGATGCTGTCCACATCCGCCCAGATCAGGGCCTCAGGCTGATTCCAGAAGACTCAGATGTGGCCTGAGTGGCACTGTTCTCGGCTGATTCATTCGGATGAGCGTTGCCCTTTCCACTCCGCCCACATCCAGTCTGTGTGCCTGAGCTTTCTCAACTGTCAGGCAGGTAAATAACAATGCCTGCCTCCCAGTTAATTCATGGAAAGTGCTTCCTGACTTATGCTCAGAACTCCGTAAATAAATGTTAACTCACATTGTTTGTCCCTTCAGGTAGTTGGGCAGGCTCTTGCCCCAGCCACTTGGCTCTCCCTTTGTACACCTCAAGCCAGCTGGAGCTGCCCTGAGCAGCCACCTGGGACCTTAGACACCTTGGCCCATCTGGCATTTGTTTGGCAGAATCTACCATGAGGCCTTCTGTTGGGTGGCCAGGTTGAAGGGTCTGGAAGAACTCCTAGCACCCCCAATCTGTCATCCCTGCCACAGGGACAGTAAGGACACTTGGTTCAAGTCACCTTGGAGATAGGGCCTCGCTCCCACATGCCCACAGGGAATGGGAACTGGCATTGCCTCCAGGAAGAAACCTCCAGGGCCACCAGGACCAGGGGACCTGCTTCCAAAGCCTGGCTGGGCTTCAACTTCTGAGACCCTGAACCAGCTATGTAACTTCCTGGAGCTTCCTCTGCTCAACCAGATGATAATTTGCTCCCTCAGAGACAGTCATGGGCCAGAAGAGAGAGATTGTGACCTCGAAGGGGCTTTGTTTCACATATAAAGTAGCATTAGCATTTTAGGATTCCAGCATTTTAAAAGCCAGAGAAATCGGTAATTTATTTTTCTCTGTGGCTATTTCTTTCTCTCTGCCAACTGCCGAGTGCCACCCCATCCCCGGGTAACCAGTATTACCGTGCTGCTCTCTAAACAAAACTCCTTTCAAAAGACAATGTTCAATTAGCTGGGCCACAGTTTCTGAACACTAAATTCAAAGAGTGGCAGCCTTTTCCCAATATATAATGGGAACGTCAAAGTCAGTTTTTTAGGACTACTTCTAATAACTGTGGACTGGGTAATTTGGACCAAATTCCCAGTTCAGGACAACTTAAAAAGCTGCTCAAAATTTGCGTGTGTGTGTGGGGCGGGGGAGGACATTTTGAACAGCTTTTAAAGTTATATATATATATATTTAATAAATATATGTACGTATATATATATATTTAATAAATATATGTACGTATATATATATATTTAAGTCTAATTGAGAGTATTGGGCAGGAAACAAAGCAGTGAAGAATTACAAGGCCAAGATCTGGGAAAAGAAGGCAACTCAGAGACATATGCATGGCATCTGGGACTACGTTTTCTGTAGGGGGTCTGCTGATTCTAGAAGACACTGCAAAGCCCACCAACAGGAAGGCTACCTGGCAAATGTTTCATGCTTTGGGTTGGAGCCCCAGTGGGCTTCACCCTATGAATATGAATGAAACAGAAGTAGGTCAGCCCTTAAAGTGACTCAAATCCTCTCATCCCCTACAAGTAGATGAAAGAGATCTGGCTCACTGCATCCCCAGCCACCTGCCAGATGTAAACATAATCCTCATAGAGGAAGATAACTCCATCCTAGACCTGAAATTACTTGTACTCAATTAAAACATTGCCAAGTATGGGAGGAGACAGGACAAAACTAACAAAAAACAAGAGAAACAACAGGCACTAGAAACAGACTCATGGAGGCTCCATATAAGGGACTAACTGAACTTTAAAATAACTATGCTTAATATGTTCAAATATATAAAAGATAAAATAGGTAATTTTGAAAGAGAACTGAAAATATTTTAAAAATGGTTTCTATTCCATTTGTAATGCCATCAATTTTATTTTTGAAATGCAAGGGTGCTACTTCCCCCAGGTAGGTCAACAGATGAGTAACAAGCAAAAAAAAAACCTCTAGGAAAAGCAAAAAGAGGCAGTCATGCTACATTCAAGCATGCTCATCTGACAGTGATAATAATACATTGTGTATGCACCATTCTAATTCCCAGTAGAAAACTTGTTGCTGGTTTATAAGATGCAGTTAAACATAGACACTTCCAGCCTGGGCAACATGGCAAAACCCCGTCTCTACAAAAAATACAAAAATTAGCCAGGCATAGTGGCACACACCTGTAGTCCCAGCTACTCGGGAGGCTGAGGCATGAGAATCGCTTGAGCCCAGGAGGTGGAGGTTGCAGTGAGCCAAGACTGCACCACTACACTCCAGCCTGGGTGACAGAGCGAGACCCTGTCTCAAAACAAACAAACAAACAAAAACAAACAACACAGACACTCCCTGAAACCCAGCAGACCACAATCTTAAAGGAATTTCTGCCTTTGAATAGAGGCCTGCCTCCCTCTTCCCTCGTACATGCCCGGATGCTAGCTCTACCCCCGGCCCAGAGCAGTCATGGCAAACAACAACAACGACAATAATAATAGGCAGCTTCCATCCACTGAGCATTTGTTTTGTGCCAGGCCACTGCTAAGGGCTTTCCACAAATTATCACATTTGATTTTCACAACCCTTTGAGGAGGCTGTGACTATTCTCCCCATCTCATAAATGGAGAAGCTGAGCGAACAAGCATCACAGCCAGGCTGTGAGTCCAGGTCTGCCTGCTCCTGACAGCAGGCTCCCAGGCTGGGACCCACTCCCTACCTGCAGATTGCTGGAATAATCCCTGGATGCCTGCAGCCAGAGGTGACCTTAGAACTCTCCTCTCCATAAACACTCATTAAACACCAACTATGTACAGGGTCCCAGCCTAGGAAACCTGGTTTTAAGGACCCAGAACCAAGTCTCAGGGAAGTGAGAACACTTTAATGGATCTGAGGTCTGTCCATCTCTTCTCTCTCCTCTTCCTCATTTCTGGAACGCAGTGTCCAGCACTCAGGGCTGACACAGGGATGGGCTGGGGATGACCCTAGGCCACATGCGCAGGATAAAAGGGGCCGTGCAAAATCCTGTTCTGGCCACCAGATCACTCCTAAGAAAGTTGGGTGGGGGCTGTGGAAGATGCTTCCTTCTGAAGAGGTAAGGGCAAGCCCCCACTGTGGCCCAGGTCCCAGGTCCCTTCCTTGGGAGCCAGCACTCAGAGAGAAGCTAAGTGCTGGTACCCCCATTTCTAACTTGGGTGCAGGCAGGGAGGCTCGGCCTTCAGACAGGCCTCCCTCACCCCACTGGACACCAATAAATCCTGGATGAGATCTGCAGAGGGCCCAAGGCCCTGGGGCAGTGGAGGGCTCAGAGGCCATGAGGCAGGGCCTGCAGCCAGCCCAGACCTAGGCCATGGTGGCCCCTGCCTGATTAGTGGCGTTACCTGAGTGGTTTGGTTGGGCAGGGTGGTCTCTGGGGCCAGCAAGGTAGCAGTGGAGATATGGTGAAGAGGGGACTAAGGGAGGAAGCAAAGGGCCAGGAAGGGCATAAGAGGGAAGTGGGGGCCAGGGGGGAGGCCAGATGAGGACGGTGTGGGGGGCGAGGGGCTCAGAGAGGGGCAGGGGGAGGCTTGGCAGGGGGAGGCTTGGCAGGGGGAAGACACACGGGAAGGGGAGTGGGGTTGGACGAGGCCTCTGTCCCACCCCAGGGTCCAGGCTCCAGCAGGTGGAGAACAGGCTCTTCCTGTGAGGATGCCACCAGCATGGGGGTAAGGGGTGACACCTGGAGGGACTTGCTGGCTCTGCAGCTGCACAGAAGTCCCATGTGATTCTGAGCGTGAATGATGGGGGTCGTGAGCAGAAAGGGGTGGAAAGGAGCAGGCAAGGTGGGGCCAGGTAAGCCGGAACTGGGGACAGTCCAGGCCTGGATGCCAGCCTGGGCTCTGGGGCAAGAGCTACCGAAGTCCTGTGGCCCAGGCTAAATCAAAGGGGAGGACAGGCAGCCTCAGGGTCACCTCACCCTGTCAGGGATTAAGAAGGAAACGGGTGAAGGGGAGGGAGGGGAGAACAGGGCTGTCAGCCCCACTGCTGGATGGGCCACACCCAATACCCAGACTCCACCATGTCCCCAAGCCTTCCTGCCCTCCTAGGCCCTGGAAACCCCAGACCCCAGCCCCTCCCCACCCCACTCCCTTAATCCCTGGCAGGGAGCAATTAAGCGAGTTGGGGAAAACTCACCCACAAGGCCCTACAGCTTCAGGGAGGTAACCCGGGGGATGTGGAAGAGCTGAGTCTCCTCAGAGCTGGTGGAGCTGCAGTGTCAAAGACAGAGAGTGAGCATACCCTTCCCCCCAGACCCTCAGCCCTGACACAGGGACAAACCCAGAGCCCTGAGGGTTTCTCCTCGGAAGCCCTGTGGGGGATGGGAAGGGTCCCACGAAGCTGCGCCCAAATGGATGCAGCAAGAAGGGTAAGGGGCAGACATACGGGAGAACTTCCTGGCTTTGGAGCTCCTCAGAGTGTGGCTCTTCAGGGCTCGCTCATGAGCCTCCTCTGCCTGGGAGGTCTCAGGAGGGGCTGTGACAGGGGACCCTGGCGGCTGAAAGGACACCTCCCTGGCCCCTGATGCTGCCTGCAGCCCTGGCAGCCCCTCACCTGAGGCGTTTCCGGATAGGACGGAAGTATTTGGAGGTCTTGACGGCAAAGATGATGCTGGGGATCAGGAAGAAGGTGCACCATGCCAGGCAGAACCAGAAGGCATTCTGCAACAAGGCGTGAGGTCGGCTCACCAACCCACGTGGCACCCAGCCTCACCCAGCTGCCTTGTCATCAGAGCCGGGGCAGAGGCCATGCCTGGCTTCACACCCTGCTCACCCGGCCCTCCCTGGAGAGCAGGAAGGCTCCGGGACTTGGTGAACAAGCCCCGATGAGCTGGGGCACTCACCCAGGGGTCAGCCATCATGTCACACAGGATCACACGGCTGTTGTCCAGGGCTCCGGAGAGGGGCTGGCAGGTGGCAATGCGCTGAGTCACCTGTGGCGCCAACATGAGGCAGGTGATGCAGAGACACCTGGACCCACAGGCGCACACCCATATTCAATTCAGGGAGAGTGGTTGACAGGGACACAGAAAGGCCTGGGGACACCATTGGGGCCACCGCACACTTGTATACACATGCAGAGAGGCAGGTACAGACAGATGCGGACATACTCTACAGACTCCTCGCTGGGCCCCTCCCCTTTCCATCTGTTCACCAGCCTGGATTAAGGCCTACTATGACCCAGCACTGTGTGTCAAGCCACAGTGCTTGAAAGCACACATGTGTGTGCATGCATACACACACACTCACACACACATAGACACACAGACACACTCAGGGTAAAACCAGACCACTGTTGCCCTAGTGTGGGCATCCAGACAGCTTGCAGAGGCTGTGTTCAGCAAGGGTCTGCATCGGGAGGTGGGCTTTGAGGATTGGCCTTGGACAAGCTGGGGAAAGGGCCAGCCCAGGGAAGGACCTGCAGGCCAGGTGTGATGAAACATTTTGGAGAACGCCAACCCTGCTCACACTCAGCTCAGGGAAGCGCTGCAGCAGAGGTGGGGTGGACAGAGCTCAGCCAGCAAGCAGGGGTGCAGATGCCAGGTTTGGGAGTTTGGGTTTGATCCTGAAGGCCTGGGTCACCCCCAAGGGGCTCCGGGGGCGGGGGCGGGGCAGAGCAGGGTGAACAGCTGGTCCGATGGAGCAGGGAATCAGTCATTGCTTCTGAGGCCCCACTCACCTCCTCTCTCACCCAGGCCACGTACTGGGAGAAGTAGCCCATCTCCCGGGCCAGGAAACACTCACTCACCTGCAGGAAGGAAAGGAGGTCTGAGCTGTAGGGGTCCCAGAAGCAGCAGTGCCCCCCACCCACGCCACCCCCCATGCCTGGCAACTTGAGGACAGGCCCAGCTTTCCTGGGAGCCACAGTGAGAAGCTGGGACTGGAGAAGCCTGGGGTGGAAGCCCCTTCCCTGTCCCACCCACCACTCACATTCCTCAGGATCCTGGCTGCCCAGGCAGGCAGCTCTCCTTTCAGGTAGGTGACATTGGCTAGGACATCTGAGGTCTCCAGCTGGAGGGGACGAGAGCCTCAACTCAGTGTCCCACATTCACGCATCCATTCATTAATTCAACACACACCACAGCACACTCAGCAGGAGAGGGTTCAGCTCCAACAGACAAGCCAAGGGTGGTGATCCCCCAGGCTCTGCTGCCACCCCCATCTTCCTCCCAACCCCACCTGCAACCTGGGCAGAGCTCTGAGGTGCAGAGTGAGATGGGCTCCTACTTCCTCCCCGCCTCTGCAGCCCCTGTGCTCCACCATACGTCCCCACCAACAGCAGCCACCTGGAGATTCGGGGCAGAGGACTCCAGGGCCCTGACGCTGAGGTTGAGCTTTGCCTGTGGAGAAGAGATCAGGGCTGGTTAGGGGAGTGCAAGGGAAGGGGAGGGAGGAGAGGGGAGGAAAGTGGAGGGGAGTGGAGGGGAGGGGAGGGGAGAGGAGGGGAGAGGAGGGGAGAGGAGGGGAGAGGAGGGGAGGGAAGGGACTCTCAGAACTTCCCTCCCCTTTCACTGTCCCCTCTCCACGTCTCCCCTCCCCCAGGCCCCAGGCTCCCCGGGCCTCCAAACTGACCACAAGGCTCTGCTGGGGGACGACCTTCTCCTGGTGAAGGTTTCTGAGTCCTTGGGCCTCCTCCTGCAGCCGCTGCCCCAGCACAGAATTGTCCTGAAAGGATACAAAAATCAGAACGGCCCCGCCCAGGACCCATCTACCCGTCACCCAGCCTTTCAGTCTGACATACCAAGAGAAAGTGGGAGTGCTGGGCTCAGAGGCAGAAAACTGAGGCCTCCTTAAGCTCCAGGGCCTGATCTTGGTTTGGGGGGCCTAGATCCAAATTCTAGGTTCACTCTAGCTTGCTGGGTGCCCCTAAGTCAGTCACAGAACATGCCTGAGCTGCAGGGGCACCTGCTGAAATTGAGGATGCTTCTGGCTCTGCCCACCCTGTGGGGTTGTTGTGGGGCCTATGGGATGTTTCAAAGAGAACTTTTAAACCCTAAATAGTTATAAATACAAAATGCTATTTTTCCCCTCAAGGGCAACTGCCATGACATCTCATTCATCCCAATGTCCTCACAGCACCTGTCCCAGCAAATCCCACAAGTGGCACACACAGAAACACCTGCCCAACTGCGTGAGGCCAGAGAAGTGATTTCATCTGCTCTGAGATGGAGGACAGTCCACCCAACAGATGAAGAACCTCCGGCTCAGAGATGCTGCATGTCTTGCCCAAGGCCACACAGCCAACGGGTGGCAGAGCTTGAGTCAGAACTGATGCTGCAAAACCCTCCAGCCCAGCCAGGGGTCAGGAGCCTCAGGCCTCACTGGTGGGGGTCCTCAGTTCCCTGCCTTTGCCCTCACATCCTCCCACCCTTTCCCGCCTCCCAAGCCCCCTGTGGCTCCTGCTGCCCAGTCGGGGCCCTGTTTCCCACTCACTTGGGCCTGGGCCAGTCCTTGCAGCTCCTGGGCCAGCTGCTCCATGCTGGTCTTCACCACGGGCCTCTGGATCTGCAGGTGGACAGAAGAGGCCAGGAGGGATGAACCCAGCTCCCCTGGGGCCCACCACCACCTGATCCCAGCCTCCAAATCCCCAGTCTTATCAAATATAACCTACACCAGCTAAGTGTATTGTGACACATCAGTCACAGTGAGTTTTCCCTGGAACTGTGAAATATTTCAGACATTTTCCCAGTGAGATAGAAACAACAAGAACAAATAAGGCACCCTCTGGTGTAACTAAGGAAGAGGCAACTTCCCAATGCGTCCTCGGCAGCAGTGGGTTCAGGACCATGAACAGCAACACATGCTGTTGGGTTGGGGGAGAGGTTGTCCATTCCTGTGTGACCGGGGTGGTGGCAGGAGGACAGGCCCAGGGGCACATGATCTGGGGACACCTCCACAGGAAGAGGCCCCAGGAAATGTGGAAGAGCCAGAGCTGGGACAAGGCAAGATGCACACCCAGCTCCTCTGTGGGCCCCTTCGTTCCATCACCACCTGCTGAGGAAGCCCTGCTGAGGTGCCCACCGCTGACCTGAACGAGGAAGTCGGGGTAGTGGATGCGCTGAAGCCCACTGCTCTGCAGGGCCTCCAGGTCCCGGCGGGCGGCTGAGCTCAGCAGGTCCAGGCTCTGTGTGTCTACTTTCAGGCTCTGCAACTCCTGCCGTAGCTTGTTGGTATACTGGGAGAGCAGGCGCAGGGTGGGAGTCATGCCCAGTTGCTGAGCCAGGACCCCAGAGATGCTCCCCTAAGCACAGGGGTCACCAGGCGATATGGTTTGGATATTTGTCCCCTCCAAATTTCATGTTGCAATGTGATCCCCGGTGTTGGGGGTGAAGGTGGGCCTGGTGGGAGGTACTAGATCACGGGGGCGGATCCCTCACGTATGGCTTAGTGCCATTGCCATGTGATGAGTGAGTTTTGCTCAGTTATTTCACGTGTTTGAAAGAGTGTGGCACCTCTGCGTTGGCTCTCTCGTTCCCTCTCTCCCTATGTGATGTGCTGGCTCCCCTTGGCCTTCGGCCATGAGTGGAAGCTTCCTGAGGCCTCCCCAGAAACGGCTGCCGGTGCCATGCTTCCTGTACAGCCTGCACTTAAACCTCTTTTCTTTATAAATTATGCAGCCTCAGGTATTGCTTTTTTTTTTTTGGTTGGGGAAGCGGACAGGGTCTTGCTCTGTTGCCCAGGCTGGAGGGCAATAGCACAATCACAGCTCACTGAAGCCTAGATCCCCCGGGCTCCAGTGATTCTACCACCTCAGCCTCTCGAGTAGCTGGGACTACAGGTGCAAGAAACCACACCTGGCTTTTAAAAAAAATTGTAGAGGAGGGTCTCCCCATGTTGCCCAGGCTGTTCTTGAACTCCTAGGCTCAAGTAATCCTTCCACCTCAGCTTCCCAAAGTACTGGGATTACAGGCATGAGCCACCATGCCCCAGCCTCAGGTATTCCTTTATAGCAACACAAGAACAGACTCACACAGCAGGCCCTCAGGGCCCCCTGCCCTGGACACCCCAAGCCCCAGACAGGCTCCCAGTAGGCCCCTGCCCCAAATGCCAAGACCTGGCCTTCCTCCAGTGCCCATCTGGCTTCTGGGCAGAGACACAGACCTTCCCTGGCCACCTGAAATAAAATAGCTCTCTCAGCCGCTCTTTATCCCATCAGCTGTGTCGAGGCCTTCAAAGCACTTGTTGCTCTGAAATGATCTTATTTGTGGGTTAATTGTTCAATGCTGTCAGCTCCACAAGAGTGGGACTTTGCCTGCCTATTCAGCCCCAAACCCCCAGCATCTAACTCGGAGGGTCACACATGGTGGGCAGGAGACAAGTTTGTTAGCTGTGTGAATGAATGAATGAATGAATGAATGAATGAATGAATGAAACTGTATTTTCAGGAAAGAGCCTTAGCATTTTCCTACTATCACTGGAAGAGATTTAGAGGTCATAAAAGTCAGCCCAGTGTTTAACAGATAAGAAACTGAGGTCAGAGTGGAGCGTCCACTTGCCGAGGTTACACAGGTGGTTAGAGACTGCAGCCCAGCTTGGCTCTCCTCCCCGCATCCCTCCAGGCTGCCTTCTCCTGGAGGAGAAAAGGCCTGGCCCTCTCGGGTGGGGGCCTTCGGGCCGTGTCTCAGGCATCAGTGGCAGCAGCTTCAGGAGAAGTGGAAAGGTGGCTGGTGCCCTCCCCGTGCTCTGGAAAGCCCTGTGTGTTACTCATGTCTGCCTACCCATCAGTGTCTCCTTTGAGGACGAGGATTCTTACAGCCACATTTGGTACATTGTCAGGTGGCCTCAGAGGACTGCCCAGTGCATCTGAATCCAAAGCCCTATCTATCCAGACTCTCCTGTGAGCTGGACCCTCCCCTGCCAAGGACCAGAGCCCAGGACTCCTCCCCTCGAGAGCCATGGCTTCCTGCCAGTAGAGGATGGGGGCTCCTCTGCCCAGGCCCCTGGTTCATCCCTCCCTGGCCAGGCTTCCTCCACAGGGCAGTGTCTCAGCCTAGCACTGAGATATCGCCTGCTCGGGGAGCTCCTGTCTGGTTAAAGATGCGGAAGGAGGAGTGAGCTGCATAACTGTCCCAGGTTGTGCAGTTCAAGGTACAGAGTTGGGGCTGGGCCATCCGGCTGTGCTGTCCGTGGGCCGAGGCTGGTTGGTGGATCCAGGGGTTGGAAGGGTTTCCCAGAACGATGCAAAATCAGGAGTTAGCATGCTCTGTGTTTGGGGAGGGCGAGGGGAACCAGGGCCAGGGGATGTGGGTTTCCCCAGCATATGCTTAGGAGCGTGGAAGTCGAGGAGTGAATGTCTTCCAGCTGCTGTGCACCATGAGGAGAGCCCCATTCTCAAAGTCCATCCCTCTTGTGAAACAGCCCTTCCTTGCCTTCATTCTAGAACTGTCTCTTTCCAGCATTGGCAAGTGTCTCCAGTTCTACACACCAAGTTCCAGTAACTCCAGAGGTTACAGGAAGAGGCTTGTCAGGCTGGGGATGGAATCCTGCCACCACCACCTCCCACCTGCGTGAGCTTGGCAGGCCCTCCACCAACGTTAGCCAGACTCACCACCATCCTTGTCACTGCCACGTCCTTCCCCAGCCTCCCCCTCCCAAGTGGAGCATCCCAGCCAATGCCTGTCCTCAGTCAGGACACATGGGCCCCCTCATCCTCCTGCTCACTGTCACCAGCCTTTCCTGCTGCCACCTTGGCTGTGCTTGGGGCTGGACATAGCCTTCAGGTGCACACGGACCCACCTACACACCCGGAACCTTCCCCAGAGCTGATAACTGGGCCTCTGCCCTTGGGCACCTTAATCGCTCACACAGACTTCTCAGGTCTCCTAGGTTCAAAGAGACGGTGCCTCCACAGAGGCAAAAAGACCAGAGGAGGGGGATCTGAGGAGGGCTCCTCACAGTTTCCAAAACGTTCTCTCACCTGGTTGATATCCAGGTGCTCCTCCAGGTCGTAGGAGTCGTTGAGCTGCAGGACTGTCCAGAGCGCTGCCCCTTCCTTGCACTGCCTGAGGAGGAGTGAGGGGTGCAGACGATGAGCCTTGGGGGTGGCGGGGGGGCTGATGTCCCCTGAGGGACACCGGCCCTCCTCCTTCCTTCCCCGGTCCCAGCTCTGCCCAGGCTGTCCACTCACTGATAGGCTTGGTGGATGCTGATGTTCTTCCTCAGGCCAAGAAGTTGCGACAGGTTCATGGACGGGGGCAGGTTCCCTGGGGTGTCTGCAAACTGGGGATGGGGCAGTGAGAAATGGGCACAGAGCGGGGTGGGGGCAAGGCCACCCTGGTCCCCTAGGGCCTGGCCCTGTGCTGCTGTGGCACAGCACAGACCAGGGGTAGGAAACATCCCCTCACCCCAGCTCACACCTGGCCTCTAACTCTGGTGACCCCTGGGCCCCAAATCCTTACAGGGGCTCTTCCCATGAATCCCTAGGAGGGTTGCCCAGCCCGATCTTCTGCAGAGAACCCAGTCCAGCATCGCAGCTCACCGGGCACCAGGGTCCCAGCTCCCAGACAGTGTTAGGAGATGAGAGGGAATGGGTCAGGGTGCCATCTCTCAGGGTCCCTGCCCTGGGGCCTGGGCAGCATCTCAGGGACTCATGGGTGCTCTCTCCCTCCACCATCCACTGGCGGGTTTCTGTCTCTTTCCTTGGCCATGTCTGTCTCACTCCTCCCCTCCCTCTCTCCCTTTTACCCCCCGACCCCCACTTTCCCCCAACCCTCCTGCTCTGCTGATACCGCCCCCCACCTCTCTCCCCAGGAGGGCCTGTGAGCAGAGACAGGCCTACCTCAAAGAGCTCGCCGTTCTCCCAGCTCTGGCACACCAGCGTCTGCACGTTGCCACCCACCAGGAAGGTGGCGAACACCAGGAGGATGAGGGGTGCAGCAAAGAGGAAGCTGAGGCCCACACCTCTGGGGTAGGCGAGAGGCAGGACTGAGGGACAGCAGGGACTGGCTGCCCTGACCATACCCTCTGTCCCACCCTCACCCCAGGGCCAGCCTGCTCAGCCAGTTGGCCCCAGCACAGAGCCTTTAGAGGAAAGGAGCTTGGAGGACTTGGCCTCCTGGAGAGGAGGGAGAACCCAGTATTCCTGACTGTCCCGGCCTCACCTTCACCTCATCCCCACCCTGTTCCTGGTTCCCTGGCTGGCCCTGGCAGCCTAGAGGAGAAAACAGCTGTTTTGTTCAAAGAGCCAGGACTATCCGGGCTCACACCTATAATCCCAGCACTTTGGGAGGTTGAGGTGGGAGGACAGGTTGAGGTGGGAGGATAGCTTGAGTCCAGGAGTATGAGACCAGCCAGGGCAATAAGTGAGACCATGTCTCTACAAAATTTTAAAAATTAGCTGGGGGTGGTGGCACACGCCTGTAGTCCCAACTGTTTGGGAGGCTGAGGTGTGAGAATCGCTTGAGCCTGGGAGGGTGAGGCTATAGTGAGCCATGATGGTGTCACTGCACTCCATCCTGGGTGACAGAGCAAGACCCTGTCACAACAACAACAAACAAAACAAAAAACAAACAAAACCCAAAGAGCCAAGACTGCTCACTTCTGTGCCTAGGGCCCATGGAGGTGACCTACTCCAGGACCCAGCACTCAAAAGGGTCACCTGGCATGACCAGGCATGACCTGCCGACAGGGCAGAATCCCAGCAGGTCTGAGGAGTAAAGATCTTAGACCAGGGGGCTCGAAGGGCTTATGAGGCAGGCACAGCCCCATGTCAGGCTGTGAGGCTTGGAAAGTAAAACATGGGGTGGATTTCAGCCCCCACTTACCCCCTTAGCCAGGTACTCTTGTTCAGTGAACAGCCTGTACAACTGTATGTGGCAGCCTTGGCCTTAGAGACCGTCTAGTCTGGGGTTGGCAAACAGATTCCACCTCTGGTGCTGCTGCCTATTGGTGGTGGGGGCCGCCTGGAAGCTGGGGTAGGGACTCTAGGCTGTGTCTGACTCAGGGTAAGGAGTGCCCATTAGGTGCTACAGTTGCCCCTGCTGTAGGAAGGAAGAGCTCCTTGTTGGCCATTCCTGCTCTGGTTCAACCCCTTTATTCAGATGATGACACTGACACTGGCAGCCACACCGGGAGCTATGCTCAGGAGCGAGAGTAATCAGCCAGCCCTATAAGAGGGGACCCTTCCCCTCTCCCAGCCCTTTCTTACGCCATGAGGAAGCGGGCTCCAGCCTCGCCCTTGGCTTCTGGGTGGCTGGGGTCGTCCCTGGCAGACAGGCCCCAGATGCCCAGATTGAGGCCCAGCAGGTTGCAGAGCACCACGAATAGGACCACGGAGCACAGCACGCAGCCCACGATCCACCTGCCACAGAGAGGACATGGGTGTCACTAAGAAAGGAGGTGGCTGGCACCAACATGGACAGGTGCGGGACGTGGCGACCGGGTGTGGCCTCTAACCCCAAGGCTGGGGCTTCAGAAATGCAGATACAGACTCTTCCTGAGGCCCTACTGCTCTTGTGTGGTCTCCAGGCTCAGGTTCCAAGGGCACACAGCCTCATAGGGACTTGGAGGCCTCTGGAGTCAGGGGTCTTGGCTTAAAAATATGCAGAAGCGGCCGGGCGCGGTGGCTAAGGCCTGTAATCCCAGCACTTTGGGAGGCCAAGGCTGGTGGATCACAAGGTCAAGAGATAGAGACAATCCTGGCCAACATGGTGAAACCCTGTCTCTACTAAAAATGCAAAAATTAGCTGGGCGTGGTGGCGCACGCCTGTAGTCCCAGCTACTTGGGAGGCTGAGGCAAGAGAATCGCTTGAACCGGGGAGGCAGAGGTTGCAGTGACCCAAGATCGCCCCACTGCACTCCAGCCTGGTGACAGAGCAAGACACCGTCTCAAAAAAAAAAAAAATGAAAAAAACAAAAACAAACAAACAAACAAAAAACACAGAGGCTCAGTACAGTCAGGGGCTGATAGAGGCTGGGAATGGGGCTCAGGGTGTCAGGGTGGCATAGAGGCTGGGCTGCCCACCCCACCCCACCCCATCCCACCCTGCGGTGCCCAGCACCTGTAGGTCTCGTATCTCTGCACCTCCTGCAGGTAGGGGCGGCTGCTCTCCTCCACCTCCTGCAGTGCCTGGGCCCAGCGGGAAGCTGCCTCCAAGCCCGGGAACCCTTCAGCCAGTGTCCTCACCCCTTCCGGCTGCTGGGCCACTGCCTTCTTCAGCTCTGCCCAAAGTAACAGGGACTTGTGGGATGCGGAGGGCACCCTGGGGCCCAGGAACAAGACAAGCGGGCAGGAAGAACATCTGGGAACCACAGAGGGAAGACAGTCCCCCGCCACCCCAGTCCTCTCTCAACAAGCCTCCCTGGTAGGGGTGGGGTGGGAAGCCATGCCTGGCAGCTGCCTCTGACCCGTGTGGCCTAACCTTGCACCACGCTGGATGTCTGCATGGCAGCCAGGGCTGGAAGGGCGTTGAAGGTGCTGTTCTCCTGCAGGAACCAAGTAGTGCTGGGCCTCCCCATCTCTGCCCAGTGTCCCCTCTTGGGAGACCCCAAAGTCACCAGGCCTAGAGGGAGGGCCCCCCTCAGTGCTCCCAGTTTCCCTCTTTTCTCTTGGTCGCTGCCCTCCTCTCCCATCCCCTGGCCCAGTCTGACTCAACTTCCCAAAACGTTGCTCCTCCCGGACCTCTTCTTCCTACCCCCATCCCTCTCCCACCATTGCAGTGAACTCTCAGCCGCCCTCCACACAACTGCCAGGTCTAGCTCCTGAAGGTCCAGCTCCAGTCCACCCTTCTAGCCTCAGCTCTGACTTCCTTCCTTCTGGAACCTTCCACTCCAGCCACCCAGCATGGCTGACTCATCATTTCCCCAGCTCCAGGTCCTGGGTCCTGGGCGCTGACTCACAACACCGCATCCTCCCCCTTGGCCCATCTCCACCCAGGGGAGCCGCCTGCCCTCTGGGCTCAGACTGAGCACTGCTCCCTTGCCACCCCCAGACGCCTGCCGCCTTGAAGGGCCCAGCTCTCCCATCTGAGCACAGATTGTGTGCACACCAAGGATGGTCGTCGGGAGTCCCCTGCCCAGGGTGCTGTGTGGTGGGTGGGACCCCAAATATTAGGTTCAACTGGGTTCCTGCCCAAAAGGGGGAAACAGAGGCCCTCACTTGGCAGGTGAGGGAGAAATCAGGCAGACCAGGTGGCTCTCACCTCCTGGACCATGCTGGAGAAGTTGGCCTCGGGGACACCTTTTAGCTGGTGCAGGACATGGTCCACAGAGGGCACCTGAAATGGGGGAAGGTGGGTTATGACAAAGTTCATGGAGAGGCCTGAAGGGGATCCCTGAGGGTGGATGAGGGGGGCAGGGGCCTCTGAACCCCAATGTCCTCAAGTGTAAAATGAGGACTGCCATGGCTCTTACTGCCCCTGGTGGCAGCAAGAACTCAAGGAGCTCACACACATGAAGTTCACGTACAGGGCGTGGCCTGGGGAGCACTCCACCCACTGCCAGGATGACCCGCATTAACCCTGGGTGGGTGGAGCAAGGGAGGAACATTGGGGCAAGGGGACTGGGAATTTGCCAGATCCCAGGAGCAGCAGGCAGCTAGCCCTCCGTGGCTTTAAGAGGACTCTGTCCTGGGTCTGCACCTGGCTGAAGTCAGCACCCAGCTCCAGGGTGCGGGCCCAGCTCAGGGCCCCTGCACAATCTCCCTGGCACCTGGCCTCCTGCAGCAGCTCAAGGAGGCGGTCCCGGTGTTCCCGGATGGCTGGCTCCAGGTCCTGCTGCCCGGCCTGCAGCTCTACCACTGTAGCATTCAAGGTTTGCAGGTGGTGCACGGAGACCTGCAGGACTGAGAGACCCACACCCAGCCTGAGCAGGGTCCACCATATGCATCCCCAGACGCCTTGCAGGAGGCAGAACTCCCCTCCCCCAGCCAAAGGGACCTGCAAATCATTGACCTCCTGCCTACAGTGGAAACTGCCCCAGGGCACATTAAGCCAGGGGAGGGGGGCTGGATCCTGGGGTACAGCGATGGGGAAGTCACAGGTGGGGCAGAGGTGGCTCAGGAAATCCAGGGCTAGGTGCAGGTGGGATCGCCCCAGGAGGACACCCGCTGGGCTCCACACTATCCAGGATGCGGCTCCAGCTCACCCTGGCCCAAACTGCCCACGGCCGCCAGCAAGGGGTACACGGAGCTCCTGAGCTGAGTGTGGATCGCGCTCCCAATGCTCACACCAACACCTGCAGAGCACAGGGCAGTCTGCAGGGTGGGACCCCAAGAGTGGAGGGGCCCTCCCCATTCCCATCCTGCCTCCCCAGGCCCCACCGGGCTCTGCAGGAGCCGGGGGGTGGAGGGGAGTGAAGGAGCGGGGACACGGCTTCTTCCTCCAGCAGCTGAGTGGCGGCCACTCTTGCTCTCCAGCCGGCCTGATCCCCACCTCTACCAGCCTGTTCCCGGGGGTGTCCAGAATGAGGGAGTGAGAGGCCCCCACCGAGGCACCCGAGCAGGGGCCCTGGAAGGAGCCAGCCCACCTGCCAGTCCCCGAGACCCTCACCATCCAGCTCCTCTGAGACTTGCTCCTGGGGCAGGGAGAATTGCTGTGCCACGGCCTGCAGCTCCTAGGCAAACACAAGGCCCTGAGGCTGCCCTTCCTGGTCACCCACAGTCCTTACGCCCTTCTCTCCCTGGCCCCTTCCCTGCCCCTATGGCATCCACCCTGAGGGTGGTCGACTCTCAGGCAAGGGCGGGAGAGGAGGCGGCTTTCAGATGCGCTGGTTATGGGCCATCGAGGGCCCACTCGGCTCTGTCCTGCCCGGGCCCAGTGCTCACAGGGGCACATGAGGGTGAGGGGTAACAGTGCTCACTTGGGGGACATCAGAGACCAGGCCCCAGAGGCTGAGCAGGGTCTCAGGCATGGCCTCGATGCTGGGGCCCATCTGTTCATGCGTGCGCTGGTTGGTGACAAAGGCACAGACCACACCAATCCTGTGGGAATGGAGGGAGGAGGAAGGTGCTTGCTGGGTAAGAGGGAGCCTGGGGGCCACAGCCCGCCCTACCCGGGCCCTGGGCAGCGCCTTACAGCAGCAAGAGGGTGGTCAGCAGCAGGAAGACCATGAGGGCCGCGCGCTCACAGGCCAGCGCCTTGTGCTCTGTCTTCACTCGTCCCCCGCAGCGCCGGTGGCAGCGGCAGCAGCAGAAGCAAAGCCCGGCAGTGGGCACCAGCAGCAGGTAGAGGCCCGCGATCACAGCGCATACCACGTAGCCCGCCTCGTACCGCACCACCTGGGCAGGCAGCAGGGCATGAGGGGTGACCCGACCCCCACTGCCCAGCCCTGGCTTCTGCCTGAGTCCAGAGGGAAACCAGAAGGGGCGGGAGTGCCGTCAGGGGCATGGCCTGCATCTCATGGAACCCGTCCCAGAGGTGACCGCATTCTTACTGCTCATCACCATCTTACACAGGAGGAAGCTGAAGTTCAGGAAGTTCCAGCTCCCTGCAAACCTCACTGCCAGTAAATGGCAGAGCTGTGGTTTGCACCCAGGTCTACGGACTGCAGCGCCCACAGAGGAGGGGAGAGGATGCCTGAGCCCCTGCCTAGTGGACACCCAGCGAGGTGGGCTAAGGGGAGCCAAGGCTTTTCTGCTCCCACCCTGCTGCTCACCCCAGAACTCCCTCCCCCAGCACCTTTCCCCAGCTTGCTCACCTCATTCACCTTCACGGAGGCCAGCTCATTCAGTAGGGCCTTTACCAACTCTATGGGAAAGAGCCAAGCTGAGGATTTGGGGACAGCCACTGCCCTGCCCCTGTGTCCCTCCTCTCCCCACTGCCAGGGCAAAGTGGCTCTGAGGCAGGGCTCCTGCCACCACCATGGCACCCTCGCAGAAGGCTGCATCACCGCAGCCCTGTGCCATCCTGCCCTGACCTCAGCACTGCTACAGGAGGGCGAGCAGAGAGGAGGCTGCAGACCTCTCCTCCTGGACCCTACAGGTCAGTCCTGAGCCTGGGCAAAGGCAGAGAAGGGGTCTGGCCTGGCAGTTCTTCCCCTCAAGCAGCAAGGGACAGGACTGGGAGGGTCCTTCAGACACTCCTGGACCACCCAACCCAAGCACCGATAGACTAAGAGGATGTCTGAGTCAGGTCTAATGTATTTCCAATGTAACCTCCTCACTTTACAGACAGAGCACCTGAGGCTCAGAGAGGAAGTGAGGCTTACCCACAGTCACACAGCAGGTTCTGGAGCCCTCCCCAGATCCTCCGCCTTCTACCCCAGGAAGATGGCAAGTGCCTGCTTGTAGGTTGGGCACATCCCATGGTAGAGTGGGACAGAGGAAGCCGGGCTGGGGACCCAAATGCTGAGGCCCTCATGGGGGAGGGGCACACTCACCTGAAGGGAAAGGATTGAGCTGCACCACCGAGAGGAAGCGGCGCACGGTGCCATAGAGGGAGTCCAGGAGTCCTGGCGCACGAACTCGAGGGGCCAGCCACCGGGCCCTGGCTGCTGGGGTGAATGTCAGGTGCTCTGCCGGGCCAAGGAACTTGCAGTCTGTGGCCCCTGCAGCCAGCTGACTCAGGGCCAGCCCCAGGCCCAGGCCCAGCAGGGGAGCCAGCAGAGCCAGTGTGTGCTTCATGGGGTCAGGAAGGTAAGGGGCTCAGGCTCAGGAGGGAACAGACAAGCCCAGGGCAGGCCATACATCCTTCTCCAGCCTCTGTCCCTCTCTCCACAGCTCTCAAAACCTGCCCGACAGGTTTGGGTTCCTGAGCTACCTGGCCTCCCGCCTCCCTGCCTGCCTTGGAGCATAGGAAGGGCAGGGGTGGAGGCACAGGGTAGGGGGCAGGGCCAGGCTGGGACCGCCCTTGGTGGCCTCGGGTGGAAGCCTGGGCTCCCCACCACCTAGATCCTTGCAGGCAACGGCTGCCACCAGCTGGGTCCGAAAGGCACCTCAGCAGCTTGGGATCACCTAGAATGGCCCCATTTCAAATATTCTGTTCCATGCCCAGCCCCAGCAGCCCAGTCTAGGAGCTGGGAAAACAGCTGCTTGGTGAAGCCCTGGTCAAAATGGTCATAAAACCAGAGACACAGGGCCAGGACCCAGGCTTGCTCTCCCTGCTTCATCTGGAACCTGCTCTGTCCCTGCAGGTCATGCCCGGTGCCCACTGCCAGGCCAATCCTGAACAGAGGCCCACCCTGACACGCACAGGCCTTTGGGAGGGCAAATCCCAGAGGTATGCCCTTTGGCCTGGCCATACCTCATCCAGTCAGCAGTTGAAAGAACTGATAGGATATGACCAGAAACGTGTCTGCACAGGTCTCTGTTTTGTGAACAGCTGTATGCCCAATGCCCAGAAAGTCGCCTGTAGCTGAGCAGGTCATGGGGAAATTCACTGAAGGGCTGGAGGATATCAGAAACAGTCCTGAAAGCCACCACTGAGGAACCAGCAAAATGAGCCTCTTACATCACACACTGGGCAGTTGCTAAAGAACATGCCGTGGAAATGTCTCTTGTGACTGAAAAATATTCACATGCACTCATAAGTGCAAATAGCAGATTACAGACTAGCACACGCAGTGAAGGTGTAAAACGGTGATCATTTCCGCCAATAGCAGATTACAGACCAGCACACGCAGCGAAGGTGTAAAATGGTGATCATTTCCTCAAACAGAAGATTACTCCGTCTCTACTAAAAATACAAAAAAAAAAATGAGCCGGGCGTGGTGGCGAGCGCCTGTAGTCCCAGCTACTGGGGAGGCTGAGGCAGGAGAATGGCATGAACCCGGGAGGCGGAGCTTGCAGTGAGCTGAGATCGTGCCACTGCACTCCAGCCTGGGTGACAGAGCGAGAATCTGTCTCAAAAAAAAAAAAAGAAGATTACAGATCAGTACACACAGTGAAGGTGTAAAACAGCAATCATTTTGCAGTGGAGTTGCCGGCAATTTTTCATTCTCCTTTGCTCACGTGTACTTCCTCATTTCTGTGCACTAAACGCGTGTTACTCGTATTTAAATAAGTAATCAAAGTTTGTGAGATTCCATGGCAGCTCCCTGCCCCTGACTGGGAGCCTTGGAGAGAAGGGCTGGCTCCATGGCTCCCAGGACCCCCAAGCTCAGCCCAGGGCAGTAGTTCAGGATGGTCTGCAGGGTGGGTGAGAGGCTCAGGGATGTCCTGCTGTCCCTGGTAGGGTTATCAGGCAATTAGGGCCTTACGTGTGAATCAGGGCTGGGCCCACAGTAGAGCTCTTACCCTCCCCATTGCTGCCTCTGTGACTTTCTCAGAGCCAGGGGATGAGAGAACACAATGGTAGAAGGCATAGTCCAGTTACAGTGGGGTGAGACAGGAAGTGGGGCTTCATCAAAGGGTGATTCAGAGATGAGGATCAGGGATGCAGTGAAGAATAGTCTAGGGGTGTCCTGGCACCCTAGGTCTGGTGGGAGCTGGCCATGGACCCCAGGGAGGGTCCAGGGCCAGCTCCTCCTGTAGGGGTCCAACCCCAGGGTGTGCAGAGAGGCCCCTAGCCACACTGCCTATGACTGTGTTGTGAAGCTCAGTGCAGGCTGTGCCTAGGCCCTCCCACAGCCCTTCCTCCCGACTCACCTGAACCCAGCATCTATGTTGGGGGCTCCTGGTTCCACAGAGGCTGCATTGAGGAAGGGCTGGTCTCTCCAGGGCCTCACTGCTTCTCCCTTCTCCTTCTCCCTCCAATTTAGGCTGTTAGAAAGAATGCCTTCCCCTGGGATGGCTTTCTAACCACCCCATCAGCAGCAAGATGGACACAGCCCTCACCCGAGCACCTGCCGCTTAGGCGATTTTGTGTCTTCTGACTCGGGTGCACTAGTGGTGGGGGAATTCAGGTCCCAGCTTCCTGGTTAGTAGTAAAAGCCCTTGGAGACTTGGGAAATAAGCAGCTTTGGCCCCACGTGCTCCACTCCCACCCCCTCTCTCTTCTCAATTATTGTCATAATTAAGCCAATCATTGGCTACTGCTATTGTTTTTATTTGTGTGTATGGTGAAAACACTGTAGTTTGAAGATAATAATTCCCCTAGGAAAAACAAAAACATACCAAGCCTCTTCTTCAGCCCAGGGCGGGATGAAGATGCTGAATCTGCCTGTTGAACAGATGGAGAAATAGATGCATGGAAGAAAGGACTATTCTGAGTCAGCAGCCAAGCCAGGAGTGGACAGGACAGTTCCCCTTCCCCCCAGCAGGATCCCAATAAACAATTTATCATCGGATCCACCAGTCAGCCCCTGCCTCCACCCATCCCCAGCCCTGTGTGGGAGAGCAGGTGGGGTTCAGGATCCAGCCCTGGAGTTGGGCAGAGGAGGCAAGGAAGCCACTGCCCTAATTGAATTCCCTGGAAAAGCCCAGCAAGCAGGCAGGTGGGGGCTGCTCACAAGCATGGGTGCCCTTGGGGCAGCCACTAAGGGGCTTGGGGGGCAGGGCAGGCCACCCAGCTGCAGGGCTTCTGGAAGTGGGGATGGGAGGCCAAGGGGGGTCCTGGCCCCTCCTTTCCCTCACATCTTTCTGGGCATACCTGCACTTTCTCTGCTCCTGTTGACCCCTGGCACCCTCTGACCTCCGTGGGGAATTCTTTGGTTGACCAGGAGAAGCTTCTCCTGGTTGCCCTGGAAACACCTCCTGGGGCCACGTGCTCACCCTGACTCACGCATCTCCAGAAGATCGATGTTCCCCAAACCCCACAGCCCCAAGGTGCGGAAGAGGCGGGGAGAGATGGAGACCTCAGCAAGGGAAGGGACTCTGCCCTCCAGAAAGCCCCAGGGCCCCTCTGGCTGCCTCACACAGCCATGCTGGGAATAGACCAGCAAGATGCTCAGACACTCTCAAGGAAACAGCAGGCAAGAAGACAGGTTCCTCTTCTTTCTTGCCTCTGCTATCCATGCCATACACTGGGAATGAGTTTTAAACCAATTCAAGGGGACAAAGACCCACTTACCAGATCATCAAGGCTACGCACGGCCACTGTCTTAGTCAACATTTTTGATGGCAACAATGAAAAACCCACTTAGGTCAGCTGAAGAATTTGAAACATGAGGATTTATTATAGAGATACAAGGGCACTTTTGGAGTCCAAGGTCCTTCAGGAGGGCTCAGATCCCGGAAAAGGAAATCCATCAAGTGCCCCCATGTCTGTCTCAGACCCTCTCTCTGGGACGGGGCCTCTCCCCAGTGCACGCTGGCCTCCTCTGCAGAATAGATTCTCCTCATCCAACATGGCAGAGAGGGCTGCCCTGCCGATCTGAGTCTATGTGTTCTCCCAGGTGGTCTACTATGAGTCCCACCAGCACCACAGGCCACACTCTTCATCCTAGTGGGAGGAAACTGATGGTCCCAACCGGAGGCAGGGTCTCCCAGTCCACCAGGGCCCTCTGGCTACAACAGCCTTATATGGAGTAAGCATAGCGGCTGGGCCCAAGCTTGTGGCACATGGTGGCCATGGGGGAACAGGCCTCTGGGATGCCTTTCTGGGAATATTTTGGAGCATTTTGACCACCACGCTCCCAAAATGTGGGTCCCTGCCTGACTTCTTGTCCCTCATTCTGGCATGCAGCCAGACATCCAGCCTTCCAGCACCCCTCCTAAGTATTGCTTCAGAAAGGACCATCGTGAATGCAGATGGACCCCAGGCTCCCCTGCTTCAAACCTCCTAGCGGCTCCTACACTGGACTCCTTAATTTGTCTCCAGGGCCCTCCAACATTGGAGCCCTTCTCCGTTCCCCTGGCTAGATCCTGCAGTCCTCGGCTCACCCTACCACACTCCCCTCCATCCTGGCCCTGCTCATGATTTCCCTTCTTTATCCCCAGCCTCCACGTTCACTCAATTTCTGCTCATCCTTTAAGCTTGGTTCAGTGGTCACCTTCTCTAGGACCCCTAGGCTGAGTGAGGGGTCCTTTCAAGGCATCCCTTAATATGAAACCTGCCCCCATATTACCCGTTTACCTGTCTGTCTCCCCCACATAGACAGGACTGAGTTTTACTCACCGTCACATCCTCTTCAGCCCTGAACACAGAACCCAGCATATTCTCAGCATATTCTCCAGTCTCGAAACTTTGGAAAAGCACATCTGAATACATTTAAAGATAAGATCTGTTCCCCATAAGGGCCATGAAAATAAACAAACCAAAACCCCTGGCCGGGTGCAGTGGCTCACGCCTATAGTCCCAGCACTTTGGGAGGCCAAGCCGGGTGGATCACTTGAGGCCAGGAGTTCCAGCCCAGCCTGGCCAACATAGTGAAACCCCATCTCTACTAAAAATACAAACATTAGCTGGGTTGGTGGCAGGCACCTGTAATCCCAGCACTATGGGGGCCGGGGTGGATGGATCGCTTGAGCCCAGGAGTTCAAGACCAGCTTGGCCAACATGGTGAAACCTTGTCTCTACCAAAAATACAAAAAAAAAAAAAAAAAAAAAATTAGCCAGTCTCATAACCTGGTCTTCAAATAAATAAATAAATAAATAGATTTTTTAAAAAGAAGAAGAATGAATGGGTGAATCCCCAAACTAAAACTCTGTGCCGCTGTGATGAGTGAGCCTGGTGAGGAAGGGCGAGGTGGGTCGGGTGGGAAAGGGAGGAGGCTCTTCAGTGAGCCCTGGGACCTTCTTCATGAGCCTCTCCAGGCAGTAAGGATGGGATGCAACCCAAACAGAGGCTGCCCAAGTGTGGAAGTGTGTGAGGGTTTCAGCAAAGTGTCGAGAGTCCCCATGACGGCGACGGCAGGCCAGTAAGGCACTAGAAGGCCACGGGACATCAGGGCCTCAGGGAGCTTTGTTAGAAGTGGTCAGATTGGGAGGGCAGGGGCCTGCAGGCAGGGATGGCTGTGCTCTGGTTCCCTGTGGCAGGGTGAGTTTCTAGAAAAAGCAGGCCACAATCAAACAGATCCTCCAGAAAGACCTGCTGTAGGAAGGCTTCCGGTCAACTAAAAACTTCAGTCCTTGCAGCCCAGGCCCACGGGATAGGCTATGCCTCCTCTCAATGGCCAGGTGGGTCCCCTCAATGAGTACCCTCTGCTCCCTCTCCATGGTCCATGGCCAGGTGAGTGCTCTTCCCCCATCTCCATGGTCAGGTGAGTCCCCTCTGCCCCCTCTCCATGGCCTCTGTGTCAAATGGGAAAGCAGCATCTTCCAGCCTGACCCAGATCTCCTCATTGCCCAGAGCCTCCTCGGCTGCCCTCTCTCTCCAAGATCAGCAGGGGACTTGTCTCAAGGTTAGGCTCAGGCCACATCTGACACTGGCATCAGCTGCCCCTCTCCCTGGGGCCCTGGAGCCCTGACCCCTGGGGAGGAGACAGAGACAGAAGTCTGGTGTGCAGAACCTCGAGGCTGCTGAAGCCATGTGTGGTCTGGTAGCATCACGGAGCCCCCCTAGAACTGGACTTAGAAAGACAGTGGACACACGTTGGCCAAAAGCCGCTGGGCCTAACCTGACACCTTCTCCCCTTCAGTCTCTTCCCCCACATCAGTGGAAGGAGAGGTCATTGGTGTTCCCCCTTTGGAGGGGCCATGTGTCTGTTTCTGCCTCTTGGGGGCTCACAACAGCACTGTCCATCAAACTCTCCCGAGCACTGTGGGGCCCCCGGAGTCTCCTGATGTGACCTGCTCAGGTCCTCAGGAGCTCTGCACTAACAAGCTGAAATAGACAGACTTTCTATTGCATCCTTTGTCCCTGAGATAGTTCTGGGAGTCCAGGGTGGAAGAGCAGAGGCTTCTCATCAGTGGGGCCCGGGAAGAGGTAGGGCTAGGCCTAAAGATGAGCCTGCCCAACCATAGCCCGGAGCCTGGGATGGGGGTGCCACGCTGGGGTGAAACGTGAGACCCAAAGCCTGAAGGAAGTTTCTGGCGGCCCATTACCTACTCTGATCACAGCCTGCCCTGCTCAGCACCTGGAAACCAGTCTCATCAGAGCACCTACTGCACAGAACCATGGGGAAAGTGTGTGGTCCCGATGGCAGGAGGAGGCCTGGAAGGGATCTGGAGAGACTGGAATGGGGCTCATACCCACTGCCCGAAAGGGAGGATGAAACGGCCAACTCAAGGATTCTCAGACTCACAACTGTTTGTGGAAACAGAAAGACCATAAAGGATTAGCTGACCGCAAGTTATTGTGAGTTAATAATGTGGCGAGATGCCCAGGATGCTTTTGTAAGGCTAGATGGCCCTGGAGGTCAAAGGTCTGGCAGCTGGGGCCTGTGCTGTCGTCCTGCACTGCCCAGCCCTGCTCTGCAGCTTGGACTCCCTCTCAGGACAGTGACAGTGAGATGAGGCAGGGCCAGGAGCACTGAGCCAGGACAAGAGCCGCCCCCAAGGGTAAGGAGGCAGAATGGGAAGGTCAGGGGAAAGCGGCATTGGCTTCCCATCTTCCACACTGAGAGGAGCCAGAGATCTGACCCTACCCTGCCTTCTCCCCCACTTCTTACTTACATTCTCTGCCTTACAGACCTGGCCACCCACACCTGGTTCAAGGCATGGAAGGACGAGCGCAGGCACTTTGGCGCAGGCCTCCAGGGTCCCACTCCCAGCAGCATTTCCCTTTCCTACGCAGCTGGTGCACTCTGCAGACCAAAAGTGCATGCTCTCCCCAGACCATGGGAGAGGACATAGGACACCTGACACCCAAGAGCCCCAGGTGCTCCCACACCCACTGCACAGACCCCTCAGAAGTAGAGCCATGTGGCATCTCCCAGGAAGCAGGAAGGACCTGGACCATTGCTTTCTGAGGCTCTTTGAAAGGAAAGGCCTTTCCTCTCTGGGTGGGCTGCAAAGAAAACTCATCTCTCACCCCCATGTCTCCACCTGGCTGCCTGTCAGAATCACCTGCAGATCTCTGGCTCATGCCCCAGAGCTCCCAAATTCGAATCTCTAGAAGTGGAGTTCAGTGTTTGTGAGTTTTGTGAGCTTGCCAGGACGTTCTGGTGGGCCAGGAGGCCCAAGAGCCACTGCCAGGGCAGCCCCAGGCCCCCCTCACAGGAAACAGCTCTTATCCTGTAGGGCAGGGGCACCCCCACCTCATAAGCTCCTGACCTTTCTATGTGGGCTGGTGAGGGGGCATCAGGATCCCTTTCCTGCCTCTGGCCGTCTCTCCCCCCACCTTCCACGTCCACCGCAGCCTGCACCCTAAATATAAGGAGCCTTTGCACCAAGCCTCAGGGACCAATACACACAAGTAAGGAATAGGCATGAGAAAGGAGGGTGGGAGACGGTGGGTGCCCTCCACGCTGTCACAAGGGGTGGGGCAGGAAGCAGCTGGGTGGCCGGGAGGAGCCTAGGCTGCAGATGGGCCCAGAACATATCTCAGGAAGCCTTCAGCTAGTTGGGGGGCAGCTGCAGTTTAGGGTGTAACACCCACTGTCGGCATGTGTAGAGATGCAGACGCTCCCTGCCAAGGTCTGGGCAGCCTATGGGGTGCTCTGGGGGACCACTGGGGACCAGCAAGGCTACATGGAGCTCTTAGGGATGGACTACCAAGCTGGCAGGAAAATAGATGAAGTCAGTGACCAAAGCAGTTCCGCTGCAGCGAATGCCTGCCTCACTCCAGCTGATCATTCCAAATGCAGAGGACAGCAGAGAAAGGACCTCAAAATCAAGACGGCAGTGGAGCAGTGACATCCAAGTGCAGAGGACAGTGGGGCAGGGCCCCCCAAATGCACAGGAGAGTGGATTATCAATGCATTAGAAAGACAGGGAGTGTTGGAGCCATTCCTTCCAGAAGCACAGGACTCACTTGGGAAGTGGAAGGATTGTTTGAGTTCAGGAGTTCGAGGTTACAGTGAGCTATGATTGAATGTGCCACTGCACTGCAGCCTCAGTGACAGAGTAAGACCTTGTCTCAAAAAAATAAAGAAGCATATGATGTGGAACAGCAGCTCCAAATGCAGACGACATTGGATCAGTGACATCCACATAAACTCAGAGGACAAGAGCTCCAATGTCTCCAAATGTGGAGGGCTGTGGGCAGAGCCTCTGACACAGGTTATGTTAGGCTGTTTTCGCATTGCCATAAAGGCATACCTGAGACTGAGCAATTTATAAAGAAAAGAGGCTGGGCACGGTGGCTCACGCCTGTAATCCCAGCACTTTGGGAGGACAATCACTTAAGGTCAGGAGTTCGAGACCAGCCTGGCCAACATGGTGAAACCCCGTCTCTACTAAAAATACAAAAATTAGCCAGGCATCGTGTTTCACACCTGTAGTCCCAGCTACTCGGGAGGCTAAGGCAGGAGAATCATTTGAGCCCAGGAAGTTGAGGTTGCAGTGAGCTGAGATCACACCACTGCACTCCAGCCTGGGTGACAGAGTGAGACTTTGCCTCAAAAACAGAAAGAAAGAAAAGAGATGTAACTTGCCCACGGTTCTGTGGGCTGTACACAAAGCTGGGTGCCAGCATTTGCTCAACTTCTGGGGAGGACTCAGAGAGCTTTCACTCCTGGCGGAAGGTAAAGGGGGAGCAGGCAGGTCACATGGCGAGAGTGGGAGCAAGAGAGAGAAGGGGAAGGTGCCAGACACCTTTAAACAACCAGATCTCGCGTGAACTCACAGCAAAAACTCACTCATTACCAAGGGGACGGCACTAAGCCATCCATGAAGGATATGTCCCCATGATCCAGTCCTCCCATCAGGCCCCACCTCCAACATTGGGGATTACATTTCAATATGCGATTTGGAAGGGACATAGATCCAAACCAAACCACAGGGTAAATGGAGTGGTGTCCCCAAAGGCAGATCACAGTGAAATGCCTCCAAATGTAGAGGAGAGTGGAGCCGTGCCTTCCACATGCAGGGGACAAGGGGCAGGCCCATGGAAGCGCACAGTGGAGTGAGGCAGTTCCACCGAAGGCAGAGGACAGGGCAGCTGTGCCTTCCAAATGCACTGGGCAGGGAAGCAGTGACTCCAGATGAAAGTGAGAGAGCAGCAGAGACAGCCAAGTGCAAGGGGCATGGGAGCCCTGCCTCCCAATACAACAGTGTGGGTTGTGAGCCTTCCCACATACAGAGCAAAGAGGGAATGCTGTCTCTTTAAATACATAAGACTGCCAAGCAGTCCCAGGTCAGTGAAGATGACAGGGGAGCATTGACTCCAAAGGGAAGCAGTAGTTGTGGAGCAGTGCCTCAGCCTGCAAAGGGCAGGGAGGCAGTGGCTCTGCAGCAGAAGACAGGGTTTGTGCCTGCAGATGAAGATGATGGTAAAGAAGAGAGCAGCAGAACAGTGTCCCCCAAACACACAAGCAGAGCAGTGCCTTCCACATCCACAGAAGAATGGAAAAAGGGCTTCCCACTGCAGAAAACACTGGAATGTTTCCTTCCAAATGCAGAGAATGTTGGAGCCGTGCCTCCAGCTGGAGTACAGTGAGCAGTAACATCCAAATGCCGAGTACAGCAGAACAGTGCCCCCAAATGCAGAGACGGCAGAGCAGTGCCTTCCTAATATGTCAGACGGTGCATAAGCGACTTCCCAGTGCAGAAGACAGTGCAGCAGCGCTTCCAAATGCAGAACAGTGTGGATCAAGGGCCTCCAAATGCACAGGCCACATGATCTTCCCTCAGACTGTTATAACCAGCCAAATTACCATTTCAGTGGCATAAAGATGGCAATATTAGACCTAAAGAACCTAAAACATTAATATATCCTGCATTCTTTTTTGTAGAACTTCCTAGAGGATGTATTCCTCAAAAATGGTGGCACAAGCCAAGAATAAGAAAGATACAGGAATCAGGAAACAGTGAATCAATGCCAAAAGAGAGGCAGAGACACCTCAGGATGACAACCACCTGTTTACGTAACTTGGAGACCACCCAGACCAGATTAGAGTGGGAGAGGAGCAGTGTGTGTGTGTGTGTGTGTGTGTGTGGATGGAAGGGAAAGAGGGATACCTGGGGATAGGGATTCTAGAATAAAGGAAAACTCTGTAGAAGGTGCCTGATGGAGTATTGGAAATAAAGATATGTGTCTAGTAAATTATGCAAGTTACCAAACAGGGAAATTTTATAACATGGACTAAGAAAAGAGATGCAATCATAGTACACCTGCAAGAGTTAGGCCAACACTGGAGGTGGAATTCATTCATATTATAGCAATTGTGGCCGGGTGCGGTGGCTCACACCTGTAACACACCCTAGCACTTTGGGAGGCCGAGGCGGGCAGATCACCTGAGGTCAGGTGTTGGAGACCAACCTGACCAATGTGGGGAAATCCCACCTCTAGTAAAAATACAAAAATTAGCTGGGTGTGGTGGTGCATGCCTGTATTCCCAGCTACTCAGGAGGTTGAGGCACAATAATCGCTTGAACCTGGGAGGCAGAGGTTGCGGTGAGCCAAGATGGCACCACTACACCCCAGCCTGGGCAACAGAGCGAGACTTTCTCAAAAAAAAAAAAAAAAAAAAAAAAAAAACCAAAGAAACAAAAAATAAAAACAAACATATTAAAGCAATTGTAGTGTGATGAAAAAGGATGAAGGAGCTACATTTGATTCTCTCATAATAGAAAGTTAATACGCAATGTCTGTGTTCACAAATCTAGATACAGCAACATTTTTTAGAGATATGGAGGTAATATCAGAAAAAATAATTAAGAGAAGAAAGTTGGATTGCAGGCAGCAAGGGCAGGGCAGGGTTTTGCTGATTTTGCAGTATAGTTCTTTTTGTACTGTTTTATTTTTTACCAAATGTATGTGTTATTTTGCCAAAAATTTAATATTTTATGTGAAAGTGATCAGGTTTCTGTATTCATTTTCTATTATTTCTGAAAGAAATCCCCACAAGCTTAGTGGCTTCAAGCCATGCAAATGTATGATCTAATTGTTCTGTAGGTAGGAAGTTGGGTAGCTCGGCTGGTTCCTCTGCTCTGAGTCTCACAAGACTAAAATCAAGGTGTGGGTTGATGGCTTGGGCTCTGATCTGGAGGCTCTGTGGTAGAATCTAGGCTGTTGGAAGTATCCAGGTCCTTGTAGCTGTAGGACTGAGGCCCCTGTTTCCTTGCTGGCTGTTAGCCATGGGTGCATCCAATCCTCCTCACCTTTGGAATCTCTCTGACTCCTGAATCTGCCATATTCTCTCATCTTTTCTGCCTTATCTCTCTGACTGACTCATCTGCTTCCTAATCTGTATTTAATGACTCACACTGGAACCAATTACATATTTCAGGATGATCCCCTACCTTAAAGTCTGCTGGTTAGTAACCATAATTACATCTGCAAAGTCGTGTCACAGCCATACCTTGAATGACATTTGATTGAATAGCCAAGGGACAGGAGTCCTCCAGGGACATCTTTAGAATTCTGCCTATAATAGGTTTGTTGATTATAAAGCTCCTTATTGTCTTTATTTGCTACTATAACTTCTGAGTCTCCCAGAAGGGGGATTTCTGTGTCAAGTATCTCTTGGATTAGGTTCAGTTGAATACGTCAGAAAACTCCAAATAACAGTGGGGAAACCTAAGCCGAAATATATTTCCTCTCACATAAAATGAGACTGGAGGTTGAAAATCTAGGGCTGTCCCGGCAGCACCATAAATGTCAACAACCCCTGCTCCTTCTCTCTTTCTACTCTATCATCCTAAGGCAGTCTCTAACCTTGTGGTTACTTCAAGGAACAAAATGGCTGCAGAAGGTCTAGTCATCCCTTCCACATCCCAGGCTCAGAGATGGCTGAGAGGAGGTGTATCCCTCCTGGTCTCAACTTCCTTTAAACAGCCTTCCCAGAGGTCATCCCCAGACCTTGAACTCACATCTTATTAGTCAGAACTTGGTCATAAGGCCACACATAGCTACAGGTAGGGTGGGAAACATGAACTTTCGGCCGGGCACTCTGCTGCCTGGAATAAAGACACAGCTCTGTGGCTCAGGGAGAAGGGAGTGTAGACACTGTGTGGATGAAGCCTTCAATGCCATCCTCTGTGTCTCGAGGTTATCTGACTGTAGATGCATTTTGTTCTGAGTGTACCAAGCAAATTCTCCCTGTCAGAGCACAGCTCAGAAAGTGTGGCTGTTCTCCCTCACTTCTCCCTCACTTGCATTCTTGCTGCCTAATACATTTAAGTTTTACTCTCCTAGTCCCCAATTAGTAAAAGTATTTTAGAAGCAAATGACATAGTACTGAAGAAAATAAAAATACATATCCATAAGTTGTGTTGTATTAAAATAGGATCCTGTACTTGTCAAGCGTAAACGAAATAATTCATGTCTTCTCTTTTCCCTTTCATTCTTGTTTTACTCTGCTGGTACTTAAATACGTTAGAGCGTGCACTGACTGGCACCACACCTCCATGTAGCTCTGAAGGAGAAGGGGAGCCCCCAATGCCTGCACGGGGCCCATTCCTACCAGCCTTGGCCCTGGAACTTGATGCATGACCAGTCGCAAATGAGGAACTCCCGGGACTTCTGCCTGGAGGTCCCCAGGCCCTCTCCTTTCATATTCAACTAGATGGCTCAGCCCATCCCACAGCATCCCTCCCACCTCCTTGCAAGGCAACTTCCTCTATCGAAGACCTCAGCACAGTAGAGGATTCTGTAGTGTCCCTTTGCTCACTTTGCTACTGGTCACAACCTGGAATCTGGGAGCCAGTCCCTGTCCTTTGTCCTTGAATCTCCACTAAAAGAATTGTGGAGGCCAGTCGTGGTGGCTCACGCCTGTAATCCCAGCACTTTGGGAGGCTGAGGCAGGCAAATCACCTGAGGTCAGGAGTTCGAGACCAACCTGGTCAACATGGTGAAACCCCGTCTCTACTAAAACTATAAAAATTAGTTGGGCATGGTGGCGGGTGCCTGTAATCCCAGCTACTCAAGAGGCTGAGGCAGGAGAATCACTTGAACCCAGGGGGCGAAGGTTGCAGTGGGCTGAGATAACCCCATTGCACTGCAGCCTGGGCAAAAAGAGCAAAACCGTGTCTCAAAAAAAAAAAAAAAGAATTGTGTAAGGGTCTTTGACAAATGGTTGGAGGTAAGGAAGGTAAGTGCCACAGAGGAAGGAATGTCAGTCATCACGTTCCTCCTGATGCCCTCACAGGTGTCCGTGGTGGGGAATCTCTCTGGGCTCTGCCTGCCTGCAGGGCCTCCCTCTTCTGGGTTGTCATGAGTCTCCTCCTGTCTCAGATCCTGGCACTGAAAACTCAAACTTGTAGCCTGATGATAACATCATATGGGGTTCTGTCTGGGGCTGGAATGTGAGCCCTCTCCATGTACACAACCCTTTGCAGGTCACTGTTGGAGGGATGCCTAGAGGACACTGCACACTAAGAGAGAACCACCTGGGCTGCAGGCCGCCCTCACCTTCTCATTTGGGATTCATGAGCCACTGAGGACTCCAGTCTTCCATGTGCCAAAGCGGGGTTTGGCCTTGCTGACCTCTGAGATTGACCCCCGGCTTCACCAATCAGCTGCTGGTGATCCCACCTCCCATCATGCAGGAAGCAGGCACTTCCTGAGCAGCATTCTTGCAGATGAGGCAGGGCCCAAGACAGCAGAGGCAGAGGCAGCAGTTTGCCTGGGCCCAGGGAGACAGAAATGGGCCCTTTACTCTTGCAGTCAGTCTTCTTGTCCCCAGAGGGAGAGAGGATGAGAACCCAGGAGACTGGCTTTGTTGTCAAGGTTTCCATGGAGACTGGCAATGTCCTAGGGGGACCTGTGGTGTAAATTACAACCTGGTGAAGTAGGCTGCTCTAGGATGTCCAGGAATGCACTTTGGTGAGGGAGGCAGTGCCCCCAAATGAAGATTGGGCCTTTGATAAGAAGGGGAGACAAAGAAGGAATTATGAGTGTCAGCAGAATGGAGCCCAGGAGGAAGAGCTGAGGGGGATGGCTGGCATTCAGGATCTAGGCTAGATCAGGGAGAAGGCGGGTAACACGGAGGCCAGACACTGTTTCAAAGTCAGTGTGAAGCAAGGAGGTGGCAAACCCAGGAAGGGACAGAAGGTCAGCAAAAAAGGGTGGGTGTGTGTTTGGCGCCCAGGAGGAACTAGATGAGCTGGTGAGTACAGATGCAGAAATGAAGTGTGGCATGTGAGCACATGTTGCAACAGGCAGCAGGCTGCTGGGAGAAGCACCAGAAGCATAAAGCAGAAACTCAGACATGGGCCAGCTGGAAAAAGGAGCCTTGGTTCTGTGATATGTTGGGAGCCACGCAGCAGCCGGACCTGGGTGTGAATCTTGGAGACAGAAGCTTCCCAGGGCACCTCCAGGATCCAGGTTTCACCTAACCAAAGCTCTGACAAGAAGCCCCAGGGTTAAGTGCGGCTCCTCCCTGGTGGTGTCAGGCTCCCCAGGAGCACTCCTGTGGGAATAATAGCCTTTGCTTCAGGTGGGGTGGGGAACAGCTGGAATCCCCTCCTAGGACTCTCTCTCCAGGAAAATCACTGTGATTCAGCAGTGCTGCTCCTCTACAGAGAAGCCCAGCACCTCTGCACTTAAAAATTAGTCAAAGGCAGCAGACTGCCTGTCCTGGAGCCCAGGGCTCAGGTTTAGCCTATATTATCATGAAGAATAGATCACAAGTGAAGCCATCGGATCATAACACTCGCCTCCCACTGGTGCCCCTACAATCAAGTTCTGTCCCAATGTTTGTTGGCCACCACAGCCAAGACAATGCTCCATGTTCACTTTCCTCTCCCAGATGCTGGGGAAGATTGCATATTCCAGGCTCCATTGTAGTTGGCTCAGGGACATGTGGCTAATTCTGATGAGCAGGCTGTAAGTTAAAATCAAGTGGGTTACTTCTTGGCTGAAGCACAGCAAAGTAGGTGTGAGGTCACCTGGCTTTCTTCTCCATGGGGGAGACCCTGAAGCAGCATGCTGAGATGGTGATGTAATAAGATGGTGGTGCCTCCATCTGCCTGGATCTCTGGGGTCTTGTCAGAGCCGCCAAACTCAAGCCTCCAATCTCCCCCAAATACACACATACACACTCCAATCCCAGTGAAGAGTGGCAGAACATTCAACCCCAAAATAGGCCACTTTGACATAAGGATTACCTCAAGCTAAGGCAACTTGAAAACAGCAGATGCAACGAGGGCACTCTGATCTTCCTTCTTTCCCGGAAAACAGGAGACAAAAACTCCCACGTGAAAGGTGCCCTCCTTTCTCCAGAAGAAAGGAACATTCTTCAATGGGGAGTTGTCGCCAAGAGAATTCCCTGCAAACAGACCTTGTTAAAGTAATTCTCTCCCTTGCACCTCGCCACATATCCAGTTATTCTCTGCAATCGCTTCTCCTTGTCTAACCTGATACACATGCAGGCAGTTCTTGCCATTTCTTTCCGCCTTTGATCCCTTATGAGAATTCCCATGTTATGTAAAACTTACATAAATGTGTTTGTTTTTCTCCTGTTAATCTGTCTGATGTCAATCTCATTCTCAGGCCCAGCAGAAATCCTAACAGGTGGAGGAAAAGGTTTGCCCTCCCTACAGTTTCTGGTGATGAGGATGGGACCCTAAAAGGTTAAGATGCCCCATTTGCTCTAGAACCTATGGACGGGGCCCTGGGAGAGGTAGGAATTCTTACGGAGTCAGGCATTGTGTCTGTTGTGCCTAGTCAAGGGATCCAGGTGTTGGATACAGTGAATTCCTCTTCAAAGGTTCCACTTTTTCAACTCCCTCGTTCTTTGTCCTCTATTTTCAAAGCCTAACTTCTTTGCCTCCTTGCCCCTAGTTATGGTAAACAACCTTCCAGCCATTGCCAATCTGTAACCCACATCTGTTCCCAATCTGTAACCCACGTCCATTCCCAATTTATAACAATCCACATCTGTTCCTTATTTGGCACCCTTAGTTTCAAAACTGCTCTTCCTGCTGCTGTAGCCCCCAACCCTTGCTCCATTAGAAGTAGCCAATCAGGATCAGCTTAGATTGTGCCATCCAACTCCAGGCAGTGGGGACTGGACAACAGTAGCAGGGACTGACTGCATTAGGGATAAAAACCCCTTCCCTCCTTTGTTTGGTGTGCTCTCACAGTGACAAGAGTGAGCAGCACCCTTCTGCAGAAGTAAATTTGCCTCGAGTGGAGCCAAGATGGCCAAATAGGAACAGCTCCAGTCTACAGCTCCCAGCGTGAGCGACGCAGAAGATGGGTGATTTCTGCATTTCCAACTGAGGTACCAGGTTCATCTCACTGGGGATTGTTGGACAGTGGGTGCAGGAGAGTGGGTGCAGCACACCGAGCGTGAGCCAAAGCAGGGCGAGGCATCACCTCACCCGGGAAGCGCAAGGGGTCAGGGAATTCCCTTTCCTAGCCAAGGAAAGGGGTGACAGACGGCACCTGGAAAATAGGGTCACTCCCACCCTAATACTGCGCTTTTCCAATGGTCTTAGCAAATGGCACACCAGGAGATTATATCCCGTGCATGGCTTGGAGGGTCCTACGCCCACGGAGCCTCGCTCATTGCTAGCACAGCAGTCTGAGATAAAACTGCAAGGTGGTAGTGAGGCTGGGGGAGGGGCGCCCGCCACTGCCGAGGCTTGAGTAGGTAAACAAAGCAGCAGGGAAGCTCGAACTAGGTGGAGCCCACCACAGCTCAAGGAGGCCTGCCTGCCTCTGTAGACTCCATCTCTAGGGGCAGGGCATAGCCAAACAAAAGGCAGCAGAAACCTCTGCACTTAAATGTCCCTGTCTGACAGCTTTGAAGAGAGCAGTGGTTCTCCCAGCATGCAGCTGGAGATCCGAGAATGCACAGACTGCCTCCTCAAGTGGGTCCGTGACCCCCGAGTAGCCTAACTGGGAGTCACCCCCCAGTAGGGGCAGAATGACACCTCACATGGCCGGGTACTCCTCTGAGACAAAACGTCCAGAGGAATGATCAGGCAGCAACATTTGCTGTTTACCACTATCTGCTGTTCTGCAGCCTCCACTGCTGATACTCAGGCAAACAGGGTCTGGAGTAGACCTCCAGCAAACTCCAACAGACCTGCAGCTGAGGGTCCTGACTGTTAGAAGGAAAACTAACAAACAGAAAAGACATCCACACCAAAACCCCATCTGTACGTCACCATCATCAAAGACCAAAGGTAGATAAAACCACAAATATGGGGAAAAAACAGCAGAAAAACTGAAAATTCTAAAATCAGAGCGCCTCTCCTCCTCCAAAGGAATGCAGCCCCTCACCAGCAATGGAACAAAGCTGGTCACAGAATGACTTTGACAAATTGAGAGAAGAAGGCTTCAGATGATCAAACTACTCTGAGCTAAAGGAGGAAGTTCAAACCCATGGCAAAGAAGTTAAAAACCTTGAAAAAAGATTAGACGAATGGCTAACTAGAATAACCAATGCAGAGAAGTCCTTAAAGGACCTGATGGAGCTGAAAACCACGGCACAAGAACTACATGATGAATGCACAAGCCTCAGTAGCCAATTCCATCAACTGGAAGAAAGGGTATCAGTGATGGAAGATAAAATGAATGAAATGAAGCGAGAAGAGAAGGTTTAGAGAAAAAATAATAAAAAGAAATGAACAAAGCCTCCAAGAAATATGGGACTATGTGAAAAGACCAAATCTATGTCTGATTGGTGTATCTGAAAGTGACAGGGAGAATGGAACCAAGTTGGAAAACACTCTGCAGGATATTATCCAGGAGAACTTCCCCAGTCTAGCAAGGCAGGCCAACATTCAAATTCAAGAAATACAGAGAACACGACAAAGATACTCCTCAAGAAGAGCAACTCCAAGACACATAATTGTCAGATTCACCAAAGTTGAAATGAAGGAAAAAATGTTAAGGGCAGCCAGAGAGAAAAGTCGGGTTACCCACAAAGGGAAGCCCATCAGACTAAGAGCTGATCTCTCGGCAGAAACTCTACAAGCCAGAAAAGAGTGGGGGCCAATATTCAACATTCTTAAAGAAAAGAATTTTCAACCCAGAATTTCATACCCAGCCAAACTAAGCTTCATAAGTGAAGGAGAAATAAAATCCTTTACAGACAAGCAAATGCTGAGAGATTTTGTCATCACCAGGCCTGCCCTAAAAGAGCTCCTGAAGGAAGCACTAAACATGGAAAGGAACAACCAGTACCAGCCACTGCAAAAACATCCCAAATTGTAAAGACCATCAAGGCTAGGAAGAAACTGCATCAACTAATGAGCAAAATAACCAGCTAACATCATAATGACAGGATCAAATTCACACATAACAATATTAACCTTAAATGATAAATGCTCCAATTAAAAGACACAGACTGGCAAATTGGATAAAGAGTCAAGACCCATCAGCGTGCTGTATTCAGGAAACCAATCTCAAGTGCAGAGACACACATAGGCTCAAAATAAAGGGATGGAGGAAGAGCTACCAAGCAAATGGCAAACAAAAAAAGGCAGGGGTTGCAATCCTAGTCTCTGATAAAAAAGACTTTAAACCAACAAAGATCAAAAGAGACAAAGGAGGCCATTACATAATGGTAAAGGGATCAATTCAACAAGAAGAGCTAACTATCCTAAATATATATGCACCCAATACAGGAGCACCTGGATTCATAAAGCAAGTCCTTAGAGACCTACAAAGAGACTTAGACTCCCACACAATAATAATGGGAGACTTTAACACCCCACTGTCAACATTAGACAGATCAATGAGACAGAAAGTTAACAAGGATATCCAGGAATTGAACTCAGCTCTGCACCAAGCAGACCTAATAGACATCTGCAGAACTCTCCACCCCAAATCAACAGAATATACATTCTTTTCAGCACCACACCACACCTATTCCAAAATTGACCACATAGTTGGAAGTAAAGCACTCCTCAGCAAATGTAAAAGAACAGAAATTATAACAAACTTTCTCTCAGACCACAGTGCAATCAAACTAGAAGTCAGGATTAATAAACTCACTCAAAACTGCTCAACTACATGGAAACTGAACAACCTGCTCCTGAATGACTACTGGGTATGTAACGAAATGAAGGCAGAAATAAAGATGTTCTTTGAAACCAACGAGAACAAAGACACAACATACCAGAATCTATGGGACACATTCAAAGCAGTGTGTAGAGGGAAATTTATAGCACTAAATGCCCACAAGAGAAAGCAGGAAAGATCTAAAATTGACACCCTAACATCATAATTAAAAGAACTAGAGAAGCAAGAGCAAACACATTCAAAAGCTAGCAGAAGGCAAGAAATAACTAAGATCAGAGCAGAACTGAAGGATATAGAGACACAAAAAACCCTTCAAAAAATCCATGAATCCAGGAGCTGGTTTTCTGAAAAGATCAACAAAATTGATAGACCGCTAGCAAGACTAATAAAGAAGAAAGAGAAGAATCAAATAGATGCAATACAAAATGATAAAGGGGATATCACCACCGATCCCACAGAAATACAAACCACCATCAGAGAATACTATAAACACCTCTATGCAAATAAACTAGAAAATCTAGAAGAAATGGATACATTCTTCGACACATACACCCTCCCAAGTCTAAACCAGGAAGAAGTTGAATCTCTGAATAGACCAACAACAGGCTCTGAAATTGAGGCAATAATTAATAGCTTACCAACCAAAAAAAGTCCAGGACCAGATGGATTCACAGCCGAATTCTACCAGAGGTACAAGGAGGAGCTGGTACCATTCCTTCTGAAACTATTCCAATCAATAGAAAAAGAGGGAATCCTCCCTAACACATTTTATGAGGCCAGCATCATCCTGATACTAAAGCCTGGCAGAGACACAACAAAAAAAGAGAATTTTAGACCAATATCCCTGATGAACATCGACGCAAAAATCCTCAATAAAATACTGGCAAACTGAATCCAGCAGCATATCAAAAAGCTTATCCACCATGATCAAGTGGGCTTCATCCCTGGGATGCAAGCCTGGTTCAACATATGCAAATCAATAAACGTAATCCAGCATATAAACAGAACCAACAACAAAAACCACATGATTATCTCAATAGATGCAGAAAAGACCTTTGACAAAATTCAACAACGCTTCATGCTAAAAACTCTCAATAAATTAGGTATTGATGGGACGTATCTCAAAATAATAAGAGCTATCTATGACAAAACCACAGCCAATATCATACTGAATGGGCAAAAACTGGAAGCATTCCCTTTGAAAACTGGCACAAGACAGAGATGCCCTTTCTCACCACTCCTATTCAACATAGTGTTGGAAGTTCTGGCCAGGGCAATCAGGCAGGAGAAAGAAATAAAGGGTATTCAATTAGGAAAAGAGGAAGTCAGACTGTCCCTGTTTGCAGATGACATGATTGTATATCTAGAAAATCCCATCGTCTCAGCCCAAAATCTCCTTAAGCTGATAAGCAACTTCAGCAAAGTCTCAGGATACAAAATCAATGTGCAAAAATCACAAGCATTCTTATACACCAATAACAGACAGATAGCCAAATCATGAGTGAACTCCCATTCACAATTGCTTGAAAGAGAATAAAATACCTAGGAATGCAACTTACAAGGGACGTGAAGGACCTCTTCAAGGAGAACTACAAACCACTGCACAATGAAATAAAAGAGGATACAAACAAATGGAAGAACATTCCATGTTCATGGGCAGGAAGAATCAATATTGTGAAAATGCCCATACTGCCCAAGGTAATTTATAGATTCAATGCCATCCCCATCAAGCTACCAATGACTTTTTTCACAGAATTGGAAAAAACTACTTTAAAGTGCATATGGAACCAAAAAAGAGCCCACATTGCCAAGTCAATCCTAAGCCAAAAGGACAAAGATGGAGGCATCTCGCGACCTGACTTCAAACTATACTACAAGGCTACAGTAACCAAAACAGCATGGTACTGGTACCAAAACAGATATATAGACCAATGGAACAGAACAGAACCCTCAGAAATAATGCCACATATCTACAACTATCTGATCTTTGACAAACCTGACAGAAACAAGAAATGGGGAAAGGATTCCTTATTTAATAAATGGTGCTGGAAAAACTGGCTAGTCATATGTAGAAAGCTGAAACTGGATCCCTTCCTTACACCTTATACAAAAATTAATTCAAGATGGATTAAAGACTAAATGTTAGACCTAAAACCATAAAAACCCTAGAAGAAAACCTAGGCAATACCATTCAGGACATAGGCATGGGCAAGGACTTCATGTCTAAAACACCAAGCAATGGCAACAAAAGCCAAAGTTGACAAATGGGATCTAATTAAACTAAAGAGCTTCTGCACAGCAAAAGAAACTACCATCAGAGTGAACAGGCAACCTATAGAATGGGAGAAAATTTTTGCAATCTACTCATCTGACAAAGGGCTAATATCCAGAATCTACAATGAACTCAAACAAATTTACAAGAAAAAAACAAACAACCCCATCAACAAGTGGGCGAAGGATATGAGCAGACACTTCTCAAAAGGAAACATTTACACAGCCAAAAGACACATGAAAAAATGCTCATCATCTCTGGCCATCAGAGAAATGCAGATCAAAACCACAATGAGATACCATCTCACACCAGTTAGAATAGTGATCATTAAAAAGTCAGGAAACAACAGGTGCTGGAGAGGATGTGGAGAAATAGGAACACTTTCACACTGTTGGTGGGGCTGTAAACTAGTTCAACCATTGTAGAAGTCAGTGTGGCGATTCCTCAGGGATCTAGAACTAGAAATACCATTTGACCCAGCAATCCCATTACTGGGTATATACCCAAAGCATTATAAATCATGCTGCTATAAAGAAACATGCACACGTATGTTTATTGTGGCACTATTCACAATAGCAAAGACTTGGAACCAACCCAAATGTCCAACAATGATAGACTGGATTAAGAAAATGTGGCACATATACACCGTGGAATACTATGCAGCCATAAAAAATGATGAGTTCATGTCCTTTGTAGGGACATGGATGAAGCTGGAAACCATCATTCTCAGCAAACTCTCACAAGGACAAAAAACCAAACACCGCATGTTCTCACTCATAGGTGGGAATTGAACAATGAGAACACATGGACACGGGAAAGGGAACATCACACACTGGGGCCTGCTGTGTGGTGGGGGGAGGGGGGAGGGATAGCATTAGGAGATATACCTAATATTAAATGATGAGTTAATGGCTGCAGCACACCAACATGGCACATGTATACATATGTAACAAACCTGCACATTGTGCACATGTACCCTAAAACTTAAAGTATAATAAAAAAAGAAAAGAAGTAAATTTGCCTCACTGAGAAATCCTTTGAGTGCTCATTTTCTTTGCGACTCCGAACTCTTATTTCCAACACAGGCCAAGGTTTTTCCTTGTCCCTTCCTTTCCAAATTTGGATTGGAAGGAGGAAAACATTTGTAAGAATTAGATATTTTAATTGCAACACTTGTGAATTTGGTTCTGGGTACCCACTGGTCATTGATCCACAGCCTCCCTAAAGAGTCTTCGTTTTCTTGTCTCTGACCTTTGAAAGTGTGATTTGTCACAGGGGGAAAATCCTAAGAAGAGATTCTCCTTTCATCTTGTTTCATGTCCTAAGAGTTTTGCTTTGTAACCAGCAAAAATATTCTCTGGTCTCTGTCAGATAGGGACGCAAGTGGTCAGGCTTCCATCAGGCGCCAGCCTGTGGCTAGCAGTCCAGAAGCTCTTGGGGAAGCTCATCCTAAAATCGGGGTCACAGTCCACAGGGGTCATTGCCGTCTCAGCCTTCCTTGCCTTGTTAACAATGAGGGTCTCTGCTTTCCTAGGCTCTCATGGGGACAGTCTTTGATTGGGGAGTTCCACATCCTTTGCACACTCTTTGGGGATGTCTCTGCCTCTATAGGTAGTCCAAGAAAGGCTAACTAATGTTAAGCCTAAAAAGGCTTATTGGCTTTGAGTCATAATTAAAGTAGGTGTACCTTGGAAGATTTGGATTTTTATATCTGAAAGGATTGTTTTAGAAAGTTCTCATCCTCAACAAATGTCTTATTGTTACCTACAGGAAGATCAGACTGAAAGGAAAAAGTGAATAAGGCCAAGGTGAGAATCAATGTTTATATAAATTAGTAAGTTTGTATTCCTGTATTTATACCTAACTCATGGCTAAGATTTAAGATGAAAACTGTAAGATCTCTGTTTGCATTTGTATGTTCATATCTACATATGTATGTTATGTATAGGTGATTTTTTTACCACCAAATGGTGATTGCCAAAATTAATTTGTAAAAGAGCTCTACTGAACTGGCTTAAAGAATAATAAGCATTTATTAATATGTAATATTTATTATTTAAGCATTTATTACATAAATAATAAATATTTATGTAATATTTATATAAGCATTTATTTTTTTATATAAGCATTTATTTACATAAGCATTTATAAATACATAAATGCTTATATAAATAAGTATTGACGTCAATGTTTATTTAAGCATTTATTAATATGTAATATTTATTTATTATTTAAGCATTTATTACATAAATAATAAATAACTGTGAATATTTATAATTATTTATAATTTATGAATATTTTATATTTATAAATTTATAATTTATGATAAATTTATAATTTATGGATATTTTATATTGATAAATTTATAATTTATGAATATTTTATATTTATAAATTTATAATTTATGAATAGTTTATATTTATAAATTTATAATTTATGAATAGTTTATATTTATAAATTTATAATTTATGAATAGTTTATATTTATAAATTTATAATTTATGAATAGCTTATATTTATAAATTTATAAATAATTTATGACTATTTTAAATTTATAAATTTATAAGTAATTTATAAATATAAACAAATAATAAACATTTATTACATAAATGCTTATTATTATAAGTATTCTTAAAACTCTCAGACATATAGAAACTAACCCAAATGTTTTTCATGTTCATATGATCTGAGATAATGTTCCATAAATAAAAGCTAGTTTAAGTTTGTTGGTTTAATTAAATCAGGCGTGTCTTGAGAGTTGTCAACATTAACTGTACTGCAGACATACAACTTATTCTACCTGGGTTTACTAATCAAGTAAACTTATATTATCTTTACTAGATGTTCAAGATTATAAAATTATAAATTCAACCTAACAATAAAATACACAATAAAAATAGATTGCTTGACATATGCCAACTGCTGCAATAAAAAGAAAAACGAAGAAAACATTGGAAAGAACTTATTTTAACCTTTATATTCTTACTTCCATGATTTTTAAAATATTGCCTGATTTATCTACAAAATAAGATTACTAGCTTTAATGTCTCATGAAATTTTCACAAACAATTCAAACATAATTGTTAAAAGCAAGTAAATTAAGTGACATAAAAGTTTATAAATGGACTTTTTAACAATGGTTATGTTTTATATGTCTGTTTAAAAATAAGTTCCAAAATCTTTTTGGAAATTTGAAACTTTAAAGTTCTACTAAGTTAAAAGATGAATATTCATTGACTATCTAGATCATTTCCAAATAAGATAAAATACTGAAACACTATTACGCGTGTTTAAGTTTCTCTAGTTTTTGGCTTCCTGCTTTTTGTAGAGAGACAAAGGCTATTTCATTCTATTAATAAATATGTTATTTTTGTCACATCCAAAAATTACATTACGAAAAAGAACACACCTAAAAAATGATGAGATGGTATATTGGTAAAATGTGCTGGTATACTACAGGATGTTAATATTGAGATGATTCAAATATTGTTTACTTTCTAGGTTGCTCTGTAAAAGAAAGGTTATTAATGATTAAAAATTATAATCAAGGCCGGGCACTGTGACTCACGCCTGTAATCTCAGCACTTTGGGAGGCTAAGGCGGGCGGATCACAAGGTCAGGAGTTCAAGACCAGCCTGACCAACATGGTGAAACCCCGTCTCTACTAAATATACAAAAAAAAAAAAAATAGCCAGGAGTGGTGGCGGGCGCCTGTAATCCCAGCTACTGGGGAGGCTGAGGCAGGAGAAACGCTTGAACCCAGGAAGCAGAGGTTGCAGTGAGCCGAGATCGTGCCACTGCACTCCAGCCTGGGTGACAGAGCAAGGCTCTGTCTCAGAAAAAAAAAAAAAAAAAAAAAAAAATATATATATATATATATATATACATACATATATACATATAAAATCAATATATGTAAATGAAACTATTAGAAACCAAAAGGGTGAAGGGTAAAAACCCTGTGTTCAAAGTATGGGAGAAAAACAGGATGTGTTTTTATATTAAAAGTCTGCAGTCGGATGCTGTGACAGGTCCCTGCAGTCCCAGCTACTTGGGAGGCTGAGGCAGGAGGATTACTTGAGCCCAGGAGTTCACATTCAGCCTGGGCTATGTAGTGAGACCCCCAATTCAATCAATCAATCAATCAATCAATAAGGTATGCAAAAAAGTAGAATGTGTTTTTGATTTTAAAAAGAATGAAGGGCATGTTTCCATTAGGTGAAAGTAGAGTAATTTTGTCCTAAAATAAAATGACCGGTTATTCCAAAATAAAAGAAAAAGATGAAACCTAAATGAATATAGAAAGTTGCAGAAGTTCTGAGGAAAAGAAATTTTGTGTTGCAAGGTCAAAGCTGGCTAGGATTAAATAGATTTACTTATAAATATTTTTAAAATGTGCTGATATAAAATTAGAGATTAGTTTTTTTTTTCTCTCTGTTAAAATAACCAGGTTTCTTAGGTTATTGGTCTATTCCTAATAAGAGATTATGAAGGGTTTTTCTTTACTTTTTTAGGGATCTGCCTGGGAAACAAAAAGTCTATATCCTATCAAAATAATTTGTTGTGCTTCGTGTTCTTTTTAAAATATAATTTCATCTGTTGTTTTAGATTCAGGAGGTACATGTGCTGGTTTGTTACCTGGGTATGTTCCATGATGCTGAGGTTTGGAGTATGATTGATCCTGTCACCAAGGTGCTGAGCATAGTGCTCAATAGTTAGTTTTTCAACCCTTGCCTCTCTCTCCCCACTTACTCCTCCCTCTAGTAGTCCCCAACATCTATTGTTTTCATCTGTGTGTCCATGAGTACCCAGTGTTTAACTCCCACTTATAAGTGAGAACATGTGGTATTTGGTTTTCTGTTCCTGTGTTAATTTGCTTAAGATAATGGCCTCAGCTGCATCTATGTTGCTGCGAAGGACATAATTTTATTCTTTTTTACAGCTGCATAGAATTCCATGGTATATGTTCCACATTTTCTTTATCCAATCCACTGTTGATAGGCACCTAGTCTGATTCTGTGTCTTTGTTATTGTGAATAGTGTTGCAATGAACATATGAGTGTGTGTGTCTTTTTGGTGGAATGATTTATTTTCTTCTGGATATACACTCAGTAATGGGATTGCTGAATTGAATAGTAGCTCTGTTTTAAGTTCTCCAAGAAATCGCCAAACTGCTTTCCATAATGGCTGAACTAATTTACATTCCCACCAGCAGTGTATAAGCATTCCCTTTTCTACATAGCCTTCCCAGCATGTTATTTTTTGTTTTTAATAATAGCCATTCTTACTGGTGTAAGATGGTATCTCATTATAGTATTGATTTGCATTTCCCTGATGATTACTGATGTTGGGCATTTTTTCATATGTTTGTTGGCCACTTGTATGTCTTTTTTTGAGAAGTGTCTGTTCTTTTGCCCACTTTTTAATGGGGTTGTTTTTAATTGTTTAAGTTCCTTATAGATTATAAATATTAGACCTTTGTCAGATGCATAGTTTGTTAATATTTTCTCCCATTCTGTGGGTTGTCTGTTTACTCTGTTGATGGTCTCTTTTGCTATGCATAAGCTCTTTAGTTTAATTAGGTCCCACTTGTCAAGTTTTGCTTTTGGCACAATTGCTTTTAAGAACTTAATCATATATTCTTTCCTGAGGCCAATGTCCAGAATGGTGTCTTCTAGGTTTTCTTCTAGGATTCTTATACTTTGAGGTCTTACATGTACATCTTTAATCCATCTTGAGTTAATATTTGTATATAGTGAAAGGTAGGGGTCCAGTTTCAATTTTCTGCATATGGCTTGCTGGCTATTCCAGCACTGTTTATTGAATAGGGAGTCCTTTCCCCATTGCTTATTTTTGTCAACTTTGTTGAAGCTCAGATGGCTGTAGGTATGCAACTTTATGTCTGGGTTCTCTATTCTGTTCCATTGGTCTATGTGTCTGTTTTTGTACCAGTATCATACTGTTTTGGTTACTGCAGCCTAGTAGTATAGTTTGAAGTTGGGTAGTGTGATGCTTCCAGCTTTGTGCTTTTTGCTTAGGATTGTCTTGGCTATTTGGGCTCTGTTTTGGTTCCATATGAATTTTAAAATAGTTTTTTTCTAATTCTGTAAAGAATGTTGATGGTAGTTTAATGGGAATGCCATTCAATCTATAAATTACTTTGGGCAGTATGGCCATTTTTATGATATTGATTCTTCCTATCCATGAGCATGGAATGTTTTTCCATTTGTCTGTGTCCTCTCTAATTTCTTTGAACAGTGGTTTGTAGTTCTTGAAGAGGACCTTCACTTCCCTTGTTAGCTGTATTCCTAGGTATTTCATTCTTTTTATAGCCATTATGAATAGAAGTTCATTCATGATTTGGCTCTCTGCTAGTCTGTTGTTGGTGTATATGAATGCTAGAGATATTTGCACATTGATTTTGTATCCTGAGACTTTGCTGAAGTTGCTTATCAGCTTAAGAAACTTTTGGGCCAAGATGATGGGGTTTTCTAGATATAGGATCATGTCATCTCCAAAGACAATTTGACTTCCTCTCTTCCTATTTGAATACCCTTTATTTCTTTCTCTTGCCTGATTTCCCTGGCCAGAACTTCCAATACTATGTTGAATAGAAGTGGTGAGAGAGAGCATCCTTGTTTTGTGCTGGTTTTCAAGGGGAGTGCTTCCAGCTTTTGCCCATTCAGTATGATATGGCTGTGAGTTTGTCATATATGGCTCTTATTATTTTGGGGTATGTTCCTTCAATACCTAGTTTATTGAGAATTTTTAACATGAAGTGATGTTGAATTTTATCGAAGGCCTTTTCTGCATATTGAGATAATCACGTGGTTTTTGTCTTTAGTTCTGTTTATGTGATTAATCACATTTACTGATTTGCATATGTTGAACCAACCTTGCATCCTGGAGATTAAGCCAACTTGATTGTCGTGGATAACCTTTTTGATGTGCTGCTGGATTCAGTTTGCCAGTATTTTATTGAGGATTTTTGCATCAATGATCATCAAGGAAATTGGCTTGAAATTTCTTTTTTTGTTGTATCTCTGCCAGGTTTTGGTATCAGGACAATGCTGGCCTCATAGAATGAGTTAGGGAGGAGTCCCTCCTTTTCGATTTTTTTGAATACTTTCAGTAGAAATAGTACCAGCTCTTCTTTGTACTTTTGGTGGAATTCAGCTGTGAATATGTCTGGTCCTGGGCTTTTTTTCATTGGTAGGCTACTTATTACTGCCTCAATTTCAGGACTTGTTATTGGTCTATTCAGGGATTTAATTTCTTCCTGATTCAGTCTTGAGAGGGTGTATGTGTCCAGTATTTTATTCATTTCTTCCAGATTTTCTAGTTTATGTGCATAGAACTGTTTAAAGTATTCTTGATCGTTGTTTGTATTTCTTTAAGGTCAGTGAAGATATCCCCCTTATCATTTCTGATTGTGTTTATTTGATTCTTCTCTCTTTTCTTCTTTATAGTCTAGCTAGTAGCCTATTTTATTAATTTTTTTTTTTTTTTTCAAAAAACCAGCTCCAGGCTGGGCACGGTGGCTCATGCCTGTAATCCCAGCACTTTGGGAGGCCGAGGTGGGCGGATCACGAGGTCAGGAGATCGAGACCACCCTGGCTAACATGGTGAAACCCCCCCCCCCCCGCCGTCTCTACTAAAAAATACTAAAAAATACAAAAAATTAGCCGGGTGTGGTGGTGGGCGCCTGTAGTCCCACTTGGGAGGCAGAGGCAGGAGAATGGCATGAACCCGTGAGGCGGAGCTTGCAGTGAGCCAAGATCATGCCACTGCACTCCAGCCTGGGCAACAAAGTGAGACTCTGTCTCAAAAAAAAAAAAAAAAAAAAAAATCAGCTCCAGGATTCATTGATTTTTTAAGGCTTTTTCATGTCTCTTTCTCCTTCGGTTTCCCTCTGAGCTTGGTTATTTCTTGTCTTCTGCAGTTTGTTTGCTCTTGGTTCTCTAGTTCTTTTAGCTACGATGTTAGGATGTCAATTTCAGATCTTTCTAGCTTTTTCATGTGGGCATTTAGTGTTATAAATTTCCCTCTTAACATTGCTTTAGCTGTGTCCCAGATATTCTGGTATGTTGTCTCTTTGTTCTCATTAGTTTCAAAGAACTTCTTGATTTCTGCCTTCATTTCATGATTTACCCAAGAGTCATTCAGGAGCAGGTTGTTCAGCTTCCATGTAGTTGTGTGGTTTTGAGTGAATTTCTTAATCTTGAGTTCTAATTTGATTGTGCTGTGATCTGAGAGACTGTTTGTTATTATTTCAGTCCTTTGCATTTGCTGAGGAGTGTTTTACTTCCAAATATGTGATCAATTTTAGAGTATATGCCACGTGGTAATGAGAAGAATGTATATTCTGTTGTTTTGGGGTGGAGGGTTCTGTAGATATCTATCAAGTCCACTTGATCCAGACCTGAGTTCAGGTCCTGAATATCTTTTTAAATTTTCTGTCTCAATGATCTGTCTAATATTGTCAGTGGTGTTAAGGTCTTGCACTATTATTGTGTGGGAGTCTAAGTTTCTTTGTAGGTCTCTAAGAACTTGCTTTATGAATATGGGTGTTCCTGTATTAGGAATATATATTTATAATAGCTCTTTTGGTTTAATTGAATGCGTTACCATTACGTAATGCCCTTGTCTTTTTTTTAATCTTTGTTGGTTTAAAGTCTGTTTTGTCAGCAACTAGGATTGCAACCCCTGCTTTTTTCTGTTTTCCACAGGTTTGATAAATTTTTTTTTTTTTTTTAATTGATCATTCTTGGGTGTTTCTCGCAGAGGGGGATTTGGCAGGGTCACAGGACAATAGTGGAGGGAAGGTCAGCAGATAAACAAGTGAACAAAGGTCTCTGGTTTTCCTAGGCAGAGGACCCTGCGGCCTTCCGCAGTGTTTGTGTCCCTGGGTACTTGAGATTAGGGAGTGGTGATGACTCTTAACGAGCATGCTGCCTTCAAGCATCTGTTTAACAAAGCACATCTTGCACCGCCCTTAATCCATTCAACCCTGAGTGGATACAGCACATGTTTCAGAGAGCACAGGGTTGGGGGTAAGGTCACAGATCAACAGGATCCCAAGGCAGAAGAATTTTTCTTAGTACAGAACAAAATGAAAAGTCTCCCATGTCTACCTCTTTCTACAGAGACACGGCAACCATCCGATTTCTCAATCTTTTCCCCACCTTCCCCCCTTTCTATTCCACAAAACCGCCATTGTCATCATGGCCCGTTCTCAATGAGCTGTTGGGTACACCTCCCAGACGGGGTGGTGGCCGGGCAGAGGGGCTCCTCACTTCCCAGTAGGGGCGGCCGGGCTGAGGCGCCCCTCACCTCCCGGACGGGGCGGCTGGCCGGGCGGGGTGCTGACCCCCGCACCTCCCTCCCGGACAGGGTGGCTGCCGGGCGGAGACGCTCCTCACTTCCCAGACGGGGTGGCTGCCAGGCGGAGGGGCTCCTCACTTCTCAGACGGGGCGGCTGCTGGGCTGAGGGGCTCCTCACTTCTCAGACGGGGCGGTTGCCAGGCAGAGGGTCTCCTCACTTCTCAGACGGGGCGGCCGGGCAGAGACGCTCCTCACATCCCGGACGGGGCGGCAGGGCAGAGGCGCTCCCCACATCTCAGACGATGGGCGGCCGGGCAGAGATGCTCCTCACTTCCTAGATGGGATGGCGGCCGGGAAGAGGCGCTCCTCACTTCCTAGATGGGATGGCGGCCGGGCAGAAACGCTCCTCACTTTCCAGACTGGGCAGCCAGGCAGAGGGGCTCCTCACATCCCAGACGATGGGCAGCCAGGCAGAGACGCTCCTCACTTCCCAGACGGGGTGGCGGCCGGGCAGAGGCTACAATCTCGGCACTTTGGGAGGCCAAGGCAGGCTGCTGGGAGGTGGAGGTTGTAGCGAGCCGAGATCACGCCACTGCACTCCAGCCTGGGCACCACTGAGCACTGAGTGAACGAGACTCCGTCTGCAATCCTGGCACCTCAGGAGGCCGAGGCTGGCGGATCACTCGCGGTTAGGAGCTGGAGACCAGCCTGGCCAACACATCGAAACCCCGTCTCCACCAAAAAAATACGAAAACCAGTCAGGCGTGGCGGCGCGCGCCTGCAATCGCAGACACTCGGCAGGCTGAGGCAGGAGAATCAGGCAGGGAGGTTGCAGTGAGCCGAGATGGCAGGGGTACAGTCCAGGTTCGGCTGGGCATCAGAGGGAGACCGTGGAAAGAGAGTGAGAGGGAGACCGTGGGGAGAGGGAGACCGTGGGGAGAGGGAGAGGGAGAGGGACTCCAGGTTTGGTAAATTTTCTTCCATCCCTTTATTTTGAGCCCATGTGTGTCTTTGCACATGAGATGGATCTCTTGACAGCATACTGATGGGTCTTGGCTCTTTATTCAGCTTGCTAGTCTGTGTCTTTTAATTGGAAGCATTTAGCCCATTTACATTTAAGGTTAGTATTGTTATTTGTGACTTTGATCCTGTCATCATGATGCTAGCTGGTTATATTGCAGACTTGTTTATGCAATTGCTTCATAGTGTCACTGGTCTGTGTACTTCAGTGTGTTTTTGTAGTGGCCGGTAACAGTTTTTCCTTTCCATATTTAGTGCTTCCCTCAGAAGCTCTTGCAAGGCAGGCCTGGTGGTGATGAATTCCTTCAGCATTTGTTTGTCTGAAAAGGATCTTATTTCTCCTTTGCTTATGAAGCTTAGTTTGGCTGGATATGTAATTCTGGGTTGGAAATTCTTTTCTTTAAGAATGTTGAATATTGGTCCCCAATTGCTTCTGGCCAGTAAGGTTTCTGCTGAGAGGTCGGCTGTTAGTCTAATAGGCTTCCCTTTGTAAGTGGCCTGGCCTTTCTCTCTGGCTGCTCTTAACATTTTTTCTTTCACTTTGACCTTGGAGAATCTGATGATTATATGTCTTAGAGTTGATTTTCTCATGGAGTATCTTACTGGGGTTCTCTGCATTTCCTGAATGTTGGCCTATCTTGCTAGGTTGGGGAAGTTCTCCTGGATGATATCCTGAAGTATGTTTTCCAACTTGGTTCCATTCTCTCTATCTCTTTCAGGTACCCCAATCAGTCGTAACTTCAGTCTCTTTACATAACCTCATGTTTCTCAGAGGTTTTGTTCATTCCTTTTCATTATTTTTTTCTCTATTCTTGTCTGCCTGTCTCATTTCAGAAAGATAGCCTTTGAGCTCTGAGATTCTTTCCTCTGCTTGGTCTATTCTGTTATTGATACTTGTAACTGTATTGTGAAGTCCTCATGTTGTGTTTTTAGCTCCATCAAGTCAGTTATGTTCCTCTCTAAACTGGCTATTTTGGCTGTCAGCTCCTGTATCATTTTATAATGATTTTTAGCTTCTTTGCATTGGGTTACAATATGCTCCTTTAGCTCAGCAAAGTTTGTTATTACCCACTTTCTGAAGCCTACTTCTGTCTCTTCAGCCATCTCAGCCTCAGCCCAATTCTGTGCCCTTGCTGGAGAGGTGTTGTGGTCATTTGGAGGAGACAAAGCACTCTGGCTTTTTGAGTTTTCAGCACTTTTGCATTGATTTTTTTCTCATCTTTGTGGGCTTAGCTACCTTCGATCTTTGAGGTTGCTGACCTTTGAATGGGATTTTTGTGGGGTCTTTTTTGTTGATGTTGTTTTGTTTTCTGTTTGTTTGTTTTTCTTTTAATAATCAGGCCAGTATTCTTTAGGGCTGCTGCGGTTTGCTGGGGTCCACTCCAAACCCTAGTTGCCTCAGTTTTTCTTGTGCCTGGAGATATCACCAGTGAAGGCTATGAAACAGCAAAGATGGCAGCCTGCTCTTTACTCTGGAAGCTCCATCCCAGGGGGGTGCTGACCTGTTGCCGGCCCAAACATGCTTGTTGGGGGGGTTTCACCCAGTCAGGAGAAATGGGATTAGGGATCCACTTAAAGAAGCAGTCTGGCTGCTTTTTGGTAGAGCAGGTGTGCTGCTTTGGGGGCAGTGGGGTGGGGACACTTCCAGGTCTGGACAGTTTGGACTCTCCAAAGCCAACAGGCTGGAATGGCTGAGTCGACCAAATCACAGAGATAGCTGTCCCTCCCCTTGGGAGCTCCATCCCTGGGAGAGATCAGAGCTCTGTTCGTATAACCCTGGCTGGAGTGGCTAAAGCCCCTGCAGGGAGGTCCCACCCAGTGAGGAGGAATGGATCAAGGTGCTGCTTAAAACAGTCTGGCCATGATCTGGCAAAGCAGCTATGCTGCATTGTGGGGGACACTTCCTCTTCCGCACCATTTGGACAGGCTGGAACGGCTGAGTTGACTGAACCACAGAGGTGGTTCAGCTGCCCCGCCCCTGGGAACTCTGTCCTGTCTCAGGCAGACTCCAGCCAGTTGCTGTTGGCTGGCTGGAATTCCAAACCAGTGGGTCTTATCTTAAGAGATGCCATGGAAGTGGGGCCTGCAGAATGATACTGCTTGGCTCCCTGGATTCAGCACCCTTTCTAGAGGTATGTACGAGTGGACCTCCCGCCTTGCTGGGGATCCCAGGGCTGGAGTATGTAAAACTCCTGGGTCTCTGTGTATGCCTGAGTTGCTGCTTTGCTGAGACTCCACACAGCTTTGTGTATTGGACCCTAGGCCCTGGTAGTGTGGGCTCACGAGGGGATCTCCTGATCCACAAGTTGCAAAGATCCATGGGAGAAGCATGGTTTCCCGAGTGGGGTCACACAATTACTCACCGCTTCCCTTGGCTGGGGGTGGGGGTTCCTTTGGCTCTGTGCTGCTCCTGTGTGGGCCATTGCCCCACCCTGCTTTTCTTCATTCTTCATGGGTCAAGTCATTTGCCTAGTCACTCCCAATGTGAGAACCTGGATATTTCAGTTGAAGGTGCTGTATTAACTTGCTCCTTTCATTCCTCTCCATGAGTGCTGCAAACCGCAGCTGCTTCTAACTGGACATCTTTGCTCCTCCCCAAAACCAAATTCTAAATAAAGTCTTTTTTTTTTTTCAACCTTGAACTAACTTCGGAATTTCCCAGAGAACCCCTGGAAGATCTTAAAGGATTTGTTTCTCATCTTATAAAAGTAGATCTACTAGACTACTTAAGCTTATTTGATATGTTAAATATTGCAATAAAGCAAGTGACACAAATTTTTTGTTTCCTAGTGCATATAAGTTATGTTTAAACTATCCCGTAGGTCAGACACAGTGGCTCATACCCGTAATCCCAGTACTTTGGGAGGCCGAGGTGGGTGGATCACCTGAGGTCAGGAGTTCAAGACAAGCCTGGCCAACATAGTGAAACCCTGTTTCTACTAAAAATACAAAAAAAGTAGCTGGGTGTGGTGGCAGATGCCTGTAATCCCAGCTACTAGGGAGGCTGAGGCAGGAGAATTGCTTGAACCCAGGAGGCTGAGGTTGCAGTGAGCCAAGATTGCACTATCGCACTCCAGCCTGGGTGACAGAGCTAGACGTGCTCCAGCCTGGGCGACAGAGTGAGACTCCATCTAAAAAAAAAAACAAAAAACTATCTTTTTGCTGGTGGAGGGTCTTGCCTCAATGATGATGGCTGCTGACTAATCAGGTCGGTGGTTTCTGAAGGTTGGGGTGGCTGTGACAATTTCTTAAAATAAGACAACAGTGAAGTTTGCCACATCAATTGGCTCTTTCTTTCACAAAATATCTGTGTAGCATGCTGTCTGATAGTGTTTTACTCACAGTAGAACTTCATTCAAAATTGGAGTCCCTCCTCTTAAACCCTGCTGCAGCTTTGTCAACTAAGTTTATGTAACATTCTAAATCCTTTGTTGTCATTTCAACAGTGTTCACAGCATCTTCACCAGGAGTAGTAGATTCCATCTCAAGAAGCTACTTCCTTTGCTCATCCACAAGAAGCAACTGTCTGTTCAGGCTTTACCATGAGATTGGCAACAATTCCAATTCAGTCACATCTTCAGGCTCCACTTTTTTTTTTTTTTTTTTCCTTTGAGACGGAGTTTTGCTCTTGTCACCCAGGCTGGAGTGCAGTGGTGTGATCTCGGCTCACTGCAACCTCCACCTCCTGGGTTCAAGCGATTCTCCTGCCTCAGCCTCCTGAGTAGCTGGGATTACAGGCACGCGCCACCACGCCCTGCTAATTTTTGTATTTTTAGTAGAGACGGGGTTTTACCATGTTGGCCAGGCTGGTCTCGAACTCCTGAGCTCAGGTGATCCACCCACCTCTGCCTCCCAAAGTGCTGGGATTACAGGCGTGAGCCACCGCGCCTGGCCCAGGCTCCACTTCTAATTCTAGTTCTCTTTCTCTCTCTGCCATATCATCAATTACTTCCTTCACTGAAGGCTTGAACCCTGCAAAGTCATCCATGAGAGCTGAAATCAGCTTCTTCCAAACTCCCAGTAATGTGGATATTTGATCTCCTCTCATGAATCACGAATGTTCTTGATGGCATCTAGAATGGTGACTCCTTTCCAGAGGCTTTCAATTTACTTTGTTCAGATCCATCAGAGGAATTACTGTGGCAGCTATAGCCTTACGAAATGTGTTTCTTAAATAATAGTAAGGCTTGAAAGTTGAAATCACTCCTTGATCCATGGGCTTCAGAGTGGATGTTGTATTTGCAGGCATGAAAATATTAATCTCCTTGTGCATCTCTATCAGAGCTCTGAGGTGTTTAGGTGCACTGTCAATGAGCAGTAACATTTTTCTAAGCAGTAGGTCTCAGCCCTGGGCTTAAAATACTCAGTAAACCATGCTATAAACAGATGTGCTGTCATTCAGGCTTTGTTGTTCCATTTATAGAGCACAGACAGAGTAGATTTCACACAATGCTTAAGGGCCCTAGGATTTTCAGAATGACAAATGAGCACTGGCTTCAATTTAAAGTCACCAGCTGCATTAGCCCTAACAAGAGAGTCAGGCTGTCCCATGAAGTTTTGAAGCCACACATTGACTTCTCTCTAGCTATGAAAGTCCTAGATGGCATCTTCTTCCAATAAAAAGCTGTTTTGTCTACATTGCAAATCTGTTGTTGCGTGTAGCCCCCTTCATCAATGATCTTAAATATCCTGGATAACTTGCTGCATTTTCTCTGTCAGCACTGGCTGCTTTCATCTTGCACTTAATTTATGTGATGGAGCTGGCTTCTTTCCTTAAACCTCAGGAACCAACCTCTGGTAGCTTCAAACTTTTCTTCTACAGCTTCCTTACCACTCTAAGCCTTCATAGAATTCAAGGTTTGCTCTGGATTAGGCTTCGGCTTAAAGGAATATTGCAGCTGGCTTGATCTTCTATCCAGACCACTCAAACTTTCTCCATGTCAGCAATAAGGCTGTGTTGCTTTGTTATCATTTCAATGTTCACTAGAGTAGCACATTTAATTTTCTTCAAAAACTTTTCCTTTGCATTCACAACTTCGCTAACTGTTTGGTGCAACAGGCCTAGCTTTCAGCCTGTCTCGGCTTTGGACATGCCTTCCTCACTAAGCTTGATCATTTCTAGCTTTTGATTTAAAATGAGAAACATGTGACTCTTCCTTTCTCTTGAACACTTAGAGGCCATTGTAGGGTTATTGATTGGCCTAATTTCAATACTGTTGTGTCTCAGGGAAATAGGGAGGCCCTAGGAAGGTGGGGAGGGGAGTGTCTGGTCAGAGGAACAGTCAGAACACACATTTATCAATTAAGTTCACCATCTTAATGGCGGTTCATGGTGCTCCCAAACAGCTACAATAATAGCATTAAAGATCACTGATTGGAGTTCAAGACCAGCCTGGCCAACATGGTGAAACTCTGTCTCTACTAAACGTACAAAAATTAGCCAGGCATGGTGGTGGGCACCTGTAGTCCCAGCTACTCGGGAGACTGAGGCAGGAGAATCACTTGAACCCAGGAGGTGGAGGTTGCAGTGAGCCGTGATCGCGCCACTGCACTCCAGCCTGGGTGACTGAGGGAGACTCTAGTCTCAAAATAAAAAAAAAAAAAAAAAAGCTCACTGATCATAGATGACCATAACAGATCCAACAATGGTGACAAAGTTTAAAATATTGTGAGAATTACCAAGATGTGACACAGAGACACGAAGGGAGCACATGCTGTTGGATAAATTGTGCCCATGCAGGGTGGCCACAAACCTTCCATTTGTAAGAAACACAATATCTGCAAAGTGTAATAAAGAATCAAAGTGCAATAAAAATGACATATGCCTGTATGTGAAATTCCTAGAAATTTTTCAATGCCCTTAGTGTCCATATAATCAGTCATAATTCTATGTATCTTAAGGTATTGTATTCCACAGAAATAATAAAATTTTCTTGCCAACTCTATTATAGTAAACTCTCACCATATCCTCAATCATGACTATTCTAGAAGGTTGTTATTTTTTGTTTGTTTGTTTTGTCTATCACAGACAGTTGTTATACTCTGATGCTTTCCTGAAAGCTCTTACAACCAGCTACAGACAAAAGTGTTTCATCTTCAAAGAGATTCATGGAAAGACTCTGACAAGTACTATGCAATGATACAGGCTCCTGACAATGTTCAGATCATACCACTGAATGTGGTAAAAATTTCCACAGCTCTAATGAAAAAAATGGATGGATTCAGAAAACTGCTAATCCAAGATAGAGCAGAACGAGAATTAATTACATGGAACTAAATGAACCAAAGAAGATGATTGTAGTTTTTATAACTGTTTAAAACATTGGTGATTCTTTAATGTCTTGTTTACCATATTTAAGGAAACTCTTTTCTCTTTTCTCTTAAGCTATCTATACCTTACAGCAGTCTGGTAAATTATACCTTTGTAAATAACGTTGAGACATTTCTCCTTTACTTCCTACTTGATTCCTCCAGAATTCTGGAAACTTTGAGTATTCTTATTTTTATGGCAATATAGTTGTTTGCATAGGTTCAACAAGAATCTAAAACAAGACACAATTTGAAAACATTAACTATATTGCCAAGGCTTTGACTGGAATGTCCTATTTTCAGATATGACCAGACAGATTTAAGGAACTAGAGGTGACTTCGTGGAATCAGTAAAGCCCCCTGACTAAACCAGCCTGACTCCTTGCCCACAGAGTCCCCTGCCTTCCAGGTGAATAAAGAAGGCTACTTCCTAGTGGGCCCAAGCAGTTCAGGAGATCTCTGATGAAAATGGAGGTGATTGTAGGAAGACAGTTCTGTTTCAACTAAAGCTGCAACCTCTGGGGAGGCGTTGAACAGTACTGTATTCACCACCTTTGAGCTTCTTCCTCTTTTGAACTGGCTCCTGTGGTTTTATACATTTCCAATTTTTCTCCCGCCCTTCTGATTTGGAGTCATTAAAAAGTAAAACTTCCCTTTTCCTGAAACCCTAACAAACTAAACTTGACCACTTGATATAAACTTCAGAGAAATCACCACAACAAATCCTATATGGACAAACTTCATGCCTGCTGTTGTCTGAGCCACTGAGAAAGTTTACTGGGGCCGGGCGTGGTGGCTCACGCCTGTAATCCTGGCATTTTGGGAGGCCGAGGTGGGCGGATCACAAGGTCAGGAGATCAAGACCATCCTGGCTAACATGGTAAAACCCTGTCTCTAGTAAAAATACAAAAAATTAGCCAGGCATGGTGGCTGGCGCCTGTAGTCCCAGATACTCAGGAGGCTGAGGCAGGAGAATGGCGTAAGCCCGAGAGGTGGAGGTTGCAGTGAGCCGAGATTGCGCCACTGCACCCAGCCTGGGCGACAGAGCTAGACTCTGACTCAAAAAAAAAAAAAAAAAAAGTTTACTGGAACATCCAGTGCTATAACTGAAGACATTCCAACTGCAAACCAGGAGGTGCATTAAACTACAACTGCTGTCTCCATTCTATCATCCAAGGATGCTCTGAGCTCAACTCTAGAAATCTTGACTGGATGCCTTCTGAACTCAGAGACTAGGCGTCCAATTATTAATCTTTGTGAAAGTCTGGAAAAAAACAACACTCAGTTTGCTTTTTCCTGTTCTCTCCCTCAGCAATAACCAACACAGAAGACTTCTGTGACCAAATGTGTGGGGATTTCTCCCCACATGCCAAGCAAGCAATGAGTTGTGCAGCGGACACCAGCTGGGTGACCTCCAATTCAGTTCAATTCTGATGCTGTCCACCCAGAGATAGCCCAAGAAACCACAAGGTGAGAACTCACTCCCACAAGGCCCTCCCCTCCTTCTAACCAGCCACAAGTCCAGACCTCTGGAACTTCTGACCCACCAGATTCATGTGTTTCCCTGAGTCCTGTGAGCTGCTCCAGCAAATTACGATAATAAAACCCAAAGAGGGTTAGTTTTCAGAGAAACACTTCTGTTTACCAGTTTATTACAAAGCACATTTTAAAAGGTACAAGTAAACAGCCAGATGAGGAGACATACAGGGTGAGGTCTGGAAGGGCCCCCGTGGAGTTGGAGTGCTCCACCCTCTGGGCACAGGAAAGAGTTTTGTTCACCTTCCTGTGAGCCCCCATGTGTTCAGCTATCTGGAACCTCCTACCCTGTCCTCTTGGGCCTTTTATGGAACCCTCATTGGATAGGCATGACTGAAGCCTGAACAACCATGTAGAAATGTGATTGGACAAGAAGAGCATGATCAAATGCTAACAGACCGAGTGGGAAGCCCTGCCAGGCCCGTCCGTCCAGAGTCTCCTTGGCCTCTCTGTGCGGCACTCCTTCTTCCAGGGTGAGTGAGGCAGGACCTTCTCTGAAATGAAGGTCTTAGACCCACAATCAGATTAGAGTCCTGCCTTGGGCAGGTGAAAGAGGGATAGGAAAATGTCAGAGAGAGAAATTACTTTTCCTGGGTTCTTCTTCTAATCATAATAACCACTTTGTTTTTCTTTTGTTTCCAAATAAATGCTCCTCATTGAGCGCCTGACTGCTGGCGCCATATGGAGACCTCATCCAAATGGACACCTACTCCCACCTGCACCACTGCCTCCTGGAATAAGACACACATATTTCACAAAACTAGGAGGCTGAGGCAGAATTGCTTGAACCTGGGAGGCGGAGGTTGCAGTGAGCCGAGATCGCGCCTGCACTCCAGCCTGGGCAACAAGAGCGAGACTCCGTCTCAAAAAACAAAAAAAGACACACATATTTCACAAAACTGACCTATTCTCAAAATTAAGAAATGAGCCAGGCACAGTGGTTCATGTCTGTAATCCCAGCACTTTGGGAGGCCAAGGCAGGCAGATCACTTGAGCTTAGGAGTTCCAGACTAGCCTGCCCAACATGGTGAAACACCATTTCTACAAAAAATACAAAAATTAGCCCCCAAGACATTTCAAAGGAGTTGGGGGAAGTTTCAAAGGAGGGCCAGGCGTGGTGACTCATGCCTGTAATCCCAGCACTCTGGGAGGCCGAGGCAGGGAGATTGCTTGAATTTGACAGCAGTTTGGGCAACATAGCGAGATTTTTTTTTTTTTTTTTTTTTTTTTTTTGAGATGGAGTCTCGCTCTGTCGCCCAGGTTGGAGTGCAGTGGCGCGATCTCAGCTCACTGCAAGCTCCGCCTCCCGGTTTCACGCCATTCTCCTGCCTCAGCCTCCTGAGTAGCTGGGACTACAGGCGCCCACCACCACGCCCGGCTAATTTTTTGTATTTTTAGTAGAGATGCGGTTTCACCGTGTTAGCCAGGATGGTCTCCATCTCCTGACTTCGTGATCCACCCGCCTCGGCCTCCCAAAGTGCTGGGATTACAGGCGTGAGCCACCGCGCCCGGCCGAGATGTTTTTATTTTTTTCAAAAAATAGCCAGGTCTAGTGGCACGTGCCTGTAGTCCCAGCCACCCGGGAGGCTGAGGTGGGAGGATTGCTTGAGCCCCGGAGTTCTAAACCACAGTGAGCTATAATTGCACCACTGCACTCCAACCTGGGCGACAGAGTGAGAATCTGCCTCCAAAAAAAAAAAAGAAAAGGAAAAAATAAAATGTAAGTCTGGTGTGTATGTGTAAAACTAAAGCAAAAACAAAAAAACTAATTTGGAGTCCTTAAAGAAACTCTGGACAAAGGTGTGCTTCCAGAAAATAAAACCAGAGGCTCAGGAGGTGACCTGAAGTCGTCCCTCAGGAAAGTGCCTTTCAAAACCAATCAGGCAGGAAACAGGACATCCCACATAATGAGGCAAACTAACTAGGGAGCTAAACATAATTTCAGGTGCCTTTTGCCAAGAATTCAACAGGCCATTCAGCTCGCAAACCTGTACTTAGTACCCATTATGTGTCCTCCACCACACAACGAGCAAGAGGGAATGGAGGAATATTTCTGCAACTCTATTCCCTTAAATACATACATATACATACATGTATATATAGGTATATTCAAAGCAGTCTATATTAGCATTTAAAAGACCAGGGTACAAACATGTGCTAAGTAACGATGATAAAATAGAATCCTTTTCCTGTTGCTGTTGTTGCTGCTGTCCATAGACAAAGCCTCTAAAGAGACTGACCTCCTTACAGTGTGCTTTGAAGCAGATAGGCTGTAAGTGGAAGCTCCAATGTCACCAAGTACACTAGATGTACCAAGAGAGACAAACACTGAGCTGGGGAATCCACCCAAGATTTTAAAGAGATGAAGAACAAAATACTGTAATGGAAATGTTTGCCAAAATCTCTCTCCTATCATTCTGCTCAGCCACTAGGCTAGGAGTGTCCCAGGCGCCCTGCCTGGATTGTAGCCTGGAGTGGACTGTCTGGTCAGGCCAGCTGCCTTCTCACAAGCACTGGAATGTCACAATGCCCCTTGGTATCTGTTTCTTCTCCTGAAAAATTGGGATATTCATAGTCCCTACCTGCTAGACCAGAAATGATATCATGTATGTTCAACAATTAAAACAGTGCCTGATGCATGGTAAATGCTCAATACATGTGAATAATCATCAGTGAAGCCCAGGGCCCCCCGGTAAAATCGAAAGTCGCAGAAGTACGTCTCTGTGGAGGGAAATCATTTCCATGTTTCCAAACCCCTCCACAGGGAATCATGCCGCACACAAGTCTTCCATTTCGGGGAAGCTTACATGTTGGATTTGGGAGCTCTTCCTCCACCCAGCTTTCCATGGGGCCTCAGGCACAGTCTTTTGAATACCTGCAAATGTGACACATTTGTGCCCCAGATATAATTTTTGGAAAAAGATAAAAAATGTCCAGCTAAGCCTGGTGAATGAGTATGAGTCATAGTCTGCTCAAAGACCACTGATGATGACACAATAGCACCCGCTCTCCAGCTGCTCCAGAGAGCACCAGGGTCTCCTGAGAGCTGACCTTTCTCAGGCCCCTAGCTGATATGACACTGCCACCTGGTGAGGCTGAACGGAACTACAGGGAAGTTCTTGAAGCAAACAAATCCCTAAAAAAAAGTAAAACCAAAGCTGAGCCCCTGGATGACAGCCCTGAAGCTCAGTAATAGTACAGAGAACTCCAGTTTCCCCTTTTGCCAAATGTTCCCCTGGAGTTAAATTAACTTGATCTACTCAGCCAACTTCAAGCTTTTGCTAGGCAGTTAATATTTCTGTCCTTCCTTTTTGTTTTACACTTGGAGACATAATTTATACACACACTCTCGCATATTTATATGCATTTTAGGAAAATTTTATATACATTGCATATGTAAATCTTAACTGTACAATTTTGACAAACAGATACACAGTTGTATGCACACCCCAATCAGGATAAGGAATGTCATCGCCCTAGAAAGTTTGTTCTGCCCCTTCCCAGGCAGTCCCCCTCAAAGTAGCAGTGACTCTTCTACTTTCTGTCACTATAGATCAGTGCTGACTTTTCTAGAGTTTCATATAAATGAAATAATGTAATACGTACTGTAGTGTTCTGACTTCTTTCACTCAACATGAGGTTTTGAAATGAGCTCATTTGTTTTATTGTTGAGTAGTCCATTGTGTGAATACACTGTAATTTGTTTTTCTATTATACTGCTAATGGACATTTGGGCTGTTTCCAGTTGTGAAGAGCATTGCTAGGAACATGCTTGAAGAAGTCTTTTTGTGAACATATGTGTTCATTTCTCTCGGGCAAACATCCAGGAGTCAGATTGCTGGGTCAATGGGTATCTTTATAAGAAATTATCAAACCATTTTCCAAAGTGGTAGTAGCATTTTTATCTTCCCACCAGTAGTGTGAGACCTTCCTTATATTTTTTTAGGTTGGAAGGGGTCCAATTGTACATAAGCAGCAACATAAGTGCTAAGAAGCACTCACAGACACTATCGTGTCAGCACTGGGTGAAGTGGGCATTCTCTACAACTCCCCACACTTTAAAATGGAAATGCTGGATTAAAACATCATAAATCAGCTCATGAAAACATAAGAGCAACCCCCAGAGCTTTAAAAACACATAGTCATTCCTCACTAAAAGGAACCAAGGATCCTTGGCTGATTCCAGATTTGGTGCAAGGAAAGAACAAAGTGAGCCTGAAACCTCCATCCCATCGGAAGCAGGGAGGCACCCAGAGGCGGCGACGGAGGAGCCAGCGCGGGGGTCTGCCACTTCCCGTCTCACCATCGCTGAGTGCTGGGAGACAATGTTCCCAATGCAGACAGCTACCAGAGGACTTGCATTAAGAATACAGATAAAGAACTTCCGCAAAGCAACTTAAAAACACTGAATTTTTTTAAATGGATAAAAGATTCAGTCACTTTTAAAGAGAATATAACCAATATCCAATAAATACTTGAAAAAGTGATCAACATTAGTAATACTCAGAAAAATGAAAATTTATTTTATTTATTTATATTTCAAATTTTGGAGGGAACAGGTAGTGTTTGGTTACATGGATAAGTACCTTAGTGGTAATTTCTGAGGTTCTGGTGCACCCATCACACGAGCAGTGTACACTGTACCCAATGTGTAGTCTTTTATCCCTTATCTCCTTCCCACCCTTTCCCCCTGAGTCCTCAAAATCCATTATATCATTCTTATGTCTTTGCATCCTCATCGCTTAGCTCCCACTTATAAGTGAGAACATACAATGTTTGGTTTTCCATTCCTGAGTTACTTCGCTTAGAGTAATGGTCCCCAACTCCATCCAGGTTGCTGTGAATGCCATTATTTCATTCCTTTTATTCCATGGTATATATATATATATACCACAGAAAAATGAAAATTTAAACCAGTATGAAGAGACCACTGCACATAAGCCAGATGGTTAAAATGTAACAGACTAAAAGTACAAAGTGTTGACAAACTGGAACTCATGCCTAGCTGACAGAGGTGCTGTAAACTGGTAAAGTCAAAACCATTTGACATTATCTTCTAAAGCTAAACATCTGTCTGCTCTATGACTCAGGAATTCTACTCCTAGGTATATGTACCCAAGAGAAATGCATATGCTTACTAGGAATGTTCATAGCACTTATATTCATGAGAGCCCCCAAACTGGAAACAATTCAATTATCTATCAACAGTAGAATGAATAAACAAACTGTAGTATATTCCTACAGTGGAATACCACACCATCAGTGAAAAAGAACAACTGATACATACAGAATGGTTGAATCATACAAAATGTGGGGTAAGGAAGCCAGATACAAAGGAGTATATACTACAGGATCTTATTTAAATAATGTTCAAACAGATAAAACTAGTAGAGGAGATAGAAACCAAACCAGTGATCACCCACAGGGATGGGGAGGTGAGGCATTGGGACAATGAGGTGGGGTGGCGTGGGGTGGATTAACTGGGAAGGGAAGGGCATGGAGGAGCCTTCCAGCAGAATGAAAAGGGTCTGTATGGTTAGTTGTTACCTGGGTTTATAGACATGTAAAAATTCACCAAGCATATACTGAAGATCTATACATGTTACGAATGTTAACCCTCAATTAAAACTTTAAAAGGAATCCATGGACCCATAGTGATACCGTGAACCTGGAAAATCTGAGACAGGTCTCAGTTAATTTAGAAAGTTTATTTTGCCCTGGTTGAGGACATGCCCATGACACAGCCTCAGGAAGTCTTGACGACACATGCCCAAGGTGATCGGGGCACAGCTTAGTTTTACACATTTTAGGAAGACATGAGACATCAATCAATCTATTAAGAAGTACATTGGTCCGGTCTGGAAAGGCGGGACAACTGGAAAAAAAGGCAGGAAGACTGCAAGTGGGGAGGGAGGTTCCAGGTCACAGACAGATGATACACAAATGGTTGCATTCTTTTGAGTTTCTGATTAGCCTTTCCAAAGAGGCAAATCAGATATGAATCTATCTCAGTGAGCAGAGGGGTAACTTTGAATAGAATGGGAGGCAGGTTTACTCTAAGCAGTTTCCAACTTGAGTTTTCCTTAATGATTTTGGGGGCCCAAGATATTTTCCTTTCACAATATATTAAAAAAAGAAAACCACCAGGTGGAAAGTGGAGATAGAAAGCTCCTCTTTTCATGAGAATGCCTGCACTAAATGTGGGAGGAATAACAGAATTATAAAAACACCATTTTGTAGGCACTAATGTAATAATTGATTCAGGCAAGTATCATCAATGGAAAGCAAAAACACTAGGTGAAAAGTTGTTAGGAGCCAAGATATTCATAGATTATTTTATTAAGTACAAAGGGAAAAGTTATTAATTACAACTAGAGAATTTGGACAACATGTGAACAAAGTAATCAAATTTAGCATTAGGAACAGGACAAATTGGCATCTTGAGTCTCTTGATGTGATGCAAAAAAAATTTTTTTAAAAACAGGGTCTCACTCTGTTCCCAGGCTGGAGGGCAGTGGCATGATCCTAGCTCACTATAACCTTGAACTCCCAGGCTCAAGCAATCCTCTTGCCTCAGCCTCCTGAATAGCTGAAATTACAGAGGACAGCCACCAAGCCCAGCCCTCCTGTCATTTAATGAAAATCACACATGTGTAGATTTCTTGTCAAAATTGCTTAATCTGGATCTAATCATGAGGAAATAGACAGAAAACGCAGATGGTAGAACATTCTACAAAACAACTGGTCTGGACTTCTCAGAATATTAATGTCATGAAAGACAAAACGAGGTGGAAAGACCATTCCAGACTGAAGGAAACTAAAGAGGCAGGACAAATAAATGCAGTGTGTCCCAACTGATTGGAAATTGGACAGGGAGCTGTACATGACATTTGGGGATAACTGTGGATAAATTTAAACTAACTGTGTGTTAGACAGTAATCTTGCATCAGAGTTAGATTGTTTGGGTTGAATAACAGCATTGCGATTATGTTGGAGAATGTACTTGCTCATAGAAGACACATGCTATAATCCCAGCACTTTGGCAGGATGGCTTGAGCCTAGGAGTTTGAGACCAGCCTGTGTACCATAGCGAGACCCTATCTCTACAAAGAAAAAAAAAAATCACTTGGATGTGGTGGTGTGTGCCTGTAATCCCAGATACTCGGGAAGCTGAGGCAGGAGAATTGCTTGAGCCCAGGAGTTCAAGGTTACACTGAGCTATGACCATGCTGCTGCACTTCAGCCTGGGCAACAGAGCAGAGACCCTGTCTCTGAAAATGAAATATCTGGGCGCAGTGGCTCAGGCCTGTAATCCCAGCACTTTGGGAGGCTGAAGCAGGTGATCACTTGAGCCCAGAGTTTGAGACCAGCCTGGGCAACATGGCAAAACCCTGTCTCTACAAAAAAAAAAAAAATTAGCTGGGCATGGTGGTGTGCACTTATAGTCCCAGCTACCTGGGAGGCTGAGGTGGGAGAATCACCTGAGCCCAGAAGGTTGAGGCTGCAGTGAGCCATGATTGCGCCACTGCATTCCAGCCTGGGAGACAGAGTGAAACTCTGCCTCAAAAAATAAAATAAAATAAAAAAATACACATGCTGATACATATTCTTGTAAGATACAGGACATGAGTAGTAAAATGTCATGATGTCGGCAATCCTGTCGCAAATAGTTCAGCAAAAGGAAAACATGCATAGACAAAGATAAAGCAGATGTGCTAGAAAGAAAAAAACAAGGAGAAGGAAAGAAGGAAGGAAGGGAGGGAGGAAGGAAGGAAGGAAGGGAGGGAGGGAGGGAGGGGAGGGGAGGGAGGAGAGAGGAGCCTCAGGTCCCTCCTTTCTAGGGCCATATCAATAAATTGTGGTAGCGATTATTTCATTGTCTTGAAAAATAATTCATTTAATAAAATACTTCATTTATAAGGACAAAAGAAACCAGAAATTTCCTGCCTTGCATGCTACTCTTAACTCCCTGGGACTTTGGGACTCAAGAGCCACTTAAGCCAGGAGACCAGAACCTGGGCATGAACAGGGCAGTGATTTGGATCCAGGACACCACAGTGGATTGAGACCCTTAGTGAAACAGGTGGTAGAAAATGCATCTAACCACTAAAAATGGGGGCCCACAGGGACACGTGGGCCTAAGCAACCCCACACTTGGTGATGAGAGTTGGGAATGGGGTGTTCTTCCCTTAGTGAGTCAATAACCACAGACCTGTCCCAAGGAGAGTTTGGCATTTGAGGTAATGTTTCCTGCTTAGTCCAGGAAATCTCAATTCAAGAAATAAATTTATTTAATTCTTCTTCAGAGAAACACCCCACAACACAGGCCTTCCAGAATCCCTACATACTAAGGCCAGTAAAACGTAAGCTCACAATTCATGATTATAAAACCATAAGAAGCTAAGTCGAACCAAAGTAGGACACTGTCTTTAAAGAGATGAGAGAAAAATAACAGCAGCCTAGAACTTAACATCCAGTGAAAATACATTTCAGGAACTGAGGCAAAAATGTCAAACAGAAACAGAAATGTCATCAGTCAACAGAAACTGACAATTTATCAGCTACCGATCCTCACCAGACTAACTTCTATTCAACATAGTACTAGAGGTCCTAGTAAGAGTAATTAAGCAATAAATTGGAAAGGAAGAAATAAAATTATCTGCAGATGACCTGATCTTAAATGTAGCCCTAGATTTCCAAGGATGTCATGAACAGCCTGGGGCAGAGGCTTGTTACAGGGGTGGAGCCACTGTAAAGAGACCCCACTAAGGCAATGCCCAGTGGAACTGTGGGATCAGAGCCACTGCATAAAGTCCCCCACTAGGCCTAGAAGAGCTGTGGGGGCAGGGCCATTCCCATGACCCCAGAACTGTAGAGCTACCAGTGTGCAACACCAGCCTGGGAGAGCTGCAGGAACAAGATTTCAACCCATGAGAGCTTCTGTGTGAACTGAGCCCAGGAAAGCCACAGAGTGGACTTGCTTAGGATCTCCTCTCTTTTTTTCTGTGTCTCCTTTTTGCATTGCAAATGTCTATCCTATGACTGTCTCACCATTGTATTTCAGAAGCACATAACTTGTTTAATTTCACAGGCTCAGAGCTGGAAATTTGCCTTAGGATGAATAGTGATTTGAGTCTCACCCATATCTGATTTTAGATGAGACTCTGGGCTTTGGAATCTGAAGTTGATTATGAAATCAGTTAAGACTTTTGGGGATATTGGGATGGAATGAATGTATTTTGTATGTGAAAAGGACTAAAGTTTTGGGGAGCTGGGGTGGAATGCTATGGTTTGAATGTTTACCCCCTCCAAAACTCATGTTGAAATTTAATTGCCGGTGTTAAGAGTTTAAAGAGGCAGGACCTTTTAAGAGGTGATTAAGCCATGAGGGCTTCACCCTTGTGGGTGCAACTGGTGCCATTACAAAAGCGTGAGTTCAGTCTCCTCTTGCTGTCTCTCTTACCCTTCCATGTTCCATCATGGGATGATGCTGCAAGGAGGGCCTCATCAGATGCTAGCCCCTTGATCTCGAACTTCCCTGCCTCCAGAACTGTGAGGCAATAAATTTTCCACCCTTATAAACTACCATCTGTGGTATTCTGCTATGGCAGCACAAAACAAACTAAGACAATGGTTAAGAGGGTAAATTTTATGTTATGTGTTTTTTACCACATAAAAAAAGTACTATCACATTTGAGATTTTTTTAAAAAAGGAAAGAATGTTTTTAAAATAAATGAAGCACTAATATATTCTATAACATAAACCTTATGAAAACATTATGGTAAGTGAAAGAAGCCAATCACAAAGACCATGTCTTAGCCCCTTTTGTGCTGCTATGACAGAATGCTATAATGGGTAATTTATAGCGAATAGAAATTTATTTCCTCACCGTTCTGGAGCCTAGGAAGTCCAAAATCAAGGAGCTAGTATCTGTTGAGGGCCTTCTTGCTGCATCATTCCATGGCCAAAGGGCAAAGAGAGGGCAATAGAGGAGCAAGAGGGAGCCAAACTTGTTCTTTTGTAAGGAACCCACTCCTGTGATAACAGACCCACTCTCACGAGAATAGTATTAATCCATTCATGAGGGTGGTGGCCCCATAATCCATTGACCTCCCATTAGGCCCTACCTCCCAGAACCACCTCACTGGGGATCAAGCTGCCAACACATGAACTTTAGGGGACACATTCTGATATGGTTTGGGTCTGTGGCCCTGCCCAAATCTCATGTCAAATTGTAATCCTCAATGTTGGAGGTGGGACCTGATTGGAGGCGATTGGATCATGAGGGCAGATTTCCCCCTTTGGTGCTATTCTTGTGATAAGAGTTCTCATGAGATCTGGTTGTTTTAAAGTGTGTGGCACCTTTCCCCCTCTCCTGCTCTGGCCATGTAAGATGAGCCTGTTTCCCCTTTGCCTTCCCCCATGATTGTAAGCTCCCTGAGGCCTCCCCAGCCACGCCTCCTGTAAAGCCTGTGGAACCGTGAGCCAATTAAACCTCTTTTCCTTATAACTTACTTAGTTTCCGGTTATTTATAGCACGTGAAAATGGGCTAATACACCTTCAAACCACACCAGATCATATACTGTATGATGACTGTATGATTCCATTTATATGAAATGTCCAGAACAGGCAAATCTACAAACATAGACAGTGTATTCATGGTTGCCTAGTGCTGGGGAGAATAGAGGAGTTAGGAGTTACCTTAGTCTGTTCCAGCTGCCATAACAAATGCACCATAGACTGAGTAGCTTATAAACAACAATAAATGATTTCTTACAGTTCTGGAGGCTGGGAAGTCCAAGGCACCAGCATAATGAAATGTGAGTGAGAACCCACTTTCTAGCTCACAGATGACTGTCTTTTCATTGTGTCCTCACAAGGGAGAAGGGGTGAGTGATCTGTTTGGGGCCACTTTCATAGGAGCACTGAGCTCATTCATGAGGGCTATGCCCTCTTGACCTAATCACTTCCCAAAGGCCCCATCTCCTAATGCCATCACCTTAGGGGTTAGGATTGCAACTTATGAATTTCGAGGGTACACAAACATACAGACCATAGCAGAAGTTATAGCTAAAAGTTTTATTTTAGAGGTGATAATGTTCTAAGATTTATTGTGGTGATGGTCATACAACTCTGTGCACTGAATTGTACATTTTAAATGGATGAATTTTATGGTATATAAATTATATCTCAATAAGTCTGTGGTGGAGCAGAGTGGCTCATGCTTGTATTTCCAGCACTTTGGGAGGCCAAGGTGGGCAGATTGCTTGAGCTCATGATTTCAAGACCAGCCTGGCCAACATGGTGAAACCCCATTTCTACAAAAGATGCAAAAAATTTAGCTGGGTGTGGTGGTGCATGCCTGTAATCCCAGCTACTCGAGAGACTGAGGTGGAAGGACTGCTTGAGCCCAGGAGGTTGAGGTTGCAAAGAGCCAAAATCGCACCACCACTGTACTCCAGCCTGGGTGAGAGAGTGAGACCTTGTTTCAAACCTCCTCCCCCCCAAAAAAACCCCAATATTATCTGTTATAAAGTATTCTTATGTTTAAAGAAAGTTGCTACATAATGGGAAAACATTCAAATCACCAGAGATTTGACAATTCTTAGCCTGTATTTGGATAACAACTGAGTGTCAAAATATATAAAGTAAAACTTGACATAATATATAGACAAATATATGACAGTGGAAACATATAAATTAGAAAAAGAATAAATTTGAAGGGCTTACATTACCTGATTTTGAGATTTACTACAAAGCTACAGTAATCAAGACAATGTGTGGCTTTGGCAAAGGGATGGACACATAGATCAATGGAATAGAACAGAAAACTGAGAAACAGACCCGCTTAACTATGATCAATCAATTGTTGACAAAAGGGCAAAGGCAATTCAATGGAGAAACACTATGTTTTCCACAAATGATGCTGAAACATCTGGATAACCACATGTAAAAACAATGAGCTGGGCCTTTATTTAACACCTTATATAAAAATTACCTAAAATGGATGTAAGTGAAAAACATTATCATTAAGCTACTAGAAGAAAAATTTCCTAAACATTAGTTAGGGATGGGGTTCTTAAATATGACACCAAAGTATGGTCCATAGAGGGAAAAACTGGACTTCATTAACATTTAAAACCTTTGCTTTATAAAAGACACTGAAATAAAAATTGAATAAAAGAGAATAAAAAGACAAGCCACAAACTACAAAACTAAACTAGGAAAACAAACAATAGAATTCTTTTAAAATGGCAAAAGATTTGAACACTTCATCAAAGATACACAGATGGACAATAAGCACACGAAAAGATGCTCAACATCATTAGTCACTAAGGAAATGCAAATTGAAGCCACATTGAGATACCACTACACATCTACTAGAATGGATAAAATAAAAACAATGAGAATACCTGGTGTTGGCAAATTATGGAGCAACCACATCTTCATACGTTGCTGGTGGGAAAACAAAATTAATCATTCTGGAAAAGGTTGGCCCTGTGTTACAAAGGTAAACATACACTCACCATATGACCTAACCATTTCACTCCAATATTTACCCTACAGAGATGAATATTTATGTTCATACAAAAACCTAATGTTTCTAATAGTTTTATTCATAATCACTAAAAATTATAAACAACCTAAATGTGCTTCAGTGGGTTAATGGCTAAGAATATTGTGGTACCTAACATGGAAAACTACTCAGCAATAAAAATGAATAAATGACACAACACTGATGAAAATCAAAGCCTTTATACTCAATGCGGGGTGGGGAGCCACTCTTAAAAAAAAGCAGCACAGGTGGAATTTGTTGGTGCAGTGGAATTGTTCTGTACCCTTTGTGGTGATGGTGACACAAGTCTACATAGGTCATTTTAAGACAGAACTGTGGAAGGAAGAAAGGAAGAAGGGAGGAAGAAAGAGAAAGGGGTGAAAGGAGAAGGAGGAAGATAGGGAGGAGGAAGAGAGAGGGAGGGAGGAGGAGAAGAAGGAACTATTATAACCACACACACAATTATGGTGGTAGTTACAAGGGTAATATCTTCGTCAAACATAGCAAACACCTTTAAGTGGGTGAATTTTATTGTGCACTTTGATAAAAGTTGATTTTTGCAAAAGTTCAAAAAGTCAGTTATTTTAAAAGACTAGTAAAGTTGACACATCTCTAGAAACATTACCAAGAGAGGATACAAATAAGCAATATCAGGAAAGAAAAAAGGGACTAAGTTCAAATAGAACAAGTACTTGAAAATAAAAATATTTTAAACAACTCGATGACCAAAAAGGATACATTTTTAGAAAAACCTACAACTTTCTAGAAGAAACAGTAAATCTAAATAGCCCCTAAAACCAACCATACCACACACTACAAACACAATAATCCCAGTTTAACAGATGAATGCAACTAAAATTCAAGGGACACAAACTCCCCCAGAGATGGAGAAAAAAATCACGAAATTGCATCCCAGAAGTGCGAGGATTCTTTAACATCAGAAAATCAATGTACTTTACCACATTAATAGATTAAAAGGAACCATATGATTATCTCAAAAGATGCAGATTTTAACAGGATCCCAGAAAACTTACTTAAAAAGATAAAAAGCCTCATTCCATTATATTCACAGTTGTTTTTATTGGGCTACACCACTGTGAAGCATACATGATGGATATGTCTTCTAAATGACTATATGAATAATACCTAATAGTTACGTAGCACCTGATAGCTTACAAACCACATTTGCATCCATTTTCGACCTAACTCTTGCAATCATTCTCAAGTAGGCATTAAATTTTAAAACATATATCTATGAGGAAACAGATTTCAAAGGATGAAGGTGACTTGTCCCAAATCTCAGTTATTTTCATTCTTTATTTTGTTGATTCTCTATGATATCATATGTCATATGGCAAATTAAAGTGAACAGATAGCCACATGTACATAATATATAATTGTAAAAAAATCCAAAATTCTGAGTCCAGTTCTCCAGTGCTTCTCATATGTTTTTCAAACAAAAATACAAATAAAAAAATGTAACCCTATAGTTTATATTCTTAGTCATAGCTATTCTTCTCCAGTTTATAACCTACAATTAAATACTGGTGTTTCCTCAATTTATAAACTATTGTTCCTTCAAAGCTAGATGAAGCAGGCTGATAGTTTCTACCTATCAAATTGGCAGCTTATCTTCAGGACAAATGACCTGTATATACCACAAACCCTTAGGTTATATACCACAAACCCTATATATACCACAACTTGATGTGTGATTTCAGTGTCAAGCACCAGGATGTCACGGGAAAGGTGGAGCACTACTTTCTCCTATCGCTCTCACTAACTACAACTAAAAATCCGGGATATTATATACAAAGCAAACATAAGAAAGTTCTAAAAGGTGGAGAGAGAATGGACTGGCCAGGGACCTCAGAACCTGAGGAAGAACACAGCAGTGACTTTCTTGGGCTTTCTTATTGCCTCATCTATCCCAGATCGGGTTCTAGAGAAGCTGGCAACCCGGAAACGCCAACAGGCACAGACCAAAAAAAAAAAAAAAGCCCCAAGAAAAATCTGCTTTTTTTAGCCAAAGGACTGGGAAGGGAGCAGCCTAGCAAGACAGAAAATGTTTAGAAAACCACAATCCTACTTCAAAGACCACAGAAGAAAGCTATGGTCCTATCCCCGCCAACAAACGCCTATACTTCCACCCTCACCAGGCTGTAACAAGGCTCCTCAGTCCTCCACCTTTACCCTGGGGTGGTATCAGAGAAGACCAACTGAGCAGACAGATTTCTAAAACCCACCCCTCCCCACACATTGCCCTGGCAGCGTCCCCCCTACCCAGAGCCATCTCTCTTCTTCCTTACTGGTGTGGTTTCAGTGGAAGCCAAGTGGGGGGTCAGGACTTATACCAATTCCCAATAGTAATGATGTTACCCTCAACCCCACAGCATGCTGTCAATCGAGGCCATGTAAGTAGCAATAACAAGGCATTCCTGATCTTCCCCAGCCAGTGTGGTGTCAGCAGAGGCCTAGTGGGGAGCTATAAATCCCACCCTTGCCGAGCAGTATTAAGGACACCTGCCCCAGGAGTCATTAGAGGTCAATGGTGAACCTGGACTTCCAACACCAACTTAAAGTAATGAGGCAGCACCCCCTGCAACACTTTCTCCACCACAGTGGTATCAGAGGAGGCCTGTCAATGCAGAAGACTTAAATAGGATACCAAATCTCATACCAAAATACTCAAAATGTCCAGACTTCAACTGAAAATCACTCATCATACCAAGAACCAAGAAAATCTCAACTTAAATGAGAAGATAACCCAAAGATGTCAACACTGAGATGACACAGATGTTAGGATAACCTGCAAGGATTTTAAAGCAGCCATCACAAAAATGCCTCAATGAGTAATTACAAACATGCTCAATACAAACAAAATAAGCAAAGAAAGGCTCTCAGCAAGGAAACAGAACAAAGAATCAAATGGAACTGAAAAATACAATAACTGAAATAAAACTCAAGGATGGTCTCAACAGCAGAATCAAAAGGACAGAGGGAAGATCTAGTGAACTTGAAGATATAAAAACAGAAAATACTTGGCCGGGGCGGTGGCTCATGCCTGTAATCCCAGCACTTTGGGAGGCCGAAGCGGGCGGATCATGAGGTCAGGAGATCGAGACCACCCTGGCTAACATGATGAAACCACGTCTCTACTAAAAATACAAAAAAAAAAAAAATTAGCCGGGCATGGTAGCAGGCGCCTGTAGGCCCAGCTACTTGGGAGGCTGAGGCAGGAGAATGGCGTGAACCTGGGAGGTGGAGCTTGCAGTTAGCTGAAATCGCGCCACTGCACTCCAGCCTGGACAAGAGCGAGACTCCCTCTCAAACAAACAAACAAAAAAAAGAAAATGCTCAATCTGAAGAGAGAAAACTGTTATGAACTATGTCCCCACGACCCCAATTCATTGTTGACACCCTAACCCTCAATGTGACTATATTTGGAGATAGGTTCTGAGGAAGTAATTAAGGTTAAAAGAGACCTTAAAGGTGGGGTCCCAATCCAATTTCTCTCCACACCTATGCACTGAGAAAAGGTCATGTGAGAACACAGTGAGAGGGCAACCATCTACAAGCCAGGAACTGAACGCTGTTGGACCCTGATTTTAGACTTACAGCTTCCAGGACTGTGAGAAATAAATTTCTGTTGTTTGAGCTGCCCAGTCTACGGATTTTTGTTATGGCAGACCAAGCAGATTGAGATTTTGGTACCCAGAAGGGGGATGCTGCTGTAACAAATACCTCAAAATGTGAAGGCAGCTTTGGAACTGGGTGATGGGTAGAGGCTAAAAGAGTTTTGAGGTACATGCTAGAGATATGGATATTAAAGGCCACTCTGGCAAGGTCTCAGATGGCAATGAGGTACATGTTATTAGAACTGGAAAAAAAAAAGGTGGTTCTTGTTATAAAGTGGCAAAGAACTTCTCTGAACTGTTCTAGTGTTTTCTGAAAGGCAGAACTTGAGAGTGATGAAACTGTTTATTTAGGAGATTTCTAAGCAAAGCACTGAAGGTGCAGCTTGGGTCCCCTTAGTGCTTGTAGTAAAATGTGAGAGGAGAGACATTAAGTGAAAAAGGAACTGTTAAGAAACAAGGAAGCACAATTAAAGAGATTTGAAAATTCTATCCATATCACAAAAATATGGGAAAATTTGCTACGAAGAAAACACTAAGAGTGTGGCTTAACAACCATTTGATAAATAGATCAGATGGGTTTAGCAGCCCCAGGAGAAGCCAGGAATATAAATGGGATTATAACAGCAGAAACACAGCCACCTGGCACTAAAGGGGACAGAAAAACAACAAAATAAAATGAAGGCAGGCTTTAGGACTTCTTAGATCCTACAGAACCAGACTAGAGAGCCATTTGTCTATGAATATGTGTTATCCTTCAAGAAAAGAGAATGATCCTGAAAGCAATTCAGAGACCATTGGGGATGCCTCCTGTTTCAAAGGGTGGAACCATCACCCTGGTCTCAACAGAACAGAAAGCCTCCAACTGAAGACTTAGGGGCAGAATTGTCCTGCAGAGGCTTAGGAGAGGGGCTACCTGGCAGTACCACAGAGATAGGACCACTACCCCAGTGGATCTGGAAGGCAGAGCATTGAGCAAAAGAGGGTTATTCTCACAAGATCTGACGAAACGAAGGCCTAATGGAATTTGCCTTGCTAAGTTTTAGACTTGCTCAGGATGCATCCCTCCTCCTACTTTCCTATTTCTCCCCCTGTGGAATGGGAATGCCTACATTATGTCCAGATCACAAATGTATTTTGGAAGCACATAACTTGTTTGGTTTCACAGGTTCACAGCTGCAGAGTAATTTTGCCTCAGGATGAATTGTATCTTGAGTCTTAGCCATATCTGATTTAGGTGATATTTACCTGAAGGTCTGGACTTTAGAGCTAATGCTAGAATGAGTTAGGGCTTTGGGGGCTGTTGGAATGGAATAAACGTATTCTGCACAGAAGGACATAAATTCGGTGGGGGGCTGGGGTGGAATCTTATGGACTAAACGTATCCCCTCTTCCCCAAAATTTTGTTGAAGTCCTAATCCCCAATGTGAATTCATGTGGAGACAGGGTTTTCAGGGGGGTAATTAGGGTTAAATGAGGTAATAAGGGCAGAGTCCTAATCTGCTAGAACTGGTGGACTGATAAGAAGAGGGAGCTATTTCTCTCTCCCTTTCCCAACTGGCCCCCCATCTGCATGCACTACAGACATGAGAAGACACAGTGAGAAGGCAGCTATCTGTAAGCCAGGAGGAAAGCCCTCACTAGAAGCAGAGTCAGCAGGCACCTTGATCTTGGACGTCCCAGCCTCCAGAACTGTTAGAAATACATATTTTTTTGAGCCACTCAGTCAGTCTATGCTATCTTGTTATGGCAGATTGAGCAGATTCAGACAAAAATCCTCAAGAAAAAATGAACAGAGCCTCAGGAACTTGTGAGACTACAACCAAAGAGCTAACATTTCTTTCATTAGAGTCCCAGAAGAAAAGGAGTAGAAGGTGGGGGCTAAAATGTATTTAAAGAGATGAGGGCTGAAAATCTCCCAAATTTGGCAAAAGACATAAACCTACAGATTGAAGAGCTAAGCAAACCCCAAACAGGGTAAACTAAAAGAAATTCACACCAAGATACATCATAGTATAACTTCCTAAAATTAAAAACACTGCACTCAAAATAATATGTCCAATAATCTTCAAAGTTTCAATGAAAAAAATATAAAAAGATGCCACCTGCCTCTACCCAAGAGTAAAATGGTAAAAGGTATTTCAAAATCTTTTCAAGTTTTTCATAATCTAATATGCAGTGTCAGTGCAAATCTACAACTAAACTTTACTATAAGCTATAAAAAAATCTAAGGTACAAACTAGATACAACTGAGGTAAATCTTTGTAAATAAGCACATTCTCAGGTAACTCAGATAACTTAAAACAGTTTGAACACATCAAAGGTCTCTTCTGTACTCAATTTTCTAAGCTGTTGTTCTTGACCCTTGGAATTAACATGATTTAGTAGGCAATGTCTCAATAAGCAAGGTCTAAAAGACAAAAAGTCCAAAAGCAAACACCCTGCATTACCCTGCAGCCAACATTCCTTAGTTGCAGGGTAAGGCTACCCTCACAGAAACTTTTCAACTGACCAACTAGCAAGTCTATATTTCTCATGGTTGTGAATATTCAGTTGAGTAGTTCTCATAATCAACATTTCTTGGGTTCATTCCCCTAGCTCTTTTTTTCTATCCTTTCCCTCTACTTCCTTTGGCTCCTTAAACTTAAGAATGAAGGACAACTTCCCTTCCACCACCACTCCTGACTCTGGACAAACTCATTGTGAATTCTCGATCTCTTTTTTCTACCCATGCAACTTCCCTAAAAGGATAACTTATCTCTTTAAAACTTATATTGTTAGTATTATGAAAATACCTGGCACAGTCAAGATGTCCCGTTTCCACCATGGCACACCCCATTTCTCTCCCAAGGATATGGCAATTTACATACACGTTAGGGTGTTACAAATAATTTTCCTCTTTCCTGAGGGAATGTCAGTGTCCTCTGCCAGAACACTTTTAAAAATGTAAAACTATACTTTCACAGTCTAATCATGTTACCTCCCACATCAGCAATGACTTGTCAATAACTTTTTTGCAACACAGTCTTAAATTTCTTTGTAGACCCCCACAGCAAGTATGGTAAATGCTCAATAACTATGCTCTGAATGTACCACATTTACATAGTCTTTATCCAGTATGAATTCTCTTGTGTTGGCCAAAGGTTAAATGCTCACTAAGAGCTTGGACATATTTCTTGGTTTTCACTCCAGCATGAGTTTTCTGATGTTGAGAGAGGGATGAACTCTGGCTAAAGGCTTTTCCACATTCCTTACACTTGTAGGGCTTTTCTCCAGTGTGAGTTTTCTGATGCTTTGTAAGAGATGAGCTCTGGCTGAATGCTTTTCCACAATCTTTACATTTGTAAGGTTTCTCTCCAGTGTGTGTTCTCTGATGACGAATAAGGGCTGAGCGGTCACTGAAGGCTTTGGCACAATCATTGCATTTATAGGGTTTCTCCCCAGTGTGAGTCCTCTGGTGCTGAGTCAGGGCTGAGCAGTAGCCAAAGGCTTTCCCACATTCGTTACACTCATATGGCCGCTCCCCAGTATGAGTTCTCTGGTGCTGGATAAGACCTGACCGATCACTAAAGGCTTTGCCACATTCGTTACACTTATAAGGTTTCTCTCCAGTGTGAATGACCTGATGCTGGGTAAGGAATGTGCTTTGGCTGAAGGCCTTCCCACATTCATTACACTCATAAGGTTTCTCTCCAGTATGAATTCGCTGATGTTGAGTGAGGTATGAACTCTGATTAAAGGCCTTCCCGCATTCATTGCATTCATAGGGTTTTTCTCCAGTATGAATTATATGATGCCGAATAAGGGCTGAGCGGTGACTGAAGGCTTTCCCACACTCATGACATTCATAGGGTTTCTCCCCAGTATGAATTCTCTGGTGCAGAGTAAGGTGTATGCTCTGGCTAAAGGCTTTACCACATTCGTTACATTCATAGGGTTTTTCTCCTGTGTGAATTCTCTGATGCAAGACAAAAGCTGAGTAGTAACTGAAGGCTTTCTCGCATTCATTGCATTTCCAAGGTTTCTTTCCTGCACAAATTCTCTCATGCCTAATTATATCTGAATTTTGTTTTAAGTTATTTTTAAATGAATCACAATGATGTAGTCTCTCTCCTTGCTGCTGAACAAGTAAGGACCTCTGAGTGCAATTTCTTCTAAATTCATCAGATTGGTAGCTTCTCTCCCTAGAAGATTTCTCAGTGACAGCCTCTTGTATTAAATGTTTCTCATGGTTTTCCTGCTGACTCTCTAAAGAATCCTCACATTCACTAGAACTTTCCTTTGAAAATCTTACAATTAACACCCCAGGAGCCGATTCTTCTTCAGAAATATCCTTCTCTGGAGTTAGCTCCTTGCTTTCTGGTATTGTTTCCCAGTCTGAAATAAGCAAAAACACACATGTGTATCATTTCCTACACTGAGAGAAAAATAACTGCTGTGGTAGGAAATTAATGAAACATGTTTGTTTCATTCTTTGTTAGGAATATTTACAGGGAACACATGAACTTGAAAGCTCTCAAAAATAGTCTTGCAATCTTGAGAGAACACAAGAAAAAAAAGATGACTGGACAAAGAAGTACGACGGCATAAAAGGAGTGTGTGTGCAGGTACTCAACATTCCTCTATGCAGCAGGATAGGAAATAACAAAAAATAACAGAATGAGACTAAGAAGAGGTGATATGGAGAAATAGCAGATTTTTTTAAAAAAGGATCTAGAGGAGATAGATCCTTTAGAGGAGATAGGATCAGAGAAAGATGGTCTTCCAAAGACTCACTGTACCCATCTGACCAGAGCCTTATCATTTCATGCCTCAAGAATGACCATCTTTAGCTAATCTCCTTGCCACCAATCTTTTCCTACTCCAATATGTCCCAACCACTGCTAAAAGACTAATTGCTCAAAACCATCTCCCTTTCACAAAAATCTGTTGGTTCTACTGTCTCAAGATAAGACACAAATTCTAGAAGCTAGCATTCAACATAGTCCAGGTCTACAAACTCAAATGACCACAAAGCTTATTAATTGGAAAGCAACTAATCACCTCTGATTGCTTACCATCACCCTAGACCCAGCAAACTGGAAAGAGTAAAACAGAACCAAGAAGAAAGAAAAAAGAGAGAAAGGAAAGAAAGAGAAAAACAGCAGTGTGTTGGGAGGGGAAGGTCAAAACTCCATGTGTTCAGATGAGTCCCCAACCTCTCAAGATATCTACCCCAAGTTCCTGGGCTTCCTAGTAAGAATTTGAGGGGGAAAAGCTTCATTGCTAAAAATGTTTAAATACTTCCAAGCTTAAATGGTCTTTAACACCCATTCCAATCATGTCTCTACATGAAATAAATTAATACAATACAGTGTTCTCAACTAGATATATTCAGGGAAGTGCCTGGGATTTTAAAGGACAAATAGGTAGAATAGGTTAAAAGCAAATGGACATCCAGCTAAGGGGAGTGGAAAAAATTAAAGCCCCAAATGTTCATGAACACACAGTTAGTGGAGGATAGTGAGGGACTTGCCTATCTGATGTTAAGAGTTCAAGTTGAAGAACAGAGAAGGCAAAAAAGTTAGGCAGACTAACAACGGCTTTGAAAGCAGGTAGAGGAATACAGAGCTGGCAGAGTAAGCAACTCAATGGGGAATCTAGCAGTATTATGCTGCCTCAATTTTACAAGGGTAAGAGTAAAAGAAAGTATAATTAGCCAACAGTCTTTTGCAGTAATCCAGTTTGACAGAAGTAACAGGGTCAAATCCATAACATCTTTCAAAAAAGTTACTAGGACTTAATAGCTATCTTTGCTTAGCATATAGCCAGGTACTGTTTAAAACATTTCTCTTGGATTATTTCCTTTGATCACCACCAAAACAGTATAAGCTCTGTGCTATCATTATCCCCATTTTAATTTAAGTCACAGAGAACACAAGTCATTTGTTAAAGGTCACAAAGCTAATGAGTAGCTAAGATCAGCTTTAAACCAAGGAAGCTTAGTTCCAAAGTCTGCAGTCTTAACCATCATGCTATGCTGCCTCTGCTTAGACAGAGAAGGTGGCAAGGGAAAACCCAGAGATGAATTTACAGTCATTGATCTGAGACTCAAAAAAATGGCATCCAGCAAAGATAAAATAACACATGTAAAAAATCCTGCTTTAGAGCCTTGAACCCAAGCAAGTTATTAACAAACATTAAAATGTTGGTTTCATTTTACCTTATTTGGGAAAAAGAATTGGTTTGAAAGAGTAGAAAGTATTTACTTTCTAAAAAATCAAATTATAACTTTATAAACAGATAACCATCCACAGAGCTAGGATGTGGCATAGGGGTGAGACAGGGACTTCAACTTTTCCATGGGTCTAGCAAAATCTGGACAGGCTCCTCCTCCACAAGCATTTGCATTGACAATCTGGGTTTTACTTGCACTGTTTCCAACACTCACGCTTTTGACTGGCTGCCTTTGAGACTTCTCTCTCCAGCTCTTCCTCATGCTCCAACTGAGAGATTACATCAGGTGTGGAAATTGGAAGCCCTATTCATAGGGAAAGAAAAAGGAGTCTGGTGAAGACCTCAGTGTTCATTCCCTGGTCTTTAGGAACATGGTAAGAGAGGGAGAGAGTGAGGTCAGTTCTCCATTTCTTCCTCAACAGTGTTCACGAGGTAGGAAGATTGATAGGGGTTTGAGTCCCTTATCAATTTTACCTCCCCCTATTTAAAGAATAAGCATCCATTCTCTTAAGAGTTGTTTTCATTAGCACTTTGTCTCCACATCCTTGGTCAAGGAGTTGAGAAGAAGGATGCTACAAGTCCATAAAATAAAGGTGTTTATGTCTAATTCCAGGAGTGTTAAAACTATATCCAGAAACAAAAGGCAGAAATTGCCTGTCTCAGGCCCTACTAGAATTAAGAATCATTGAATATAAGGACCTTGGAGCTCCTAGGAACTGAGGAGGACAAGGTACCACACTGGGTAAATTCACAGGCATTGGGGGAGCCATCCTTACCCAGCAAGACCAGATTCCTAGGCTTCTCAGGCACATCTCCCTGAGGAGAGTTCAGCTGCCTCCACTGGGTGAGAGCCTCGGCCATATCCCTGATCATCAATTCCTGAAAAACCAAACACATTGGTGCTCACCAATGAGCCTCCTTACAGAGGCCTCTGAAGAGGAATAAAACTGACAGCACAGGAGGAGGAAGACAGAAAGGATAAAAAAAGGACAGACAACATGGCCTTGGCCACCCTTTCCAGTACTAAGATTCTCTGGTGAATATGTAGTCCACAGACTCACTCTCTGCCTCCAGGCAGCAGAAATGCATATTACCTGCAAGTAGGAAGGAAAGCACCTTCAATGTAAAACTTGAACGTATGAACTTTTTAGTTTATGTATCAATAAATTACAGAACTACAGAATTTGCTACTACTTATACAGGAAAAAGGAGAGAAAAATGTAATTATGAATTAAGTATTTTCCTTATGGTATAGTTTTTAAAACATATGGGGTTCAAGAAATTGAAGTATTTTTTCTCTAGTTTTCCTAAGAATGAAATCAGTCCCATATATATTAAAAATTAAGATGTTTCCTACACGTCACAGAATATAGACTTATTTGTAAAACAGTATCTGAAGCCCAAATGATTATGAAAGTTCCCAGAGTGTTCTTGTCATTTTTCACAACGACCCTGATCAATCTGCCCGCGTCCCCCAGTTGGTGGCATTCTTTCATCTGCTTGAAGTGTGTGTCCTATTCCCGTTAGCCCCTTTACACATCCTGCTTCCTATTCCTGAATATTCTGCCCTCTGCCCCATCCTTTCAGCAATGTGAATCCTTCTCTCCCTTCAGATCTCAGCTCAGGTGTTACTTCAAGGGAAGCCTTCCCTGACTCTCTAGTTAGAACACATGTTCCTTCCATTCCCTTGGGTTGCACACATAGAGGGGATCTTGTGGCTAACATAAGCTCCACAGGAGCAGAGGCCAGGTCTATTTTTGCTCACTGAAGCAGCCTAGTACTTGGCACAGAGCAGAAACTCTGTAAATATTTGTTGAATATTTGAATGAAAGAAAGGAAGGAAGGAACAAGAATTAATAGAAACAAGTTTAAATGGGGTGTTCTATAAACGTGTGCATGGGAACAGAAGTGGGGAGGAGAACAGAAGCCTATTAAACATTGAAAACACTGCAGGAGTATTTAGCCTAACCTTCATCTAGATGACAGACACAAAGTTTAGTTTGTTTACTAAAATACTGAAATAAGGGAGTAGGGCAGGTAATGCTCTTTTGAATCTGTTAGTGCTGATAAGACAAATGTCTAATAATTTTTCAAATTCTATTTTTAAAATTTCTATGCAACTACAATTTAACTTAGAGTAAAATAAACCATCCCTTGGGTTAGCAAATGAATCAGTTTTACCGCTCTTTAAACTACCACTTGGGCCAGAGCCCCTTGAATATATATACACACACATATATATACACATATATATATACATATATACACATATATATACATATATACACATATATACATATATACACATATACATATATACACATATATACATATATACACATATATACATATATACATGTATACACATATATACACACATATATACACACATATACACACATATATATACATATATACATATATATATGAATCGAACGGTTAATTTTGTTTATATTCAGCTTTCTAATGCATATTTCAGTCTTTCAAAAATGACTGGTAAAACAAAGCACATAATGACATAAAGTTAAAAGAACTACCTACTCTGAAAATCCTCTGCCCAAAATACACTCTTTAACACTTCAAGTAAGAAATCCCACACTTTTAAGTTTATGGCCCCTTAAGGTCATATGCCTCAGGAATGATCAGCACAAGTAATATAACATGCACCATCTTCGTTCTGTACAAACAATGCTAACACTAACAGACTAACAGGCAGTTGCTTTCAGACTTCAGTTCCCTAAGAAAACCTCAGTAATCAACTCACAGGCAGGCCAATCAGACACTGTCAGCAGGTGCTACTTTCTCTCCCCTCATCTTTCTGAAAGCGATCTACCAATTCACAGATCAAAATCAATACTGGCATTTTCTCCCATGGTTTTATAAGGATCATCAGTACCTGTATGCTGTTAGGCCTGGTGTGACGGAAATAAAGAGTCCCAGCACCTGAACCAAGGGGTCTGCCAATCTCCCACTGTCTTGGCCAGATCTTACAGAAGCATCTTTACTAATCCTCTCTCTCCAATCAGCTATGGCATGTTTCATCTTGCTGGGCCTCTAAAAACCTTCATGAGGCCTTCATTTGCCTCTGGAATAAGACCGAGTGTAGACTGTCCTGGGGTCTGGGTACAACACAGCCGAGCTTCCCTCACCACAGTCTAGGTCAACCCACAGTGACTCACACATCCACACATCCTCGGAAGACCTCCAACTCCCTCATCATTTGAAGACTTTTTTTTTATTTTTTGGCCAAAGCTATTCTGTCTTGTAATATTCCCTTATTCTACCCTCCAACTACCCACTCTCTCTTGTTTTTCAAAGTACAGATTTATCCCACACTTCTCCCAAACAGATGATAAAAAAAAACTCTTTCAGAGACTTTCATGACTTGTCTGGACCAATGATTTCTATGTTTAAAAAATACCTATTTCTTCGTGTTTAACTATTTTATTTATGTATTTCTCACTGCCTTAGTAAACTCCACGATGCAGGAGCAAGTGGCTTTTACTTCTTTGCATCTCACCAAGGCCAATTACAGTACTCAATGTGTGTGCAGCAAACACTCAGTGGGCAGAGAGAAAGCAACGCTGGGAAGAAAGTTCTGCACAACTGAAGAACACTTCCTTTGGGGTCATCAGTCATCAGTTTATCAGGATGAACCCAGTGGTCTAAGCATCAGGGCTGAGCAATTCCATAAGCACTGGAAGGAAAGACATCCTTGCTCTGAGAACAGAAGGAAAAGAAAGAAGAAATCTAAACTTACTTGGGACCCAGGGGTCAGCAGCACAGCAGTCACGTCATTTTCTTTTGGGTTTCCAGCATGGAGAAGGTCTGAGTCCTCAAAAAGTGATCCTAAAAGTGGAGACAGGAGCCATGATGATTACTCTGTCCTTGCAATAAACTAGCAGGAAGTGCCACACACCAGCTAGTTGTCATCTAAGAAGAGTCAACACTGGGAACCAAACGAAAATCGCATAATATCTTTTAATCAAGACACCTTGACCATTGCTGTCTCAGGCTCCTCCTATTCTCTGTCCTTAAACTCCAGTAGAACTCCTATGAGCATCTGGACATATAAATTAAACATATTTTTATATTGCATGTGCTAAGTAGTCAAAATAATACTCAAAGTCTTTGTATGTCCACGCCTCAGTGATTCATCTGTGTTGTATTCCAGGCTCACAGGATAAACGAAGACTAAATTCTTTTTGAACACTGACTTTTCAGATATTAATACAACACCGCCTGACTCAGAAAAGTGATGCGTCTTATGGAAAAACCACCACCACCACCAAAAACAAAACAGGATTGTAAACAAATTCCGTGACTTCTCAAATCCCTGCTTTCCCTACCTTCCAAAAGGGTCGGATAGTTCCTTCCTACTGCCTTATGGGGCTCCTCTGAGATCAAAAAAGAAGTCATTATCAAAAGCCAAATTGTCAGATGTGTTGATATTTTCCCTTGAGCAAGGGAGGCATCCAGCGCCCTACAGACCAGGAGGGCAATGGAAGTGGCGGGCTATCCCTCAAAACCCCAAGTGAGACCGGCTAGTAGGAAGGGGCTCGTGACGCTACTCCTTCCTGAGCCTGCGCCAGCCAGAGGTAGCCTTTCTCCCTTTCTCCCTCTGCAGCGGGCACCAAGGCCGCATCACTCCCAAATCCTCACCTCTGCCCTCAGGTTCCATGGAGACTCCTTCCTCCGGCCCGCGCTGGAGGCAACCGCGACAGGGGAAGGAGCCGGAGGTCCGCCGCTCGGGTCCCCCAAGAGGCCGGGAACGCACGCGTGGGCAGCCTGGCGCCCCCACCCGGGGGTCCTCCCGCCACCCTCCTCCCGGACACTCAGATTAAAAGGGGATGCGTTCAGCCCTCCTCTACCCTGGGTTCGACCTCCAGCCACACACTGAGGAAGCCGAGCCCGACGACAAAGGCATCTAACAGCCGGCGGGGACGCCTAGCGCCGGCCAACCATGAGGCCGAACTACCACTCCCAGAATCCTCCGCGGGGCGCGGCTGACGGCCCTCACTCCCAACACCGCTTCCCAGAGGACCCTGCGGCCACCTGCTCCCGGGGCTGCGTTTCTTGCCGCGGCACGCTCCTGACCGACCTGGAGGAGCGCTGACCAGCTGGCTGAACCCTGCCAGCGACTCTGGAAGGGCCGCTCCTCCCTCGGTGCCGACTCTGGGCGGTGGCCGCGCCAAACCCCGCCCGGCGTGGGACTTTTCGCATCTCCGCTACTGTGAGGGCGGAAGGCGGCGCCCTTGACCTACGCAGGATCCTTCCCGGGCTGCGGTGCTCCATCGGAGGGGAGGCGCCCGGCGGTGTCCTCGCTGCTGCGCCTCCATGCATCGGCCCTTCGTGGCCAACACAGAGGTGATCTCAGTTTACTTTAACCAGGGATGTTTGTACCATATTGCACCTCGGAATAAAGAAAAATGGAATTTCAATCCCGAAATCACTTCAACCCCAAAAACGGCCACGTCTCCAAGAAGAACCAGTAAACTAGTCTTGCTGCCCCAAGGAGGCTGGAGCCTGGAGGTCTTGCTGAAATCCCTAACCTTGTTTTTACTCTAACTCGTTACTTTGAATTTTATCCTGCTTGTCTCTTTAATCACCTAGCCTTGCTTCTCATGTAAATAAGACTCTCTCTAGCTGGGAAAGCCGGACAAACTCCAGTTGACCCCTTAATTTACAAGACACTAAGGGCTCCTTACCCAACCCCCTTCCGCAAGGAGTTGACCTGTGTAAGCAGATCCTCAGCATTTCAAAGGAGCCCAATTAATTGATAAGGTATTAGCACCAACAATGTATGAAGTTCCCAGGATTTTTCTCAAAGAGAAAACATAAAGCCTTGAGTTCGTGTCCGGCATACCCCGTATATCTAATTATAATGAAAGATTTAAAGCCTTGCACCTGGTACCGTTGCTCTTCTTGTAACCGTTTGTCTTTTAAATTGTTTATCACTTTGTAACCATTTGTTTTTTGATTTTGGCATGTTTTTACTTCTGTAGAATTATTGCATTTGAGTTCCCCTCCCCTTCCTAAACCTAGATATAAAAGTTAATCAACTCCCTTCCTCGGGGCCGAAAGAATTTTGAGCTTTAGCCGTCTCTTTGGCCGCCGGCTTAATAAAGGACTCTTAATTCGTGTCAAAGTATGGCGTTTTTCTCCAACTCGCCTGGGTACAACATTGCAGACTCCCCAGGAGCTCTAGGGGTGGGCGGGTCTTCAGGCTAGTGCGTGTTTTCACTTACCTTCCCACAATAAAGTGTCAGGTTTCTGTCCAGTTCAGATTCCCAAGAGAAAATTTAATTAGCTATGTCCTTGTGGATACAAGCCACAATGTCCAATTGACCTTTCTCCAGCAGAATCTCCAATTTTTAGATAGGCTCAAGGCTTCCCAAGGCTTCTCATTATTCCTGCCCTTTGCCCTCCCCAGCACCCACAGCCCCTTGCTGACTGGAACGTAGGAAATCATCATGGGCTGTGTGAACTAGGTTAAGACCCTAGGGATGGTAAACCAACAAGATAGAAGGAACGGAGCCCCGGGTAATTTGTTGGAACAGAGCTTGGGCTTTAGCATGAGAGAGATGCAAACTTCTATTTTGTATAAGCCAGTATTATTTTGGGTTTCTTCTGCACAGATAACCACACTTAACCTCTAACTGGTCCGTAGATTGGCTGCATTTGGTCCAGGCAGCTAGGGCTGGTGGGGATAAAGGACTTGTGGTAGAGACACAACCCTGCCACCTCAAATGACAGCCAAAGGGAGTCTCCCCACTCTTCCTTCCGCAGGAGATATGGGATGGGCAGTTTCCTTCAGAAGATGCTTCATATGAAAGACACTACTCGCTGATGTTGCTACGGAAACCCCAGGGATAAGGTCTAGGCCCTGCAGCTTGCTGCACAAAAAAAGCCAATCACTGAGAGGAGTATTGCCAAGGAAGAAGGCTTTAATCAAATGCTACAACCAAGGAGATGGGAGACCAGCTGTAAATCCATCTCCCTGACCTACTAAAACCAGGGGTCTATATAGCAGGGAAGAAATGTAACTGTGTGGGGGAAAACAGGAACTAGGGAGGAATAAGGAAGCAATCATGATGAATGAGGGGTCTGGTGTATCCTTGTCTGGGTGCCATCATCTGGTGTTTCAGTTCTTTGATACTTGTTTTTTTTTTTTTCATCAAATGCTCCCTCAGAATCATCTTTTCATACTTTTTTGAGAGGCTTGAGGGTCTTTCCTGAGGAAGGAACTATGATAAAACAAGTATAAGCTTCAAGCTTTAAGACCAGAGAGTCTGCCGGGCGCGGTAGATCATGCCTATTATCATACCCAGCACTTTGGGAGGCCGAGGTGGGTGGATCACTTGAGGTCAGGAGTTTGAGACCAGCCTGGCCAACATGATGAAACCTCGTCTCTACTAAAAACAGAAAAATTAGCCGGGCGTGGTGGTGCACGCCTGTAATCCCAGCTACTCAGGAGGCTGAGACAGGAGAATCGCTTGAACCCATGAGGGGAGGTTGCAGTGAGCAGAGATCGTGCCAGTGCACTCCAACCTGGGCAACAGAGCAAGACTCTGTCTCAAAAAAAACAAAAAACAAACAACAACAACAAAAAAAAAAACCACCAAAGAGTCACTTTCTATGTTTATCCAAAATAAAGTCTATGGGACTATTGACTGGTTTCAACGTGTCTAGAGTACCCCTTTCTTCTTGTTGCTAACCATCCCCATCACAGATATCCCTTCTTTGTTACCATATCAATTGTCAGTCCTCATCTCACTTTATTAACAGCAGGTGATAACACTTGGCTACTCCCTGCTCCTGGAAATACTCCCTGGTTTTCTTCCTCCTTGACTGGTCACTCTTTCTCAATCTCATTAGGTATTTCCTCTTCTACTCACCTCTAAGCCAGTGTTTTCCAAACAACAGTCATGCATCACTTAACAACCAGGATACTCTCGGAGAAATGCATTCTTAGGTGATTTTGTTCTTGTGTGAACGTCATAGAATGTATTTATGAAAACCTAGACTGTACCACCTACTGCACACCCAGGCTATATGGTATAGCCTGTTGCTCCAAAGCTATAAACATGTACAGCAGGTTATGTGGTGAATACTGCAGGTCATTGTAACACAATGGTATTTGTGTATCTAAACATAATATAGAAAGGATAAAACAAAATATAAAAGATATGGTACCCCTGTATAGGGCACTTACCATGATTGGAGCTTTCAAGACTAGAAGTTACTCTGTTACCAAAACACTTTCATCTCCTAAGATAGCAATGCCTGCTTCCAGGATACCTCCCGAAGGATCTCTCTGAAGCTGTTTTACAGTTAACTTTTTTCTTGTAAGTCTAGGTCCTGCCACTCACAGCACAGGAAGCCGATGACTGAGACCATAATCTCACTGCACAGGAAGCCAATGACTGAGACGATTATTGGGTGCTGCAGCTGTGAAGATGGGAGATCAGTATCAAATCCATCTCCCCGACCCACTAAAGTGAGGAGTTTATATAGCAGGGAAGAAATGTAACAATGTGTGGGAAAATAGGAATTCAGGAGGGGTAGGTTAGCAATCATGATGCATGAGAGGCCTGGTGTCTCACTGTCTGGATGTGGTGATCTGGTGAGTTTCCGTTCTTTGATACTTTTTTATTTTATTTTATTTTTTTCAGAACGAAGTTTTACTCTTGTTGCCCAGGCTAGAGTGCAGTGGCGTGATCTTGGCTCACTGCAATCTCTGCCTCCCAGGTTCTAGCAATTCTCCTGCCTCAGCCTCCTGAGTAGCTGGGATTATAGGTGCCCGCCACCACACCCAGCTACTTTTTTGTATTTTTAGTAGAGACGGGGTTTCATCATGTTGGCCAGGCTGGTCTCAAACTCTTGACCTCAGGTGATCCACCCACCTCGGCCTCCCAAAGTGCAGGGATTACAGGCATGAGCCACCGTGCCCAGCCCGTTCTTTGATACTTTTGAGAGGCCTGGGGTTCTTTCCTGAGGAAGGAACTCAGATAAATTTAAGTTTCAAGCTTTAAGAGTAGAAAGGAAGGCTGGGCGTGGTGGCTCACGCCTGTAATCCCAGCACATTGGGAGGCTGAGGCGGGCGGATCACAAGGTCAGGAGATCAAGACCATCCTGGCCAACATGGTGAAACCCCGTCTCTACTAAAAAAAAAAAAAAAAATTAGTCGGGCGTGGTGAGGGGTGCCTGTAGTCCCAGCTACTCAGGAGGCTGAGGCAGGAGAATGGCATGAACCCGGGAGGCAGAGCTTGCAGTGAGCCGAGATCGCACCACTGCACTCCAGCCTGGGTGACAGAGCGAGACCGCATCTCAAAAAACAAAACAAAACAACAACAACAAAAGACTAGAAGGGACACATTCTATGTTTATCGAAAAAACTTGTCTGTGGGACTATTGGGTCGGTTTCAGCTCTGGGTGTGTCAGTGAACGGTGAGTGAATGTGAAGGCCTATGACATTACTATACACTACTATAGATTTTATAACTATTGCACACTTAGGCTACATTAAATTTATAAAAAGAATCGTCCTTCAACAAGTTACCTTTTCTGGCCAGGCGCGGTGGCGGGCAGACAACCTGTCAGGAGTTCATGACCAGCCTGGCCAACAGGGCGAAACCCCGTCTCTACTAAAAATACAAAAATTAGCCACGTGTGGTGGTGCTCACCTATAATCCCAGTTACTGGGGAGGCTGTGAACAGGAGAATCTCTTGAACCCAGGAGGTGGAGGTTGCAGTGAGCTGAGATCACGCCACTGCGCTCCAGCCTGAGCGATGGAGCAAGCCTCCGTCTGAAAAAAAAAAAAGAAGAAGAAAAGAAAACTAAGAACTAAGACACAAACACATTAGCCTAGGCCTATGCAAGGTCAGGGTCATCAATATCACTGTCTTCCATCTTCACATCTTGTCCCAGTGGAAGGTCTTCAAGGGCAATAACAGGCACGGAGCTGTCATCTTCTAGGATAGCAATGCCTGCTTCCGTGATACCTCCCAAAGGACCTCTCTGAGGCTGTTTTACAGTTAACTTTTTTTCTTAGAAGTAGGAGTATACTGAGTATACTCTAAAATAACGATAAAAGGTATAGTATCGTAGGTACATAAACCAGTAACATAGTCGTTTATTATCATTAGCAAGTATTACATACTGTACATAATTGTATTGCTGTACTTCTATACAACTGACAGCGCAGTAGGCCTGTTTACACCAGCATCGCCACAAGCACGAGTAACGTATTGCCCTAATGGCTACAACATTACTAGGCAATAGGAATTTTTCAGCTTTATTGTAATTGTTTGGAACCACCATCACATATGTGGTCGGCCATTGACTGAAATGCTATTTTGTGGCACACAATTATATGGTAATCAGAATCATCTGAAAGTCTTGTTAAAATGCAGTGCTGAACTCCACCCCCATTCGGGTGGTCCGAGGTGATTCTGAGAATTTGTGTTTCCACCAACTTCCCAGAAGATGCCAAAGCTGCTCATCTAAGAATCAACCAAATGTTGAAATGCCCCAGAGCTCAGGCCTTGGGCCTCTCTTCTTCTGTCAACACTAGGATAGCAGTGCCTACTCTTAGATGATCTTGTTCCACCCACATGCTCTAAATACCACCCAAATGTGGTCAGCTCCCAATTTATATCTCCAGCCTGGGCTTTTCCCCTGACCTTGAGCTGTCTTCTCCACCTCTTGACTTGATGTTTCATAAACATCTTTAACGTAGCATATTCGAAAGTGAACTCTGCTGTTCCCCCTCCTCCACTGCCAAATCTCTTCCCCCTGCAGTTTCCCCACCTCAGTAAATGGCAACCTGATCCTTTGGTTGCTCAGTTCAGATACCTTGGAGTCATCATTTTCTTTATCTCATGCCACATATCCAGTTGCTTTGGCTCTACTCTCTTTTTTTTTTTTTTTTTTTTTGAGACGGAGTCTCGCTCTGTTGCTCAGGCAGGAGTGCAATGGTGCGATCTCGGCTCACTGCAACCTCTGCCTCCTGGGTTTAAGAGATTCTCCTGCCTCAAGCCTTCCAAGTAGCTGGCACTACAGGCGCATACCACCACGCGTGGCTAATTTTTTGTATTTTTAGTAGAGACGGGGTTTCATCACGCTAGCCAGGATGGTCTTGATCTCCCGACCTCCTGATCCACCTGTCTCGGCCTCCCAAAGTGCTGAGATTATAAGCGTGAGCCACCGTGCCTGACCAGCTCTACTCTCAAAATACATGCAGAATCTAATGACATTTCACCACCACCACCATGACCACCACCACCCCCCTGGTTCAAATCATCATCTTTTGCGTGGATCACTGCAAATGCCTGCTAACTAGTCCCACCCCTTCTACTCTTGTCCTGCACATTCTATTCTCAACACAGTGGCTCCCTCATCTCAGAATAAAAGCCAAAAGTCTTTACGATGGCCCACAGCCCCTTCATAACCTGCACCACCCACCTCCACTAGCTCTCTGATCTCTTCTACGACTTGCCCCTTGCTTGCTTTGTTGCAGCCACGCTGACCTTCTTGTCCTTCTTCAGTCAGGTGAAGCTTCCACTCTGGAGCCCTCTGCCTCTTCCTCAGCCTGCATAATCCTTCCCCCACATGGCCACCAGGCTTGTTCTTTCACCAGCGCCAAGCCTCTGTTCACCGTCTCTGTGAAGCCTTTTTGTCCTTCATTACTTTATTTCTTTTCCATAGCAGCTATCTCTTTCTAATATTATAATTATTAATTTTATTTCTTTAGTGTCCCCCACTGTGCATGCACCAGGGATCAGGCTCCATGGGGAAGGAATATCCCCAGAGTATTTACTGGTACTTACATGATCAGTAACTGAAGGAGAGTATACTCTTCTCTGTATGATGCAGAGAAGGTAAAAGTACCTGAAGCTAATATGGTTCTCATTGCTTTTCTTGGCTTTAATTTGTGTGCTTCTGGAAAATTCAGACTTTCTTCACACACGGACACAGGCACTACTTTAGAATAATGTGGCCTTGAACAGCAGTGGCACCTCTCTCCCACTGCAGCACATAAATTGGTGTCACACAGCAGTAGGGTGGAATTGGAACACCTTGTAATAAAAACCCATGAGTCCTCATTGTCTCTTACAGGTAGATTAACCCTGAGTTCTTCAAAACTTATGAGAACATCTATTTCCTTCTAATAGGTCTGACATCCTGTCAGGAAAGCATCCTTGCCTTTCTTAAGCAGCAGTAGTGCCATAAAAGGCCATTTACTTTGATGTGAAAGCTGATGTTAAGAGAAATGAATATGGAATCTGTTCATCATCATGGAAGAGGGCAAAGCCAAAAATGTGAAGGAAGGATTTGGGTGGCAAACAGGTGAAGATTTGGGGTACATGAGATTCAACATAACAGAGAGAGGTGCCAAAGGCCTCAGATAGTGTGAGAGGCAGGCAGACCTGAGGCAGGAAGTCAGGCTTGGAGTGAAGCAGCAGAGGGAGTTCATTGGGCATGTGTCTTGTGCCTCATCACATCCCTTAGCCCTCTGCACAGACCCTCGGCCATTTGCTCCACCTCAGCTGCCAGGGCCTGTGAACCCACTCAGCTCTTCCATTTGCACCACCTGCAGCTGGACGGTTACCTACCTGGGAGTGCCAGGCTCTCCTCCTGCCAGCCGAAGGCCAAAGAGCTGCACACTCAGGTTTCGGACCCCTCACACCACTTCCAGCCTTATTGAAGGGCTATACAGTGGGTTGTGGGGGCTGGCTTCCCTAGGAGTGGCTGGGTGATGCCATCTGAAGGGCGGGGGCATCTGAGAGATGGAGGAAGCTGATCAGATTAATTCCTTTGGCTTCCCTTTACCCATTATTGCTTCGAGGCATGGTTGCTCCACGTACACTGGAATGTGGACTTCTTACAGAGCCAAGCAGATGCACATGCTGAATAATCTCTCCTTCCCAGCTGGTGAAGTAGAAGTCGACAGGCAAACGGATCGTCTTGCATTTCTTCCCATCCTTTCCTATTTCACTTCCTTTTCCTCACTCATGTTGCCCTAGGTTTGCACCTCATAAAGCACCAGCTCTTAATCCTTGCCTCAAGCTCTATTTCCTAGGGAATTTGGGCTAAGACTGGGAGCATGGCTGCCTATGACCCCTGGTCCCTCTAATGGCAGCATTTTTGAAAGGGACAACTGTGGGCGAGGAGCGATGATTCATGGTGGAGCAGGAGCAGTGGCTAGGATCAAGTGATGAAGGCAGAGGCACAGGCCTGGATCGAGGAAGGAGGAACCTGGAGACAAGCCCCTGGGGGAGAATGACAGAGGGGCTCTGATCCTAGCACCAGGAACTTCAAGGAAGCAAATCCCTTACTGTCTTAGAGTTGCTCAAGGAGCCTTAGTGTCGTGGCCAGATCCTTAAAGAACTCTAGTATAGCAGGAATTTACTTGTGAAATTTCTGACCATCTCTGACTGATGAAGTTGCGCTGATGGTAGAGGAGCTGTTGCAAACAGCAGTCCAGGAAAGAGCCACAGAATGAGGCCAAGACAGCTGCTGACATCACAAGCAATAACCAGATGGACTTCTGGGACCTGATAAATGTTGATCTGGCATTTTATCTGGTATTTGAAAGGAGCAACCATGACGACTGAAGAATGCAAAGGTATCTGGGACATGGAGGTCTATCTGGGCAGTTTCTGTCAAGCCAAGTGATACAGTGGTCCACATCCGCTTTGCCCAGACACAGGACATTCAGGGTTGGTTTTAGCTTGTCTTTGGTTTGCTGATATCTGCTTGGCTTGTTCCCCAACAATAGCTAAAGGAGTATTATGGATTCTTTGAAACTCATAAAGTCATAATGAATAGAGGAGATCTTATTTCCATCCATGCTTCCATCAGATAGACTTACTGATATGCCTTTTCAAGGAAGTTACAGAAAACTCCCATTTCCTAGCAGGGTAGCTGTTGGGGGTTATTAGGAAAGAAATAGCAGGAATGGCCACACATGTTGTGAGGAAAGCAAGTAGACCTTTAGATGAGAAGCACCTTCCAGCCTATATCATGTCATTCTCTTGCACCAAGAGGATGCTTGGGATGTCCCTTTCACCACCTCCAAACAACAAAATGAGATAAGTAGTAGACCTGGAAGTTCATCAGGCATCTCCACAGCCAGGTGTAATAATAGTCAAGAACTCCATATTGAAGTGACTCTTGGCAACCAGTTAGCCAACTGTGAATAGTGTGGTTGTATATTTTGTTTATAATTCATTCTGTGTGTACTTTGAAAAGACAGTTTTATATGGATGAATGGATATATTTTTAGTAAGAGTGGCAGAGAAGTTGGCCTGAAGAGAACCAGCCAAAGGATGTTTGAAAGATGCTGGGATTGAACTATCAGATACTTATGAGGGATTTGCAAAGAATGATGCTGGGCTATGGGGACAGGGAAGGTCCACACCTCCTCTGTGACTATTATTCTGCCCTTATGAGCTACAATCCTGGAGGTGTCAGTGCTCTGGAGCTGACCGTAAAGCTTCTGAGGTCAGGCCAGCCGCACAGTGAGGTACAGCTCACCTCCCTTCTGGTCCCAACATGAGGATGGAAGAGTTAGCTCTTTTTCTGTGGATTCTATGTATTGTTTTGGAAAGTTTAACAGGAACTTTCTTTGGCTGTAAGTACAATGGTTAATTACATCAGGTTTTATTCTCTCACATTCAAGTCCAGAAGTAGGCAGTCCAGGGCTGATATGAAGCCTCCGTAAGATTATCGGGGAATCAGGCATCTTCTGTTTTTCTCCTCTGCCATCCTTAAGGCATGGCTTATGTCCTCAAAGTCACAAGGTGGCTGTTGGGGTTCCAGCCATTAAATCCACATTCCAGGTAGAAAGAAGGAAAAGGCAAGGCCAAAAGGGAGTGTCCTAGTTGTCACTCTTTTAAGTACCCTTCCAGAAGTCCTATCCAAAAAATTTGAATTTTATCAGCATAGCATTCACCTGATATTTGATATATCAATATTTCATTGGCCTGATTAGCTATATCTAGCTGCAAAAGAAGCCAAGAAATATAGTTGGGTGCTCTGCTGCTCAGAATAGAACCAGAGTTCCTATCATTAAGGAGGTGAAGAATGACTTCTGGCTAGACAACGAACAGCTTCTGCCGCAGTAAGCATTACTCAATGCTCATTGTCAACACTTTAGCTCTTGCAAGTTACTTTATCATGAGCATCTATAAAGTGGCTCGAAACACTGAACCTCTGATCTTAGAGTAGATGGTCTTTTGCATCTTCTGCAGACTCTGCACAGGTTTTGTACACAAGTGTGATGGAGAAGAATCCACATCTTTATATGGCACCTCTGGCATGTTCAACAGTCTGGGTACCACACCAGGGGCCAGATAGTTGATCATTATGAGGACTGATTTTTTTGAGGCCTCTGCTACTGGGGTTCACCATCACTCCATTTATCCTGCCTGAAGTTCCACATTCCTGCCCATTTACAGGATGAAAGAAGGGAGGGCCATGCTAATTCTCTATCCTTCATCCACAGGAGTGCCAATATGGGATAAGAAATTAAAATAATTAAGCTTTTTAATGCCTGGATAGCAAGAGCCTATCCTCCTCCTCATCCTGGTGCTGACGCTCTCTCAGCTGCTGTCTGAAATTACTGCTTTACTACTAAGCAGGAATTCTTAAAGCCATAGATGTGAGGAAGCTGATCTAAGTCTCTATTGTGTAGGTGTGGACAGGACAGTCTGTGTTTTGGCTTCATGGGTACTGATGTTGAGGGCAAGAAGGAGGACACCATGTCTCATAGGCCTGGCCTTCAGTCACATCCTCATGTCTGCTGCTTTGGTACTGAGGGATGACCATTTGTGGACGAGCAGTGTCTGGAGTTAACTTTGGCTTTGTGGTATTCTTTGAGATTAGACACAGCCCCATTTCCTGTAGCCATTTTCACAGTGGCTAACCTCTTCAGCCTGGGACCCCACCCAGCTGCCACGGCTGCGCCTGGATGCTGCAAAGGACTCCGAACTTTTTGGGATGAACATGTTTCCCTTCCACAGCTACAAGTGAGTATATGATGAGAAAGGGAAAGGCCCGGCACGGTGGCTCATGCCTATAATCCCAGCACTTTGGGAGGACAAGGCAGGTGGATCATGAGGTCAAGAGATCGAGACCATGCTGGCCAACATGGTGAAACCCCGCCTCTACTAATATTAGCTGGATGTGGTGGCACACGCCTGTAGTCCCAGCTACTCAGGAGGCCGAGGCAGGAGAATCGCTTGAACCCGGGAGGTGGAGGTTGCGATGAGCTGAGATCGTGCCATTGCACTCCAGCCTGGGTGACAGAGCAAGACTCCATCTCAAGAAAAAAAAAAAGAGAGAAAGGGAAGGGGCTATATCCAGGGTGCTGTGGAATGGCAGAGCCAGACTAAGGAAGCTTGGTTATCAATAAAATTAAACAAAGATGAAACAACTACCACCACTGTAGAAACAAGGATAGTTGGGTGATGGGTTTGTCTTCCAGAATCCAGAGGTCAGGTCTGGGGCCAGAAGACCACAAGTAAAGGGAAACACAGGCTCCTGAGCCGAGTGAAGAACAGTAGCACATAACCAGAATCAGAGCTCCAGGAAGAGACAAGAGGAGCGGATGAAGAGCTCACAGCACAGCTGTAGTGAAGGCATTGGCAGCCATAAGCACATAGAAGCTTGATGTTTCTTATCTTTTTTTTTTATTATTTTTTTTTGAGACGGAGTCTTGCTCTGTCGCCCAGGTTGGAGTGCAGTGGCGCGATCTCGGCTCACTGCAAGCTCCACCTCCTGGGTTCACACCATTCTCCTGCCTCAGCCTCCTGAGTAGCTGGGACTACAGGCACCCGCCACCACACCCGGCTAATTTTTTGTATTTTTAGTAGAGACGGGGTTTCACCGTGTTAGCCAGGATGGTCTCAATCTCCTGACCTCATGATCCGCCCGCCTCGGCCTCCCAAAGTGCTGGGATTACAGGCGAGAGCCACCACGCCCGGCCGATGTTTCTTATCTTTTTTAAAAAACAATTTATTTTTGGCGAGGCATGGTGGCTCACGCCTGTAATCCCAGCACTTTGGGAGGCCAAGGCGGGTGGATTGCCTGAGGTCAGGAATTCAAGACCAGCCTGACCAATGTGGTGAAACCCCATCTCTACTAAAAAAATACAAAAATTAACCGGTCGTGGTGGCGGGCACCTGTAATCCCAGCTACTCGGGAGACTGAGACAGGAGAATCACTTGGACCCGGGAGGCGGAGGTTGCAGTGAGCTGAGATTGCGCCATTGCACTCCAGCCTGGGTGACAGAGTGAGACTCCATCTCAAAAAAAAATTATTTTTAATTGTCGTGGATACATAGTAGGTGTGTATAGAGTACATAAGATGCTTTGATATGGCATTGCAATGTGTAACAATTGCATCATGGAAAATGAGGTACCTGTCCCCTCAAGCATTTATCCTTTGTGTCACAAACTATCTAGTTATACTATTTTAGTTATTTTAAAATCTACAGTTAAATTATTATTGACTACAGCCACCCTGTTGTGCCTGGCTAATTTTTTTTTTATTTTTTAGTTTTTTTTATTTTTAGTAGAGACAGGGTTTCACCATGTTAGCCAGGATGGTCTTGATCTCCTGACCTCGTGATCCGCCCGCCTCAGCCTCCCAAAGTGCTGGGATTACAGGCGTGAGCCACTGCGCCTGGCCCATTCATTTATTTTTTTCTACCCATTAACCATCCCCACTTCCCTCCCACCCCCCACTACTCTTCCCAGCCTTTGGTAACCATCCTTCTACTCTCTATGTCCATGAGTCCAATTGTTTTTTAGATCCCACAAATAAGTGAGAGCAGGTGATGTTTGTCTTTCTGTGCCTGACTTATTTCACTTAGCATAATAACCTCCAGTTCTATCCATGTTGTTGCAAATGACAGGATCTCATTCTTTTTTATGGCTGAATACTACTCCATTGTGTATAAGTACCACATTTTCTTTGATGTTTATTTTCTTACTAAAGTTTCTAGTTGTATAAGTGCATTTGATTTTTGGCTCAAGTTCTCAGGTATTCATTCGTTTAGAAAATGCATGATGAGGCCGGGCACGGTGGTTCACGCCTATAATCCCAGCACTTTGGGAGGCTGAGGCGGGTGGATCATGAGGTCAGGAGTTTGAGACCAGCCTGGCCAATATGGTGAAACCTCATCTCTAGTAAAAACACAAAAGTTAACCAGGCGTGATGGTGGGCGCCTGTAGTCCCAGCTACTCAGGAGGCTGAGACAGGGAGAATCTCTTGAACCCAGGAGGGGGAGGTTGCAGTGAGTTGAGATCGCGCCACTGCACTCCAGCCTGGGCGACAGAGCAAGACTCCAACTCAAAAAAAAAAAAAAAGAAAGAAAGAAAGAAAATACGTGATGAGTGCCAGGCCCCACACTGGGAACACAGCAATGCACAGATATGAAGGAGTTCTTGCTCTCCTGCAGCATTCAGCCTTGCGATAAATAAATACATAATATGTCTGTTCCCTATCTTAGGGTCTCCTTCAAACACCTGCAAAGCATATTGATTGGAGAGCTTCTGACCAATTTGGGGATCCTCCAGGCATCATCTCAAATTTGAGATATCCCAATGAAGTGTATGGGATGGTTAATTGAGACTATTTATTAAGACTGTGGTACCAAATGGAGGCATAAGGATAAGCAGTTGTGTAGGGACCAGCCCCACAGGGTCGGTGGGTCTCTCCCTGTGTGCTGCGACGAGAGAGTGTAGAAATAAAGACACAAGACAAAGAGATAAGAGAAAAGGCAGCTGGGCCCGGGGGACCACTACCACCAATGCGCGGAGACCGGTAGTGGCCCCGAATGTCGGGCTGCGCTGTTATTTATTGGATACAAGGCAGAAGGGGCAGGGTAAAGAATGTGAGTCACCTCCAATGATAGGTAAGGTCACGTGGGTCACGTGTCCACTGGATAGGGGGCCCTTCCCTGCCTGGCAGCCGAGGCAGACAGGGAGAGGAGACAAAGAGAAAGACAGCTTACACCATTATTTCTGCATATCAGGGACTATTAGTATTTTCACTAATTGACTACTGCTATCTGGAAGGCAGAGCCAGGTGTACAGGATGGAACATGAAGGTGGACTAGGAGCGTGACCACTGAAGCACAGCATCACAGGGAGACGGTTAGGCCTCTGGATAACTGCGGGCGAGACTGACTGATGTCAGGCCCTCCACAAGAGGTGGAGGAGCAGAGTCTTCTCTAAACTCCCCCAGGGAAAGGGAGACGCCCCCCCCCCCCCCACCTTTCCCGGTCTGCTAAGTAGCGGGTGTTGTTTCTTGACACCTTTTGCTACTGCTGGACCATGATCCGCTTGGTGACGGGCGTCTTCCCAGACGCTGGCGTCACCGCTAGACTAAGGAGCCCTCTGGTGGCCCTGTCCGGGCATAACAGAAGGCTCGCACTCTCGTCTTCTGGTCACTTCTCACTATGTCCCCTCAGCTCCTATCTCTGTATGGCCTGGTTTTTCCTAGGCTATGATTATTGAGTGAGGATTATCATAATATTGGAATAAAAAGTAATTGCTACCAACTAATGATTAATGATACTCATATATAATCATATCTAAGATCTATATCTGGTATAACAATTCTTGTTTTATATTTTATTATACTGGAACAGCTCGTGTCTTCTGTCTCTTGCCTCGGTGCCTGGGTGGCTTGCCACCCACACAGTTGATAGAAGGTGCTCAAACATAAATCGTCATTACCTTGAACAAAAACATGCTAAGTCTCTCTGGGGACTGCTTGTCTGGCTGAAGCACCTCCATGGTACCCCGAAGCCTGTTTGGCATAAACATCACTGATGTTGGATGATAGAGGACTTGCGACTGAGAACTTTCCCACACATGCTGCACTCGTGGAGCTTCTCTCCAGGGTGCACTCTCTGATGGTGAATGAGCCATCTTTTCTGGAGGAAGGATTTCCTACATTCAATGCATTCATAGGGCTTGTCTCCACTATGAATTTTCTGTTGCTGATTAAGGGACGAGCCATAAAGAAAACCTTCCCACCCTCATTATCTTCGGGATGCATCTCTACAGTGTGCACTGTCCTGTGTCGAATGAGGGATGAATGGTCCAACATGAAGGGGTGGCCTGCCCCTCCACACCTGTGGGTATTTCTAGTCGGGTGGGACAAGAGACTGAGAAAAGAAATAAGACACAGAGACAAAGTATAGAGAAACAATAGTGGGCCCAGGGGACCGGCACTCAGTACACCAAGGACCTGCACCGGCACCGGCCTCTGAGTTCCCTTAGTTTTTACTGATTATTATTTTCATTATTTCAGCAAAAAGGAATGTAGTAGGAGAGCAGGGTGATAATAAGGAGAAGGTCAACAGAAAACATGTGAGCAAAAGTATCTATATCATAATTAAGTTCAAGGGAAATTACTATGCCTGGACGTGCACGTAGGCCAGATTTATGTTTCTCTCCACCCAAACATCTCAGTGGAGTAAAGAATAACAAGGCAGTATTACTGTAAACATGTCTTGCCTCCCGTCACAGGGCAGCTTTTCTCCTATCTCAGAGTTGAACAAATGTACAATCGGGTTTTACACCGAGACATTCAGTTCCCAGGGGCAGGCAGGAGACAGTGGCCTTCCTCCATCTCACCTGCAAGAGGCTTTCCTCTTTTACTAATTCACCTCAGCACAGACCCTTTACGGGTGTCAGGCTGGGGGACAGTCAGGTCTTTCTCATCCCACGAGGCCATATTTCAGACTATCACATGGGGAGAAACCTTGGACAATACCCCGCTTTCAAGGGCAGAGGTCCCTGCGGCTTTCCACAGTGCATTGTGCCCCTGGTTTATTGAGACTAGAGAATGGCGATGACCTTTACCAAGTATACTGCTTGTAAACATTTTGTTAACAAGGCACGTCCTGCACAGCCCTAGGTCCCTTACACCTTGATTTTATACAACACATGTTTTTGTGAGCTCCAAGTTGGGTCAAAGTTGCTGGGTCAAAGTGGCTGGGGCAAAGCTACAAATTAACAACATCTCAGCAAAGCAACTGTTTAAAGTACAGGTCTTTTTCAAAATGGAGTCTCTTATGTCTTTCCTTTCTACGTAGACACAGTGACAGTCTGATCTCTCTTTCTTTTCCCTACACAACAGAGCTCTACCCTACCCCTGCATTCCTAGGGCCACTCTCCAGGGCGGGTTTGCTGTGGCCAGTCAGAATAACTTTCCCACTGAAGGATTCCCCACACTCTGTGCATTCATAAGGACTTTCTCCAGTATGAGTTCACTGATGCCCAGTAAGGGTTAATCAGTTGTAGAAAGTTTTCATTGCATTCAAAGGGGCTCTTCCCAGTGTGTGACATCAGGTGTTTCTTTTTTCGATTTTAACTAATGTTATAGAGACAAGGTCTCACTATGTTGCTCAAGCTGGTCTCAAACTCGTAGGCGCAAGTGATCCTCCCAAATTCTGGGATTACAGGCATGAACCACTGGCTGACATCAGGTTTTTCTTAAGACTCCTACAGCTAAAGGCTTTTCTGCATTCCTGACAGTCATGGGGCTTTCCTCCACTGTGAGTCCTCTGATGGTGGGTGACGACTACGTGGTTATATGGGGTCTTCCCATACATGCTGCATTCAAAGTTCCTCCCCTTACTGTTAGTTTTCTTGGCAAGAGTAGATCTTTGCCTCAGTCCTTCTCCTTGGGCGCAGATTTCTTCAGCGTTTCCCTGAATGGTTTTTCTTCTTTCTGCGCTCAGGCTTTTCAGGGATAAGTGCAGGACCCAGTGGAAAATCTTTTCAGAGTTTTTCATTAATGTATTTAGTGATTTTATTTTTTTAGAAACATCCTGCCTTTGAGTGGAGTCCTGGCTCTTAGATCTAGTCTTCTGGTCTAAAATAAATAGCAAATAGAGATCAAAGCTTTGAGTGCTAGTTAAGAAGAAAGTATTGTATGTGTTAAGAACAAATACAAAATACTGGCTGATTGATTGGTAGCTCCTTAAAAGAAAAACAACAGGGACAGAGTGAAAAATAGCAAAGGAAAAGAGAAATAGAGATTAGAAGTGGAAAGTGGGCATTTAGCCCACTAAACACGTTTCAGTTATTCATGCATTAGCTATTTATCATTTAGTGTGCCTGTTAAGTGCTGGGCACAGTAAGTCACTGAAACACGAATGCCTAAGACAGCCAGAGTCCCTGCCCTCATGATGCTTATATTCTACTACACAGATGGCAAAGAAACAAACAAACTATAACAGATGGTGATGAGTGTAGTGAAGGAAATAATGAGTAGGAGTTGGAGTAGGGGCTTCAGAGAGATCCTTAAGAGTGGTCATCTAGAATTGATGTTTAAACTAAGATCTGAAAGAAAGAAGTTAATCATGTGAACAGCCAAAAGAAGTTAATCATGTGAACAGCCATTTCGAAAAGAGGTATATGAAGAAAAATAGGAGATATGCACAGAACTATAGAAGAGGGAATGACCAGGGCAGCTTGCTACAGGTAGAGGAGTGTAAACTCAGGGAATAAGCAGGGAGACAGGATAGCTCCTAGGAAAGTAGCTGCCTGTGACTACTGAGTGGATCTAAAAGGAAAAGGAAGGTCATATGGTAAAAGACAAGCAGGAGAAGCCAGGCATGGTGGCTGACACCTGTAATCCCAGCACTTTGGGAGGCTGAGGCTGGCGGATCACCTGAGGTCAGGAGTTCAAGACCAGCCTGGTCAACACAGTGAAACCCTGTCTACTAAAAATACAAAAATTAGCCGAGCGTGGTGGCAGGTGCCTGTAATCCCAGTTACTTGGGAGGCTGAGGCAGGAGAATCGCTTGAACCCAAGAGGTGGAGGTTGCAGTGAGCCAAGATCATGCCACTGCACTCCAGCCTGGGTGACAGAGTGAGACTTCATCTCAAAATAAATAAATAAATAAATAAATAAATAAATAAATAAATAAGCAGGAAAGATGAGAAAGTGTTATCAGAGTTGAAATAAAGGTGTGTCTCAACCCTCTCCTCTCCCACCCTCACCCCTCACCACTACCACCCCCAAGAAAAATAAACAGGAAGGGCCTTGCTGTAGACAGCTCCACTTTCTCACTCATCTGACAGTATCTGTGTGTGTGCTGTGTACCAGGTAGTGTTTTGAGACAGTAGGCGAGAACATAAAACAAAACATCTCTGGTGGTGTTGACATTTTAATTAGGGGTAGGTATGTACAGACAGTAAACAAAATTAAAAAGCAAAAATGTCAGGAAGACAGAGCTGGGAAGACAGCTGGGAGTGCAGGGGCTGGGAGTTGTGGAAGGGATGGCGAGAGTTATGTTTTATTTTATTTTATTTTTTAATTTTTGAGATGGAGTCTCACTCTGTCGCCCAGGCTAGAGTGCAATGGCATGATCTCAGCTCCCAGCTTCAAGTGATTCTCCTGCTTCAGCCTCCCAAGTAGCTGGGATTACAGGCATGAGCCACTATGCCCAGCCAATTTTGTATTTTTTTAGTAGAGACAGAGTTTCACCATGTTGGCCAGGCTGGTCTTGAACTCCTGATCTCAAGTGATCCACCTGCCTCGGCCTCCCAAAGTGCTGGGATTACAGGTGTGAGCCACCGTGCCTGGCTGAGAGTTCTGTTTTTAGACAGGATGGCCAGCGAAAGCCTGGCTGAGAAAGGGGCACATCTGAGCAAAGACTTGGAAAAGGTGACAAGAGAGCCACGTGGCTATCTGGAGCACAAGTTTTTGCAGCAAAGGCCCAGTATGGCCATGACCATCTCCATAGGCCTATGAGACCCCAAGGAGGGGTCTCTATGTGAACCTTCCACTAAATCCCATCTGCCCATCCACACATGCCTACAGAAGTACTTCCTGCACCCTCTCTCACTTCACCTTCCTGTATATCAAGTTTCCATGGCTCTCCACCTCCATTCAACTGGAAAATCACATCAGGTTTAGGAAATAAAAGTCCTGTTCACAAAGAACAGAATGAGAAATGGCTGTTTAGGATAGAAACCCATGGCCACCTCAGGGTCTAGTAGCAGTGCCTTACTTTCTAGGGGGGAACATGAAACTGTCCAGAAAGCATATGCTACTTTCCAGAATCACATACACAGCTCTCTAAAGGGAAGTCAGGGCAACTTTCTAGAAAATCTGAGTTAGGTCTCTTTGAAGTGGTTCACGTGTTCTTTCCCTGATGAATATCTGGGAATGTCCCCCATGTGGACCTGGTGTTCTTGTGGGTTGAGGGAAAGTTCTTGGCTTAGAGCAGTGGAATATGGAGAAGGTTCCACACCTCAGGAACAACCCCATGAAGCCATTTTCTTTTATAGCTTTAAAAATAATGAATTTGTATCCGTTAATTATATTTCTGTGCAATTTTGTTGATTTTGATGAAAATACAAATTCAACTGGAAGAGTTTTAGATAATATAAAACACAACTATAAACATCAATGAACAGTTTTTTAGAAATCCTTAAAAAGATAAATTATGATGGCTTTGGCTTTTAAAAATGTAAAATAGGCTGGGCGCAGTGGCTCACACTTGTAATCCCAGCACTTTGGGAGGCTGAGGTGGGCAGATCATCTGAGGTCAGGAGTTCAAGACCAGCCTGGCCAACATGGTGAAAACCTGTCTCTATTAAAAATACAAAAATTAGCTGGGCGTGGTGGCGGGCGCCTGTAATCCCAGCTATCCCAGAGGTTGAGACAAGAAAATCGCTTGAATCCAGGAGGCAGAGGTTGCAGTGAGCCGAGATTGCACCACTGCACTCCAGCCTGGGGGACAAGAGCGAGACTTTGTCTCAAAAAAAAAAAAAAAAAAGAAAAGTAACAGTGAAATTTATAAAGTCTTCATTTTCTGTATTTAGTTTCTAAATGCATTATGAAATGCATAAGACATACAAGAAGCATAAAGACAAGCAAACACCTATGGACCCACCACCTAATTTAAGAAATAAACATTAACACTAAGATTGAAGCCCCTCCCTCATCTCCTCTCTTCCCCTCCATGAGGTAACCACTGTACTAAATTTGGTGTTCATTACTCCATATATTTTAAAATGTGCTTCCTCATTTTATTTGCAGTTTTAAAAATATTTTAAAACATTCCATGTTCACTGGAGACAACTAGGAAGTATAAAAAGGAGATAGGCCGTGCACGGTGGCTCACACTGTAATCCCAGCACTTTGGGAGGCCGAGGCGGGCGGATCATGAGGTCAAGACATTGAGACTATCCTGGCCAACATGGTGAAGCCCTGCCTCTACTAAAAACACAAAAAATTAGCTGGGCGTGGTGGCACACATCTGTAGTCCCAGCTACTTGGGAGGCTGAGGCAGGAGAATCACTTGAACCTGGGAGGTGGAGGTTGCATTGAGCTGAGATTGCACCACTGCACTCCAGCCTGGTGACAGAGTGCGACTATGTCTCAAAAAAAAAAAAAAAAAAAAAGAGATGGAATACTATGAAGCCATAAAAAATGATGAGTTCATGTCCTTTGTAGGGACATGGATGAAGCTGGAAACCATCATTCTCAGCAAACTATCGCAAGGACAAAAAACCAAACCAAACACCGCATGTTCTCACTCATAGGTGGGAATTGAACAATGAGAACACATGGACACAGGAAGGGGAACATCACATACCGGGGCCTGCTGTGGGGCAGGGGGAGGCGGAAGGGGTAGCATTAGGAGATATACCTCATGCTAAATGACGAGTTAATGGGTGCAGCACACCAACATGGCACGTATACATATGTAACAAACCTGCACGTTGTGCACATGTACCCTAAAACTTAAAGTATAATAATAATAAAATTTTTAAAAAAGAGAGATAAAGAAAAGTTATAAACTGGCCTGGCATGGTGCTTCATGCCTATAATCCCAGCATTTAGGGAGGCTAAGGCGGGTGGATCACCTGAGGTCAGGAGTTCATGACCATCCTGGTCAACATGGTGAAACCCCGTCTCTACGAAAAACAATACCAAAAATTAGCTGAGTGTAGTGGCACATGCCTGTAATCCCAGCTACTGGGAAGGCTGAGACAGGAGAATTGCTTGAACCTGAGTGGCGAAGGTTGCAGTGAGCCAAGATCGTGCCACTGCACTCCAGTCTGGGCGACAGAGCAAGACTCCATCTCAAAAAACAAAAAAAGGAAAAAGAAAAAAAGAAAAAGAAAAAGTATATAAGCTTTCTAGTCAAAGATAATTAGGGGTAATATCTTGGTGTTGGTCCTTCTTTTTCCATGCATATATATGGAACTATATTGTAAATGTATTCAAGTTCCAAACATTTTGTAACCTGCTTTTATCATTTCGCAATATATCATCATCTTTCTAACTCTGTAAATATCACTGCTAAATGTCACTGATAAACTCCAGTGGAGCTTTCTCAGGCTTTGTCTTCCTTGATTACTTGGCAACTTTGAGTGCTTTTTGACCATTCCCTCTTTCTTGAAAATCTTTTGACTTCTGTGACACGGCTGTCCCCTGGCATTTCTCTGACCTCTCTATCTCCATCTACTCCTTCTCCTTTGAAGTCTCGTCCTGTCTTCACGCCCGTTAAATCTTGATCTTCCTGTGACCCATCACATGAGATCAGATGTGGAATTTTCCACTTGTGACTTTAGCTCAGCACTCAAAAACTTCACATTTTGGAGCATTTCGGATTTCAAATTATAATGGTCACTCTGTTTATACATTTCCCAATCCACTCAAACCCTCGTAAAAGCATTTCAGAGAAGCCCCCTCACTAGGATCCCCATCACCCAACTCAACATACCTACTTTAACTTTCTTTTTACCACAGGAGTCTTGCCTCAATAACATAGACCACTTAGGAACTTGACATCCACTGCAGTCAATCTCTTAGACTTCCTGAGGAATCGGTTATAGCTGGTTATTGAAAATGAACATATTTATCTTGTCTAATGGCTGGCACCTGGTATCTTTGCTTCCTTCTTCAGCTCTGTGTGATTTATTATGTAAGACTTGCAGAGGGGGTTATTCTTAGAAATGCAGGCCTGAGGAGGAGGGGGTGGGTGTGCCTGAGCCCAGAAGCTGGCCAACCCTCCCACTGGCCCCCTGGCATCATGACACCCCAGATGCATTTCTGGGATTGGTGGGCCTGCCAACTGTCTGTGCCAGGCTGCGGTGCCCAGCTTTCTGCCATCTGCCATATTCTTTCCATCGCAAGATTCTCTATCATTGCCAACCTTTCTTTTGATTCATGGAATGCTTCTGTGCCTTTGTGTGGCAAGCACTCAATTCTCTCTTAAAACTTAGAGTTTGGCTGGGCGCAGTGGCTCACACCTGTAACCCCAGCACTTTGGGAGGTGGTGGCGGGTGGATCATGAGGTCAGGCGTTCAAAACCAACCTGACCAACATAGTGAAACCCCGTCTCTACTAAAAATACAAAAAATTAGCCGGGCATGGTGGCGGGCACCTGTATTCCCAGCTACTTGGGAGGCTGAGGTGGGAGAATTGCTTGAACCTGGGAGGCGGAGGTTGCAGTAGCCGAGATCACTCCACTGCACTCCAGCCTGGGCGACAGTGCGAGACTCTGTCTCAAATGAAACAAACAAAAAACAAAAACTTGTCATCAGTAATATTATTTCTTTGAAACTCCTTTTAAAGCTTGACATCAGTGATATTACTTCATTTCTTTGAGGCTCAAACCCCTGCAAACACTATCCAGTCATTTTTGCTTTATACCTTAAGAATGCTGATATTCTTCCAATTTGATCAATTTCTAATTCCAAGGTTTCATCCTACTAATGGCCATTAGGTGAAGCCAATACCTCAAAATTTAAGGTCTCCACTACTACATGCCATATTGGGAGATATTAATTAAAAGGTAAAATGGCCATTTCCTGTTTTTAGAAGGAAGTGGAACAGTATCCACATTAAAAAAAAAAAGCTCTGATAACCAAATTTAAATGGGAAACAAAGAGAAAACTATCAAATCCATATCCCCACTCTGTCTCCATTACTACTGTGCTCAAAAGTCCATTGGTATCTTTTCTAAGGATAATAGAGTAAAAAAGATGTCCATTGGAATCCTAAATTTGTTCCAATCTCATCTTGCTGAAAATGGTAGAATGTATTAGAGAAATACCTGACCCTCAATTTACTTTTAACAAGGCAGTAAAAATTCAGAACTCCCAGGGACAGTCATCAGCCAAAAGTTTGTCAATAGTCTCTTTTATTTCCTACTTGACATTATTTAGCAATATCACATATTGTCCACACCTATAGATTCTGTTATGTGTTTTTCCTCAAGTTGCTTTCAAAAGTCCACAGATCAAGTCTTCCCTGCCGTTCGTCTGCTCTAGGGTGAACAGAGTAATAGGGTCGTTAGTAGGTTGGGGAGGGTCTGTTTGGTAATTCAGCTTCTCGAATCCGACTTGAACTTCCAGAGGAAATTCATCTCAATTCACTGGGAATCACGTAGGACAATCTAATTCCAGACAGCCTTTCAGAACCAAGTCCTTTTCTGAGCTTCACCCTAAGCAAAGATCAAGAGAATGCAGATGCCTAGAGTCAAGGTCATCTAGTGCCTAACCTTTAATAAAATAAAAATATAGGCCGGGCACGGTGACTTACGTCTGTAATCCCAGCACTTTGGGAGGCCGAGGCGGGCGGATCACGAGGTCAGGAGATTGAGACCATCCTGGCTAACACGGTGAAACCCCGTCTCTACTAAAAATACAAAAAATTAGCCGGGCGTGTTGGCGGGCACCTGTAGTCCCAGCTATTCGGGAGGCTGAGGCAGGAGAATGGCGTGAACCCGGGAGGCGGAGCTTGCAGTGAGCGGAGATTGTGCCATTGCATTCCAACCTGGGTGACAGAGTGAGACTCTGTCTCACAAAAAAAAAAAAAAAAAAAAAAATAGGACTGGGCCCAGGGAAGAGAAGAGTTTTTGGAGTCAGGAGGTAAAATTCAGCAATGGGGATCACGTTAAGGCAGACCTTAAATATTCAGATAATTTTTCACTAAATAGGGAGCTATTTTAGGTCTTGAGGAAGGCAGTGATGGGCAGGAAGGGGTCATTTGCAAAGACTGGCTTAACAGTAGTATGCAAAATATAACTGTGAGAGAGGTTCTTGGTATTAACCAACTTTCGAGGTGCTTGTTTACTTTCCTAGCTTCTAGGTGCTGGGTTCTGGCTTATTAGATGTGGACAGAAGTGATGTAAGCCTGGGTCTAAGAAAATATCCTACAAATTCCTCTAGCTTTCTCTTCCGCCCTTGTGGTGACTTTGGAAGCCAGATGTTCCAAATAATGAGGATAGAATAAGACAGAATGGTTCCCGTCAGGTTTTAAGGGAGACATAGCTCTCTGCGGGCTTGTTACTGTACCACAGCTTAGCACATCCCTCTTCAATAAAGCAGGAAGAACTGGAATTAGAAAGCTACTGCTGCCAGGAGTGGGAGCTGGGGATGATAAAAGTATAGGCTGGGCTGTGAATTCAGAGAAAGTATGCAAATCCAAGAGGTGTTCTGAATGGAGAGAATTTGGTAAGTAGAAAAGTCATTCACTCATATAAATATTTATTGAGCACCTATTAGCAAGGCACTGTGTGAGATACAAAGACCTGTAAGTCACACCTCCAAGTGCTTACAATCTAGTTGAGAGGATAATACATATACATAAATTATAAAACAAACAAACCATCGAGCATAATGGTAAAGAGAATAGATTTTGAAGGTGGACCTGTCTTCAAGACCTGGCATCACCTTTTACCAGCTGGTTCACCTTGGGCAAGTGATTTAATCTCTCTAAACCTCAGGGTGCTCATCTGGAGATGCAGATGGTAACAGTGCCTACTTCATATGGTTGGTGACAGGATCAATTAATCTACTTCCTGTAAAACCCTTAGCTGAGTCTTTACCTCATCGCAGGTGCTCAGTAAGTGCTAGCTACTAGCAGTGGAAGTAAGAGGTCTAAAAGCTGGGACACAAGAGAACAAGATTAGTGCCCCAAAATGCTCCAAGAGAGGGGGACTAACAGCCATCAAAACAAATGTTCTGAAAAAAAAAAATAGTACTGCTGTGATATCATTCTGCCTTTCCCTCCTGTTGCAGCCTCCAGTTTCTTAAAGTGCAGTGATACCTGGGGCCTAGGTTCTCAGACAAGAGGTGTGTCTCCTCCTAACATCTATCCTATTGTCTGACAAACCTCTTCAAAATTTTGTATCTTTAGAGTCATTTCCATGGCCTCCCCTACAGTTCTATAACACAGCAGGAAGGGAGTGCTTATTAAACACTCTGGCGCAGAAGCAGGACAGGACAACGGCAGCCAGAGTGGGTAGAATGAGCAAATGGCAGCTTTAAGACAGGCGAGATCTATCTCAAATTTGTATGGAAGTTCTTGTCCTACCCAAGCTTTTGCCCAACTCAGTCTATTCCCTGTTTGGCGTAACGCCGTTGATGTTGAATAACAGAAGATTTTGAACTGAAAACTTTCCCACACACAGTGCATTCAAAGGGCTTCTCTCCCGTGTGGACACGCTGATGCCGCGTGAGCCGGCACCGCTGGCTAAAGGCTTTCCCGCATTCGCTGCATTCATATGGCTTGTCTCCAGTGTGGATCTTCTGATGCTGTGTAAGGGATGAGCGGTCAAAGAAAGCTTTGCCACACTCGTTACACTGATAGCGAGGGTCCCCAGCATGAGCTTTCTGATGTCTATTCAGAGACGAGACACCATAGAAAGCTTTCCCGCACTCGTTACACTCATAAGGCTTCCTGCCAGTGTGGATTAGCTGATGGCGAGTAAGAATACTTTTCTGGCTAAAGGCTTTCCCACACTGATGACATTCATAAGGACTTTCTCCAGTGTGAATTCTCTGGTGTCGAGTAAGGGATGAACGGTCAAAAAAGGCTTTTCCACACTCGTTGCACTGAAAGGGTTTCTCTCCAGTGTGAATTCGCTGATGGACAGTTAGGGACGAACGGTCAAAGAAGGCTTTTGAGCACACACTGCACTCGTAGGGGCTCTCCCCAGTGTGTGACATCAGATGTCTGCTGAGGCTGCTCCTGTGGCTGAAGGCTTTCCCACACTCGCGGCAGTCGTAGGGCTTCTCCCCAGTGTGAGTCCTCTGATGGCGGGTGAGGGATGAGTGGTCAAAAAAGGTCTTCCCACAGTCACTGCATTCCTGGTGTCTCTCTTTAGTGAGAATTTCCCTGGACAGGGCTGACCGTCGCCGCAAGCCTTTGTCCCGGGAGAGGGATTTCTTACGAGTCTCCCCTGAAGGGCTTTGCTTTTCTGTTCCCATCCTGCCATTGGGTGTATGAACTTCAAATTTAGGACACAGAGGACTTTGCCTTCCAAGGCATTCCCTCAATGATCCTTCTGATTTTTTGTCTGAAGCATCGTGAATCTCAGGCTTAGTTTCCCAGTCTGGAACAAACAGAAAACAGATGCAGTTTTTTTCCTGGGCTAGGAAATATTACAGAAAGAAGAGATGCTCCGATGAGTCTGAAAGTAATGTATGGTCACTGCATTGCTTGCTCCCATAGATAGTCTTACACGGCAGGGAGGGACTAAGACCTGGGAGTGAAGAAGGTGGCAGGGAACAGAATGGATGGTGGACACCTCAGAAAACAGGAGAATGTCCAGTGGGAGCATGGCCAGGACAATCAGGAGAGCATGCCGAATAGACAGGATGGCACTCAATAGCAATAGCAAAGTGTGGCTGGGCATGGTGGCTCACACCTGTAATCCTAGCACTTTGGGAGGCCAAGGTGGGCGGATCACCTGAGGTCAGGAGTTCGAGACCAGCATGGCCATCATGGCGAAACCCCATCTCTACTAAAATACAAAAATTATCCAGGCGTGGTAGCGGGTGCCTGTAATCCCAGCTACTTGGGAGGCTGAGGCAGGCAGAATCGCTTGAACCTGGGAGGTGGAGGTTACAGTGAGCTGAGATAGCGCCATTGCACTCCAGCCTGGGCAACAGAGCGAGACTCTGTCTCAAAAAAAAAAAAAAAAGAAATAGCAAAGTGTGAGTGCACAACGTTACAGACGTGAGAAAGTAACACTTGGTGAATATAGATGAATAACACGTTAAGGTGTAGAGGGAAAAAAATAAAAGCTATTGGGTGATATACAATAAATAATAAAGCAGAAGACTTGAATTTGAGAGAAAGATGATACCTGTTATTTCCCCCATCACCCAAATAACAAAAAGCCAAACAAAATTCCATTCTGTCTTGTTCACACTCAGTTACCTAGAGAGACACTCTCTGGCCATTCTCTCTCCTCAGACCCATGAAGATCTACCATCCACGGCTTGTCCCCTCTCTTCAATTGGAAAATCACATCAGGTTGAGGAACTGGAAGGCCTGCTCAAAGAGAAAGAAACAAAGCAGGTGGCTGTGTGTGATGAAAATAATATCACTCTCCCAAAGCTCAATCCCAGCCTCTAAGATTTTTTTGTTGTTGTTGAGACAGCATCTCACTCTGTCGCCCAGGCTGGAATGCTGTGGCCTGATCTCGGCTCACTGCAACCTCCATCTCCCAGGTTCAAGTGATTCTCCTGCCTCAGCCTCCCAAGTAGCTGGAATTATAGGCGGGTGCCACCACACCTGGCTAATTTTTGTATTTTTAGTAGAGATGGGGCTTTGCCATCATGGCCACGCTGGTTTCGAACTCCTGACCTCAGGTGATCCACCTGCCGCGGCCTCCCAAAGAGCTGGGATTACAGGCATGAGCCACTGAGCCTGGCCACAGCATCTAAGTCTTTTAGAGAGAAAATGCAAAAGGCAGAACGCACAAGCCAAGAATGCAGAGTCCAAAGCAGAGGAACCTCTGGACGGAGGCCAGGACTGAGGCTATAAAAGGAGCAAGTGGCACAAGGTCAGAAGGTTGAGAGAACCCGTGTAGATTCACGTGTTTATTCTTCCCTGTGAAGTGAATGGGAAGTTCCCAGTGTTAGCACTGGTAGGATGAAGGTCGTTGGCTTAGGAGAGATGAGAATGAAATTAAGTCACCTTGAGTAAAAAGTGTATCCAAACTGCCCATTTTTGTTTATTTGTTTGCCTTGAACATTGTGCTTTCATTGAAACAAGTCTGTCCGGTGCATTCTAGGAAAATTAGAAGTGTATACAAGCAAAAAGAAAAAATCACCTTGCCTACAGTGTATTTTCTTTCTTTCTATTCAGATATCCAAAGACACCCATAAATACATTCTGTTAAAAACTGGATAATGAGGCTGGGCACAGTGGCTCCTGCCAGTAATCCCAGCACTTTGGGAGGCCGAGATGGGTGGATCACCTGAGGTCAGGAGTTCAAGACCAGCCTGGCCAACATGGTGAAACCCTGTCTCTACTAAAAATACAAAAATTAGCAGGGCATGGTGGCCCATGGCTGTAATCCCAGCTACTTGGGAGACTGAGGCACGAGAATTGCTTGAACCCTGGAGACAGAGGTTGCAGTGAGCCGAGATTGCATCACTGCACTCCAACCTAGGCAACAGAGTGAGACTCTGTCTCAAAAAAAAAAAAAAAACAAAAAAAACCAAACCTGGATAATGAAATGACGCTGATTTGTAAAGCTGATTTTTTTTCACACAATAAATTTAAAATACCATTTTATTTATATCAGTACTGATCTACCTCACCATTGTAATGGCTACGGGATATGACATTGTATGGATAACATAATTTATTTAATGAATTCCCTTATGATAGAAATTTAGACCATTTTTAACGTTTTGCTATTAACAAACAATAGTGTGATGAACATCTGCATACACCATGGACTACTAGTCCTATTATTTCCTTAGGATAAATTCCCTGAAGCAAATCTATCCATTTTTGGTTATATTAAAAAATAGATCCTGGAAATAGGCTTGGGCTCTAAACTTCCCTTTTGCTGAGGCCCCAACTTGGGAAAGAGGCACTTTCTTATTGGGCCCAAGGATTGTCTACCGGGTTTTCTGTGGATTCTCTGTTGACAAAACGGCCACACCCAGCATCTCCCTGTGGCTCTCTGTCCCTGACCTCAGGGGTTCTATTTTCCTCAATATGCCATCTACTAAAGCCTGTAACAAATGCTCCTTTGATGCCTCCTGAATATTCCATTCTGTTTGGGAGACAATTGGCCTGATTAAGTTAATCTGGGGGGTGTTAGCACTTACTTTTTGACCTGCCTCGTAGGAAATCTGCAATGTGACTCCTTTTACTGCCATCTGCTGCTTATTTTAAGCCGGTTTCTCAATCTGGGCACTCTCTCAGCCTCTCGTGAAGCTCCTGAAAGGTTCTCATAACCTCCAGGAGCCCAACTTTACTTTTCACTAACACCAGAATCAGCAGTGACTCTTAACTTTCTCTTTGTCACACAAGTCTCTATAATTACAAAGTGTCTTCTGTGAGCATCTAAGACTGTACCTAAGACAAATATTCAAAATCAAACATATATCTGGTGACCTCAGAGGCACAACCCTGAATTCCGACAAGATGGCCCCCTACCCCAGCGCACACTCCTCTGGGTGAGCTGAGTTACCTAACTGGCGAACTGGGAGAACTGGGCATATGAAACTCAGCGTCTTCTGCCTGCCCCTCTGGAGCGCCAGCTCCCTGCCTCTAACACACATTCCGCTCTGTCCCTCAGCCCTCGCTGGCCCTCCCTGAATTTTGCCGGGCAGGCTGCTGAGCGAGAGAGCCTATGGTCATCCAGCACTGCCCATGGCTGGGGAGGCATGTCTGCCCAATGCTGGGGTTCAGTATTGAGCCCGCCGTTGCTGTACTCTGATGCCACATCTTTCGACTCTTACTTTATCTCTCAGGTGGCTCAGAACTCAGCGGGGAGGAGAACGGTATTAATTCCTCAGCCCTCTCAGCCCCACATTAGCATAGTACAGACTGTACCTCCTCATGGAGGCTCCCCTTACCCAATGACACAATGCTGTTATAGTTCTCCAGCATCACCTCCTTGTAGAGGTCCCTCTGTATGGGGACCAGACGACTCCACTCTTCATCTGTGAAAACCACGGCAACGTCTTCGAATGTCACTGATTCCTGAAAATACAATCACATTCTCCCTTACTCTTAATCCTTCTCTTTACTTGGACCAGACCAAAAATGTCAAAGATGACAGCCCTGGAGGACGCATGGTGGGAGGAAAGAAAAACAGTTCTGACTGAGTAGAACTTTAAAGCATTTGGGAAAAGTGGCCTCATCACCCAAGACATGAAGTTCTTGGTCAGAATCTCACACCACTATACTTACAGCTGAGCTTCTGAATATCAGACTCTTTTTTCAGACTTCTAAAAACAGCACAAAAAAATTCCTGTGTACCCTTCACCTGGCTTCCTCAACTGTCAACATTTTCCACATTTACTTTATTTTTCTGTCTCTCTCTAGATACACATTCTCCTATCTTTTTGTTAGGCCTCTTGACTAACTTGTCAACATCATGTGTCTTTAATCCTAAATATTTCAGTGTGTATTTTGTAAAAACAAGGATGTACTGTTGTTATAATCACAGTATAACTATAAAAAATGGAGAAAATAGCATTGATCTTATACTATTATCTAATCTACAATCTTACTCAAATTTCACCAATTGTCTTTTTTTTTTTACAAATCCTTAGAATAATGGTGTTGATTAGATCATCTGTAGGATCCCTCTCATTTCATTCTAATGCTCTGTGATTCTGTAAGATTGCATCTCTTTACCTTCAGTTCTAAAACCTCAGATGAGTCTCCAGTGTGTCTGCAAAAGTTCTAGGCCAGGATGCAGAATTTAAGACTCTGCCCTCGGGCAGGAATGGAGCAAGCCACACAGTCTCTAGCACAGGAGACTCTCTTCAGGGCTCTTAGCACCCCACAGAGGTGCTCTACAGTGTGTATCACACGCCCCAGCCTAGCCCCACACTCCCTGGAACACTGGAGCCTCCTCTCAGTCCACACATGAATGTACCAAAGGGACTGTCAGGACCAGAACCAGCCCACTATTCCCCAAACCTTCCAATCAGACCCTACCATTGGCTTCTAGGCAAAATCACTCACAGTGAAGGCTCCAGGAGTTGTTAAGCCTGGTGACAAGCTAATGGGCACATGCTCACAGCAAGAAAAGGTCACTAAAGGATACCTCAAGTCAAATAGGAAAGAAATACTCCCTGTGGAGTCCTTCATCTGCCTGGCTGGGTCTGCTCAAAGAGGCTCCAGGATAGAGAAAGAAAAGTGGTTACATTCTGGAGATGAATGGAGTATTTCGGGAACACAAAAGTCCACCTCACCTGGCATCTGGTGGTCGGAGACACAGCAGCCATTCTCTCCTGTGTGCTCTCCTTGTGGACAAGGGCAGAGTCCTAATGAGGCAGAAGTGGGGGGTGAGAAAGAAGGTAGGAGAAAGACCAGTCCTGTCGCATAGTCTTTTGACCCATGAAGCACATACCAGGGGGATATGTCATCCTCAATACCTTACAAAAGGGGGTCTAAGTAAAGCAAAGCCAGGAACAATCCCAGACCACCCCAGAATTAGAGCCAACAACCATGGAACTGCGAATTAGACCACAATGTGGTGGTGGTTTTTACCACGATGCTAGAGGCAGAGTTCTGTTCCTGAGAGTCAAGAACTGTGTAAGATTCACACAGTACGTAAAAATTCACATTCAATATTGCCCTGAATGATTACTGGGCAAAAGCCATTAGCAATTTTATAAATGACTACATGGACAAGACATATCAAAGACAATCCAGTCTCTTCAAAGGAAAAATACCCCACTCATAGCCCTTGCTAAAGGAGCATCCCTTGGGCAGCCAGGTTTTGTACCATGTGACCCTGTGTCTTATTCCCGGAGCCACACTGATTAGGCCACAGGTGGGTAATGCACACATGACTAGTAGATTGAGATGTGATCTGGCTTGAAAAGATGACATCCTTCCTTGGGAATGTGAACTAAGAAATGTCAGGACAAGTGGGTGACGAGCTGAAAGGATATCATGAAAGGACGTCCTGAAGCAGCCACAAGGATCGGGGAACCAAAGTTACCAGCAGCAGAACCCATGGGCACATGGGAGGTACAAGGTAGAGAAAAGGTCATAATAGACCACGGGACCAGAGGCAGGCAGGGGGAAGCCCAGCGCAGTCCCATCAGCGGTGAAACACTGACGCAAAGACCTAAGAATTCCTGGGGAAGCCCTCACCTCGCCTAGCACCACCCATGGGCTCCAATTTCCATGCAAACCATCCTTATTTATTCATAGATTGCCATAATACTCTAACTCTCTTGGGCTCTGTGCAAGATCTTATCACTAATTCCCTTTACTGGGATTAGCTAAGTCTCAGTTTTTCACAATCAAGAGTCTAATTAAAACAACAGACCAGGCACGGTGGCACATGTCTGTAATCCCAGCACTTTGGGAAGCCGAGGTGGAAGGATCACTTGAGGCCAGGAGTTCTCAAGACCAGCCTGGGCAACATAGCAAGACCTCTGTCTCTATAAAAATAAAAAAATATAAAAATAAAACAAGAGCATTAAATCCCACATTTCTGGGATTTATGGTGGCTGGGAGATGGTGTGGTCCTGGTGAGGAGGAGGAAAAGGCATATTTGCGGTGCACTGACCATTCTCCAACAGTCAAGGGGATATGGTCACTGCTTCTTGTGACTCATTCATTCATCCTTCTATTCAACCAGCATTTATTCAGCACCAACTACTTACATCAAGCACAGAAAAACTGTCAGACACTGTCTTTGTCCTCCAGAAGCTATAGCTTAGCACAGAGAACAAACAAGTAAATGAGATAATATTTCACTCCAGGATGCATTAAGAGCAGCAAAGCGATATGCACAGCAATCCATGAGAGCACCTCAGAGGCTCACCTAACCCAGCAGGGAGGGATGGAAGGAGGAACTCTGCAGCTTTCTTGACAGGAGTGGGATCTAAGCTAAGTTTTCATTTGTGGGAGGAGCTAGAACATTCTAAATCTTGAGAAAAAAACCTCAAGTTTTTCAAAAAGAAGGAGGCAGGTCTTTACATGGAAAGGATTAACAACAAAAATTAGCTTAGAATGGTAGAAGTCTAGGCTGTGAGCAGTGCTGTGGGGAAGATGAGGGAAAAGAGGTAGGCAGAGGCCAGTTTCATCGAGGAGAGCTTTGCATGGCCCTTTCTCCACAGGCATGGAGATTACTGAAGGATTTGGGTGTGGACATGTCATCACATCCGTGCTTTAAAAAATCACTGTGACTTATAGCAAGGGCCTTGAAACATACTGTTTGACCCAGCAATTCTCTCCTAGGAATTTATACTAGGAAATAAGTAATGATATATGATATATACACAGCTTTTTATGACTCATCATTAACACTAACCCTTATTGACAGCTATGTTCCAGGGCACTTCCTAAGCACTTTATATGTATTATCTCATTTAATCTTTTCAATAAGGCAGCAAAAATTTGAAATACCTTAAACATCTGGAGACTTGGTTAAATAATTTATGGCCCAGTCCATACATATAATGGAACACTATTAAACATCATCTTGGCCTGGCACGGTGGCTCACGCCTGTAATCCCAGCACTTTGGGAGGCCAAGACATGCGGATCATGAGGTCAAGAGATGGAGACCATCCTGGCCAAAATGGTGAAACCCAGTCTCTACTAACAATACAAAAAAATTAGCTGGGCGTGGTGGCGTGTGCCTTTAGTCCCAGCTACTTGGGAGGCTGAGGCAGGAGAATTGGTTGACCCTGGGAGGCGGAGGTTGCAGTGAGCCAAGATCGTGCCACTGCACTCCAGCCTGGCGACAGAGCAAGACTCCATCTCAAACAAACCAAACCAAAACAAAAAAACCCATCATCTTAATAACAACTAGCATTATTGAGTATTTTCTATTTGCCAGGTACTGTGCTAAGTGCTTTTTATAAGGCTAATTTAACTCCATCCTCATAAATCAATAAGGTAGGCACTATTTTACAGATTAGGAAATTAAGGCTTTGTAAGAATCTGAGGTAGAACTTGAAACCATGTCTGCCTGGGAGGTTTTAACTTTCATGCTACCATGATTTATTTTCATGAAAAGATAGCCACATCAATTACAGACCAATAGACTAGAACAGAAAATCCCAAAACATATCCAAACATTAGGGAAGCCTGATGTATGACTGAGGTGGCATTACAAGTCACTGGGGAGAAGATCACTAGTGATAAACTGCAAACAACTTCAATGTCCATTAATCAGATAAAGGATTTGTGAATATATATACATTATCTCATATATGAATATTATATATGAATATGTGTATTATACATTATATATGAATATTATACATTATCTCATGTTAACAGAGATAAATTACAAAAACATAATTACTGGGCAAAAAATAAGTTATAGAATGACTTACTGTATAATATTTACATAAAATTTAAAAACAGGTAAATAATACCTACAAAAATCTATTAACACATGGGACAATAAGCAGCAAATGTGTACATATCTGAGAAGAAAGGGAAATAAGACTGGGGAAGGATACCCAGGATACTTCAGCTTTATCTGTAATGCTTTGTTTCTTACAAAAAAAAAAAAAATCAACAACTGAAAAAAAACCACAAAGAACGGCCAGGTGCAGTGGCTCACACCTGTAATCCCAGCACTTTGGGAGACCGAGGCGTGTGGATCACTTGAGGTTAGGAGTTCAAGACCAGCTTGGCCAACATGGTGAAATCCCGTCTCTACTAAAAATACAAAAATTAGCCAGGCATGATGGCACGTGGCTGTAGTGCCAGCTACCCTGGAGGCTGAGGCAGGAGAATTGCTTGAACCCAGAAGGCAGAGGTTGCAGTGAGCTGAGCTCACGCCACTGCACTCCAGCCTGGGTGACAGAGTGAGACTCCATCTAAAAAAAAAAAAAAAAACCACAAAGAAATTCAAAACACTTGAAGAATGCACACTTTTAAAATTACATATTTGTACATGCACATTATGTATAGAAAAAGGAAAAACACATAATAAAATGTAAATGAAATTTGAGTGGTGAGTTATAAGTTATTTTTATTTTCTTACCATTCTTCATATATTTTTTTCAACAAGAGTAAGTCCTTATTTTGGTGTACAGAAAAAAATAACAGGAAGGAAAGAAGGGTGGTGTGCAGAAAAGTCACAGCAGACCTGAGACTGCTATTCCTAGAAAGTTCTGCTTGCATGCTGGCCCTTCGCTGGCAGCTGGAAACTTCGATTTTGAGAGGGTTCCCCAGTTCCCTAAGAGATAACGGTGGTCTACTATGCCTAAACTATTTGTGCAAACAATGTCGTTTATGGTGAACATGTGCTCTCCTATTGGAGGGTCTGGAATTTTGGTATGTGTTAGGCAGACGGTGCCTATGTGACTTAGCCCTCAATAAAAAACATGGGCTCTGAGTCTCCAATGAGCTTCCTTGAGCAGAGACATCACACTTGTTGCTGCATTTTCGTTGCTGGGGGAAGGAGTGTGCTCCATGTGACACCCACATGGGAGAAAGAGAATAGAAGCAAGCCTATATACGGATTCCTCTACCCGGCTTGTCTTTTCCCCTTATGATCTGGCTGCCTATCCTTGCAGGGTCATCATCATACTCTTAGCCAGAAGTACAACTATGGGTCGAGTCTTGAGTCCTTCTAGTGAATCCCTGAACCTGGGGTGATCCTGGGGACCCCAACACAGGTGGCCACGCCACACTGAGTGGCTGTGGTGTGATGGGATTACAGGAAGGAAAGAATGGAGGTGAGTAGACCATTGAGGAGAGTGTTATAATTAAATAAGAAAGATGACAAACTGAATGAAAGCTGTGAAAGCAGAAATGTTGGAAACTGCTGTCAAGCTATTAAGAACAGACAGGCTGGGTGCGGTGGCTCACGCCTGTAATCTCAGCACTTTGGGAGGCCGAGGCGGGTGGATCACGAGGTCAGGAGTTCAAGACCAGCCTGGCCAAGATGGTGAAACCCTGTTTCTACTAAAAATACAAAAATTAGCCAGGCACCGTGGCAGGCACCTGTAATCCCAGCTACTTGGGAGGCTGAGGCAGGAGAATCGCTCAAACCCGGGAGGCAAAGGTTGCAGTGAGCCGAGATCACACCACTGCACTCTAGCCTGGGTGACAGAGCAAGACTCTGAGTCGGGGAAAAAAAAAAAAAAGAAGAAGAAGAAAAACAGACAATACACTGGCTGGAAGAAGAGGCTGAAGGTGATGAGGGCAAAGATGACGCCCGGGTTACCAATGCGGCATGGATAACGATGCCGTTCATGGAGATAAGGTACAGAGAAGGACTGAAGGGAAAACCAATGAGTACAGTTTTGGACATTCAGAATTTGAGCCGACCCCACATCTTTGAATAAGAAAACTCAGATGACTCTGGCTCCCACTGGCCAGATAAATAATAAAAATCACTAGCGCTAAATAAAATAATTTGAACTTTGAAGGACTATGAGTTTCATATTCAAAATAGAAAAGTTAATATAAAATATGCCATAAAAGTTGTAATACAAGGAAGGCAATGTTTAAAACTTTACTTACATAAAAAGGTACTTTTTTCTATTAATTGTATGACTATAGATGTACCCTCAGGATAGATACTTGTATCTACTCATATAAGTATGTAAAAAGAAATTTGGAATGGGAATAAACCAGGTAATTCTAGATACAGAACTACATACCCCAAACAGGGAGGACTAATCAGTACTGGGGCCACACGTAAGTATCAAGTAGAAAGAGAAATGGGCTCTACTAACAATGAACCAACCTCTGCTTCCAAAGAAGCATAGTAACTGTGCAGACTTCATCCTTTCTCCCTTAGGATATGTCTCCCTACAGCTAGACTTATGAATCAAACACAAAAATAAGGAACAACTAAGTTTTCAAAAATGTCAAAAGACCAGATCAATAGATATTTACTGGTCTGTTTGGTAGCATTTAACTCTATTCTATAACAGGTCTATCATATTCTTGGATATTCGGGGATTTTCTGTTCTAGTCTATTGGTCTGTTACCTATGCTATCTTTTCATGAAAATAAATCATTATAGCTTAGAGTTAAAAGTTGCCAGACAGCTCAGGGTTATTTAACAATGGGTTCACACTGGCCAAGCAAAATTTTAAAAGAATATTACCTTGAGGGTGAATACCAGTTTGCAAAAACTACGTGAAAAGCAAAAACTTATTGGAAAAACAAGTTTAGCTAAGTATAAGCAAAAACTAATAAACAAAAAACACCCCCAACCTAACGGGGAGAGATTAGGGTTTGAATCTTGCTGGGAGGAGGCAGATATAAACACAAACAGAAACAAAGACATGTCAATTGATAACCAGAGCATGCAACGTGTATTGTCTAAAAGTATTCTTTTCCTTTTTGGTCTGTTAAGATTCGTCCATCACAAGAGGGTATCCAAATATTACCCTTAGGCCCTAGAAATAAGTCAAAATTAGCATTTAGAGATACAGGAAAGTGTAGTCATTGGGAGTACAGGCTCTGGAGACAGACTGCCTGAAATCAAAATCCACCTCTGCCTCTTCCTACCGGTGCTACCTCAGGAAAGTTTCTTAACCTGTCTCAGTCTGCCTGTTTGCAAAACTGGAATAACGGAAGTAATATCTCTTGCAGTTATCTTGATGCTTAAATAGGGTAACACATGTAACACATTTAGAATAATGTGCTAAGTAAAGTTAGTATAAGCTAATGTAATGTAATAAGTAATGTTATAATTCTAGGAAGGTAGACACACTGAAAATATTAATTACACTGAGTTGTTGCATTTTTTTGTTTGTTTTTTTTGAGACAGGGTCTCGCTCTGTCTCCCGGGCTGGAGTGCAATGACATTATCTCGGCTCACTGCAACCTCTGCCTCCCCGGTTCAAGCGATTCTCCTGCCTCAGCCTCCTGAGTAGCTGGGATTATAGGTGCCTGCCACCATGCCTGGCTAATTTTTGTATTTTTGTAGAGGGTTTCACCATCTTGGCCGGGCGGGTCTTGAACTCCTGACCTCAGGTGATCTCCCCACCTTGGCATCCCAAAGTGCTGAGATTATAGGCATGAGCCACTGCGCCTGGCCGAGTTGCTGCTATTTTAGAGTAGGTTTAAATGTAAGTGCAGTAATAACTTTGGAGTCAAAGTATTTGTATATGTTTGTCTAAAGCACTGGAGCTTTTTGAACAAATCAAACCATATCCAAAACTGCAGTCGAAACTGCTCAGTGTTAAATGTTTAAAGACAATTTTCAAAGTTTTGTTTATTAGATTACAACTTTAATTAAACTGAGCACTGAACGAATTACAAATGGTGGTGAACATATAAGCTCCCCAGTTATTAAACAACCAGTGGATACTCCCAAAGTGCTCCTCATCCGTAGACTTCTCTCCCCATTAGGTTTAGACTCCACCAGCAGTCACTTCAGTAAGCTCACTGACACTGAAGACTTCTCAAATCCACCAAACTCACAGGGAGTTACTGCTAGCCAAGAACCACCTCCACTTCTGTGTTCTCTTTTCCTATCCCTGCATCTCAGAGTATCACTGGAGAAAATGTCCCCTAAATTCAGTCTATATCTTCAAACGAGCCCTTGACATCGTCCAGAAAGCTTTTACTGCTCCCATCTTAGCTACATGGCTATTCCAAACCTCCATGGGTACCATTCAATTTCCGCATAACTTTTGTCTTCTACCACACCAAAGATTCCCAGGAATGAGTTTCAAGGGAAGCAGGGTTATATGGTAGAAAGCATTCCACAAGCATGGAATTATTAACCATGAAGCCTTGGATGAGTTACTTAAGCCAACAGTTGTTTACCACCTAACTCACAGCATAGTTATAAATGGTGAGACCATTAATATAAAGCATTTATCATACAGTTCATTCAACAAATAAAGTTCTCTTCCTTTCTACTGCCCAATGCAATCCATCCACTCATCCCACTATTTGATGAATATGTACCAAGTAGCTGTTATGTGCTAGGGCAGCGAGATGTGTGAGGTCAACAAGACAGAAATGTCTGTCTCCAGGACTTTACCTTTGTGTCCTATACCCTGGGTTCCACTGTTTTTCACATTGCTTCCTCTCAGAATTTGTCCCTGCACTTCCCAGTATTTTTTTTTTTTTTTTTTGAGACGGAGTCTGGCTCTGTCGCCCAGGCTGGAGTGCAATGGCACGATCTTGGCTCACTGCAACCTCTGCCTCCCAGGTTCAAGCGATTCTCCTGCCTCAGCCTCCTGAGTAGCTGGGACTACAGGCGCGGGCCACCATGCCCAGCTAATTTTTGTATTTTTAGTAGAGACAGAGTTTCACCATTTTGGCCAGGATGGTTTCAATCTCTTGACCTCATGATCTGCCTGCCTCAGCCTCCCACAGTGCTGGGATTACAGGCATGAGCCACAGCGCCCAGACCCCAGTCTTTTTTTTTTTTTCTTCCAGCATTTTCCACCCCAGTAGCACTTTCTTTCAACATCTTCAAAGACATACAAGCCTCCTCTACCTGAAACTATTTTCACTGAATCCCATGACCTCCTTCTAGCAAAGCAGTTCTCATTTAGGTTGTCCTTTCATGATCAAACTTTTTGGAGAATAATAACCTACTGACTCCACACTGTTACCACTTACTCTTCTCCAGTCCCTGTTTTTCAGCTTTTGCCCCTCACACACCTGAAATGGCATGCTTGAAAACTACTTTTTTTTTTTTTTTTTGAGACGGAATTTCACTCTTGTCGCCCAGGCTGAAGAGCAATGGCATCATCTCGGCTCACTGCAACCTCCACCTCTCGGGCTCAAGTGATTCTCCCACCTCAGCCTCCCAAGTAGCTGGGATTACAGGCACCCGCCATCATGCCCTGCTAATTTTTGTATTTTTGTAGAGACGGGGTTTCACCATGTTGGCCAGGCTGGTCTTGAACTCCTGACGTCAAGTGATCTGCCCACCTCGGCTTCCCAAAGTGCTGGGATTACAGGCATGAGCTACCGCACCTGGCCTACCAATGCATTTCTGATCCTATTATCTCTATTTCTTTCTTTTTTTTTTTTTTTTTTTTTGAGACTGAGTCTCGCTCTGTCACCCAGGCTGGAGTGCAGTGGCGCAATCTTGGCTCACTGCAAGCTCCGCCTGCCGGGTTCATGCCATTCTCCTGCCTCAGCCTCCCGAGTAGCCGGGACTACAGGCGCCCGCCACCACGCCCGGCTAATTTTTTGTATTTTTTTAGTAGAGACGGGGTTTCACCGTGTTAGCCAGGATGGTCTCGATCTCCTGACCTCGTGATCCGCCCGCCTCAGACTCCCAAAGTGCTGGGACTTACAGGCGTGAGCCACTGTGCCCGGCCATATTATCTATTTCTCTGTAGCTTTTCACTGTTCGGACAAGCTTCTGCTTATTCAAGTGGTTACTGTAACTGCTATGATACTGCACTAGCTTTTCTTCCAACCACTAAAATTGCTGTCTTTCTGTGACTCTTTTTCCCCACTTTTGCCCTGGAAACATGGATGCTGCCCATAGCTCAGTCTTTGTACTTTCTTCGTTTTTGCCATCCCTCAGAAAGTCCATCCACATTCAGGGCTCCATTTTCAAACTCTACAGATGTCCATGTCCTGTAATTGTATTGTAATTTTACAATACAACTGTATTGCATTCTTCCAGACTCATCCTGCATTTCCAAATGACTGCAAACCTTAAATCAGGCGTTCCACCATCACCTCAAAACTATCTTCCTTTAGGCAATTCCACACATCAACGCCTCTTCCTGGCTTTACATTTGTATCAGATGTTTTATTGTTCTCCCAGGTGTCCCAAATTCAAACTCTTACCTCACTCTCTTTCCTCCCAAATCTAGTCACCAGGCCCTTTTGACTCTTCTTTTGCAGTGTCATCTGTATCCTTCCCTTTCACTACCACCACCATAATTCAAGTCCACAACATCTTACTCCAAAACTACCATACATTCCTAAGTAGCTCTCTGCTACTGGTCCTTTCCCCTCTCTAGTCCTGAATGTGACCTCTAGAATAACTGTCTCCAAATAGTTTCATTCGTGTCAGTCCCTGGATCACACCTATATAAGCCACCTTGCCTACTGAGTCTTGTCCTGATTCTCTGAGTCCCGGGCCCTGGCTCCCAGCGTACCTTTTCTTCAACCTTGTCTACCACTGTTCCTGCATTTCTGTAAAAACTATCTCCAGCTCAAATCTGCCTAACGCTTAGCTGCTTCTTTCGTGGTTTTTGTTTTGTTGTTGTTGTTTTTCTTTCACGTCAAATCCCACCTCCTCCATGAAGCCCTCCAGCACTCGTGCGGAGGCCCAGGGCAGGGAGCTAAATGAGGCAATCTGAGGCGCTGTCTGGCAAAGACGGAGCGGCAGCATCCTAGATTTGGTGTCAATTCCACCCACGTTCATTAAGCACCCATTATGGGAAGAAGAAACGGGAGAGGCGGAGGAAGACTCCAAACCTCCAACCTTAAAGTCCGGGACCGACATACAATGGGTGCCCAGACCCCACGGGACACACGCACACACGGGGGTGGATGCACAACTTTCCGTCCGCACCGAGACGTCGCGACACACGCTCTGCAGGCTGGCCTCGCCCGTGTCACCCCGTTTTGCTCCCACAGCACCTCCCCAAAGTTCTCATGTCCCCTCTCTCGGCTGCTGCGCTCACTCCGCTCCTTGAAGACACACACCCACAACCCTCACCTCCGGCACAGAGTGCTCGGGACCCGGGAAGACGGCGCCTCTTCAGGTCGGGAAACCAACGCGCCTGCGCACAGGGTCCTGGCGACTGCGCTCCCAATCAATGCGGGGCCTTCGCAAGGACTTCATCTCCCAGAAGTCTCGGCGTCCGGTGCGCTTTAATATGACGTCCGAAAATGTGTGCAAACGCCGGCTTCCCGTGGCTGAACAGGATCCAAAATGGCAGCGCTGTCGCCTTAGCTGGGAGAGCGAGCCGTTGTGGCTGTTTGGGAGACTTATGGTCACCCTGAAGTACTGCCTGCCTCTAGTGTCGCGTCCCTCCAGTATCCGATGGGAGCGCCGTCCGCAGGGAATGTGTCTCTCTGATCATGGTGCCTCGTGTCCAGCTCTGGGGAAGACCGAGACGAAATCGAGTCAGCTGGCGTTGGGAGAGGGCTTATTTCCGCTTCCGCTTGCCCACTTTCAGGAATTTGATTCTGAGAGCAGGGCTGCGGTTCCAGGCAGGGTTTGTACACATATTTGCGTTGGAAGGAGAGAGGAGCCTAGGACACATATGTATTAACTGTGCAGCTGGTCCGACTCCCGACAGCTTCAGCGCACACCAGCCAGCCTTGGAGTTGCTGGAACGGCCCTGGCTGCAAGCTGGAATCACCCGGAGAGCTTTCGACATTGATGCCTGAGGCCCAGCTGTGGAGCGACAGTTTGAAAAGAGCTGCAGGTGACTCTAATGTGCAGCTAAAGCTAGGAACCACTGAGCTACATCTCAGGGAAGACTGAAAATTACAAAGAATATGATAAAATCTTACTTCAGGAACAAAGCTACGTTTTTCCAGGTTAATTTATTAGTGGTTTGGGTTTTTTTTAAGTTTTTGTGGGTACACAGTAGGTGTGAACATTTATGGGCCACCTGAGATATTTTGACACAGGCATGCAATAAGTAATAATCTCATCAGGACAAATGGGATATCCATCACCTCAAGCATTTGTCCTTTGTGTTACAAACGATCCAGTTATATTCTTTTAGTTACTTTAAAATATACAATATTATTGGCTGTAATTACTCTGATGTGCTATCAAATACTAGTTATACTATTTCTTATTCTATTTTTTGTACCCATTAACTATCCCCACTTCCCCACCCCGCCAACCCTTCCCAGTCTGTTAACCATCCTTCTACTCTCCATCTCCATAAGACTACACTTTCATTCAAAAAATCCAAATTGCTCACCATAAGCAAGGCACAGTTACAAATATGAGTAAGTTACTGCCCCAAATGAACTCTTGGTCCAATGGAAAAAATCAGAATGTAAAATCACAATAGAGGCAGTATGTTCTATAATTATGTCACATTCAACATACTATGAGAGTACAATGGAGGAAGCTATTAACTATGGCCGGGAAAGGTGGGAAAGGATTCCTTTCACTGGTATACTTAAATACTTAAGAAAAAAAAAGTGTGATCTAAACAGTGAATAGTACATGCAAAGGCATAGTCTAGAGGATAAAAGTGAAAATAATTAGTAGCAAAATGAATGCCTTGTGGATGAGGTTTAGGGGCCAATAACTATCTTGAGGTAAGGCCAGGTTGTGGCTGCCTTTGTGTTGTACTAAGGGGTTTGGACCTTCCTAGGAGATTAGAGCTTGATTAAAGTCACAACATCCATAAGAGAAATACTTTTTTTTTTTTGTTCCCTTCTGTGTGGTGGTTTTTATTATTTAGCCTTATACTGAGGGTGGAAACTGGGGTCCTGAAAGTGTTTCCTTCTAGAATATTCCCCACCCACTGGCAGGCCCTAGGCTTTGTCTTTACCGCTTCCAGGTAGCTGCCAAAGTGGAAGTTTATGTGCTCTAGGATTTAGCAGTCTAAAAGTCAGGTTTGTTGCTCGATTCTCAGAATTCTAGCTCTCACTTTATTTATTTTTTGAGACAGGCTCTGGCTGTGTCAGCCAGGCCAGAATGCAGTGGCATGCTCTCAGCTCACTGCAACCTCCACCTCCTGGGCTCACGTAGTCCTCCCATCTCAGCCTCAAGAGTAGCTGGGACTACAGGCATGCACCACCATGTCTGGCTACTTTTTGTATTTTTTTGTAGACATGGGGTTTTACCATGTTGCCCAGGCTGGTTTCAAACTCGGGCTCAAGCAATCCACCCTCTTCGGCCTCCCAGAGTGCTAGGATTATAGGCATGAGCCACTGCACCTGGCCCATTTCACTTTATTTTTTTAAATGTTTACAAATTCCTCACTTTCATGCCTGCTCATCAGTGTGTTTATAAAGATGTTTGCAATTTTTCAGCATTTTTAGTTTTTTTATTAAGAGGGCTGTTTAGGCCATCTAATCGGCCATGTTACTGGGAAGATTAAGAGAATTTTAACTGATATTCTCAAAAGAGTTAGGAGGAGCATATGGAAGCTAAGCAGCCAAGAAGTGACATACATCCATCTTTTTAGAGTAAAACAGGTATCTCTTGGGCCCAGAAGCTTGTAGGCTCTGCCAAATTGCAGGATGTTATGGCCGTCTGATGCTGTTTAACCACTCCAAACTTAGTGGCTGAAAACAACAATTTTATTAGGCCAACATGTTCTGTGGGTCGGGAACTTGGATGGGCACAACAGGGATGGGCACACAGGGATATCATTTGGATATCCTCTCCAAATCTCATGTTGAGATGTAAACCCCAGTGTTGGAGATGGGGCCTGGTGGGAGGTATTTGGGTGATGGGGGCAGATCCCTCATGGCTTGGTGCCGTCCTTGCAATAGTGAGTACTCCTGAGATCTGGTTGTTTACGTGTGTGACACCTTCCTGCCCTCCCCAACTCTGTTTTGTTCCTGCTTTCACCATGCAAAGTGCAAACTCCCACTTCACCTTCCACAGTGAGTGAAAGCTCCCTGAGGCCTCCCCAGTAGCCAAACAGATGCCGTTGCCATGCTTCCTGTACAGCCAGCAGAACCAAGAGCCAAGGAAACCTCTTTTCTTTATAAATTACCCAGTTTCAGGTATTTCTTTATAGCAGTGCAAAATGGCCTAACACAGCTCGTTTCTGCTTCACAATTTCTGGATCCTCAATTGGGAGGACTATATCTGGCACCCAGATTGGCACCCGTGGCTAGGCTCAGCTGGGACTGTTCGCCAGTGTCCCCGCATGTAGCCTCTCTTTGTGCTTGGACTTCCTCACAACATGGTGGCCTCGGGGCAATCAGGCTTCTTGCACCTCATTTCAGGGCTCTAAGAGGGTCCCAGTGAGCAAGACAGAAGCTGCATGGCTTTATTTATTTATTTATTTATTTTGGAGACGGTTTCGCTCTTGTTGCCTGAGCTGGAGTGCAATGGCACGATCTTGGCTCACCACAACCTCCGCATCCCGAGTTCAAGTGATTCTTCTGCCTCAGCCTCCCGAGTACCTGGGATTACAGGCGTGTGCCACCATGCCCAGCTAATTGTGTATTTTTAGTAGAGACAGGTTTTCTCCATTTTGGTCAGGTTGGTCTCCTGAGCTCAGGTGATCCGCCCACCTCGGCCTCCCAAAGTGCTGGGATTACAGGCATGAGCCACTGCGCCCGGCCAAGAAGCCAGTTTTCGTTTCTTTTTTTTTTTTTTTTTTGAGATGGAGTCTTGCTCTGTCACCCAGGCTGGAGTGCAGTGTTGCAACCTCGGCCCACTGCAGCCTCTGCCTCCCGGGTTCCAGAGATTTTCGTGCCTCAGCCTCCTAGGTAGCTGGGATTACAGGCGCACGCCACCACACGCGGCTAATTTTTGTATTTTTAGTAGAGACGGGGTTTAGTAGAGACAGGTGTGAGCCACTGCGCCCGGCCGCCAGTCTTAAAAATTTACAAACTGTATGATTCCATTTATGTGACATTCAGGAAAAGGCAAAACTATAGGGAAGGTAACAGAGCAGTGGTCACGGGTTGGGGTGGAAGAGGCATTTGACTGCAAAGGAGCAGTAAAAGGAATATTGAAGGTGATGGAGAGTGTATAGGCTGGTGAGGACTGGAGCCCCACCAACAGTGCTTTGAGATCAAATGGTGCACTAGAGCACTGAGCAGGAGAGAGAATATTCCTGGGGTAATGAATGTGCATTGTAACAAACAAGGGCCTCTGGATCAAGATCTGTCCCAAAGGACACAATGTAAGAGTGGGGAATTTCAGACACTGCAGCAGGCCTACAGAATGGGCATCAGGGAAAGGCAGTGGCCCTCAAGTTCTTCTGAAGTAGTTCCATTTCTAGTTCTGTTGAGCCATCAATGAGATGAAAATCTTTTCTCATTTGTCCATCCCCTCACCTTTTTGGTTCGGAGCACCGAAGATGGAAAAGCTCCTATATCAGCCATGGTTCCCAGACAATGTCCCCCTGCGTGGAAAAGGGCTTGCTTGCTGCGCCATCCTGGCCATCTGTGCCACTGGAAGTGCTGGCAGAAAAGTGAAACAGAGACTGCAAAAGCAGGAAAGGAGAATGGTCTCTTTGCCTTGATTTCGTGTTATTTTGTCTTTGCCTTGATTTTGTAAGTTATTTTGTCCTGAACTCCTAAATAGGGTTGATAAACCAATCTCTCTGTCCTCACAAGTGGCCCTTCTCTGGCTGAGGACTGCCTCCAGAAAACCACCGTTTTAATACTCAGACTGTGTCTTAGGCATTGGCGCTGCTATAACAGAGTGTCTTAAACTGGGGAATTTGTAAACAACACAAATTTGTTGTTCACAGTTCTGGATGCTGGGAAATGCAATATCAACGTGCCAGCCAGTTCAGGGGCTGGTGAGGGTACGTTTCTCATAGATGGCACCTTCTGTGTCCTCACATGGCAGGAGGAGCAAAGGGGGCTTAAGGCCCGTTTTTATTTTTATTTATTTATTTAATTTATTTTTTGAGACGGAGTCTTGCTCTGTCGCCCAGGCTGGAGTGCAGTGGCACGATCTTGGCTCACAACCTCTGCCTCCCGGGTTCAAGCAATTCTCCTGTCTCAGCCTCCTGAGTAGCTAGGATTACAGGCGTGCACCACCACGCCCAGCTAATTTTTAAATATATTTTTGGTAGAGACAGGGTTTCACCATGTTGGCCAGGCTGGTCTCAAACTTCTGACCTCAAGTGATCCGCCCGCCTTGGCCTCCCAAAGTGCTGGGATTACAGATGTGAGCCACCACGACCGGTCTAAGGGCTGTTTTTAAAGGGCACTAATCTCATTCATGAGGGCAGAGTCTTCCAAAGGCTCCACTTCTTAATACTATCACCTTGGGAGTTAGGTTTCAACATATGAATTTGAGGGGGACACATACATTCAGACCATAGCAGGCCGTTTTTCCATTTCTTTTGGGTCCTAAATGATATTTGTTTCTGGAGTAGGAGGGCGTTCAAAGTCCTCTTTTGTTCTTCAGCACCCTTCGCTGAATTCAGGGGCAGATGGAGAAAGGCAAGAGGCACGGGGCAGCCTGTAGAAGCAGTATCTAGCACTGAGTCCCCAGTATCCCCTAGGCACGCCAGGAGAGCCTCCTGGAAATCCTCACTCAGCAGATCCAGGGTAGGAACGCGGCTTCTGTTGAATAGCCTTACATCGAGATATGCAGGTTGGGGGCGGTGGCTCACACCTGTAATCACAGCACTTTGGGAGGCTGAGGCGGGAGGATCATCTGAGGTCAGAATTCGAGACCAGCGTGGCTAACATAGTGAAACCCCGTCTCCACTAAAAATACAACAAATTAGCTGGGCGTGGTGGCGGGAACCTGTAATCCCAGCTCCTACGGAGGCTGAGACACGAGAATTACTTGTACCCAGAAGACAGGTTGCGGTGAGCCGAGAGCGCGCCCCTGCACTCCCACCTGGGCGACAGAGTGAGGCTGTCTCCCCCCTCCCCCCAAAAAACGAGAGAGATATGAGGCTCAGCTACCAAAGTCACGCGCGAGAAGGGAAATGCTTGTAGGTCCCTGCCCTTGGGGGAGAGCGGAGTGAAAACCGGCGCGTGGCCGGCGAGCACGGCCCCTCCCAGCGGAGGTCCTACAGGCGCCCGCGAGCCCCGCCTCTCCAGCTTCGCCGCGCCAGCACCCCGCCACCGGCGCTGGCTCTGAAGGGCCCCGGCGGCGGCCGCGTCTGCGCAAGCTCGGGACGGCCTCGGGAGGCGGGGCTGGCGCGGGGCGGACGCGGGGGCTGGCGCGGGGCGGACGCGGGGGCTGGCGCGGGGCGGACGCGGGGGCTGGCGCGGGGTGGCGGGCGGGGGCTGGCGCGGGGTGGCGGGCGGGGGCTGGCGCGGGGTGGCGGGCGGGGGCTGGCGCGGGGTGGCGGGCGGGGCCTGGTCCTGTGAGCGTTCGGAGACTGCGGGCGCGCAGACCTGTACTGGGCCCGCGCCCCGGCCCCTTACAGAGCTGGGTGTGTCCCTCCGAGTGCCCCCCGCTAGGGACTGTGCAGGCCGGAGCTAGGCAGGGACAGCGGGGCGAACCGGGCTGATAGAGTCGGTCCCTGCTCCTGTGAGGCTCTCACCGAATCCCTGCTGTTTCCGGGCAGCTGAAGAGCGCTGGGCCCTCGCGTCGCGGGCGTGGCTGTGGCCGTGTCTCCTGGTAGTCTGAGCCCACTGTGCGTGTGGATCCACGTGGGAGCTGGGTTCCAGAGCCTGGTCCTGAGGAGGAGCCGAGCCGGGGGTAGGAGGCCGGACTTGGCGAGGGAAGAGCACGACCCCGGGCAGCAGTGCGCCGCGCTGGGCGCACCGGGGTTTGCCGGCCCTGCTCTGGGCCCTGCAGGTCCGCTGGCCCCGCCGCGCCTAGTGGGGATGCCCCGTGTCCCCCAGGCAGCCCCAGCCTGCGTCCCGCTCCCTGAACCCTCGGGAGGACCACAGGGCTGTGGCCGAAAGACAGAGATTTGGACCTAGTGAAAGGACGCCGCTCCTTAGCCCCAGCTATGGACTCCACAGCATCAGGTTTGGCTCTGGAGCGTGCAGAGGGCCAGGAGCCCTCTTGGGGAGCTAGTACCGAGCCCGATATCAGGAGGACCCCAGGAAGAGGCCGGGGAATCCCACTGAAGGGTGAGGCTGTACTTCATCTGCCTTCCGTGTGGCGACATCTAACCTTCCAGACCCAGAAGGCTGAAGCCGCAGTCTCCTGGGTCTGGCAGGGGTCTCTAGATGACCGTGGCGGAGGTGGAGGGGATGGCCATGGAAAATTGTCCCAATGGCCAGAGGAGAGCAGAAGAGGATCTGATCTCTTCCTGCTGCGGCAGGGAGAGGGCAAGCAAACCCAAGAGGGAGTGGCCCTTGGCCAGGGATCAGAGGACGATAGGGCCATTTGGAGCCTTGTCATCCACCTCCTTAATCACCTCACTAATAAGGTTCTTCCAGTCGTTCTAGCTCAGCGGTGTATAAGGTCAGCAGTGTACATGGTGGGTATCTCCTCTGAGCCCCTTCCCCCAATAGCGTTGGGGGCAGGGCAATCCAGGTGACCCAGGAGGTTTTAAGCCAGTCCTAAGTTTAGAACGTCCTATCTCTAACCAGGTGGGCATTTTAATCCGACTGTTCATCCTTCAGTGCACATGCTCAAGGACACATAACTGGCCAGTGGAAGAACTGGGCCCAGTCCGTGGGCTTCCCACCCCCTCTTTTTTCCTTTATACCCTTGTTAATCAGTGTGGCTCTGGGAACAGCAGAGGCATTGCCCAGAAGTTCTCTAGAATTGCAGACTCTGGGGCCCCACACATCCTCAAACAGTGTCTTAGCAAGTCTTGAGCCAGAGTTTAACAAGATCCTCAGGGATCCACACACACATGAAGCTTGAGGAATGCCTAACTGTGCTATGCTTACACCCATGTTGTTAGCCTTAACTACTTCTCTGGCATGGTTTGGGTTAGTTTTTTTGTTTGTTTTAAGGCTTTTATGAACAGTATGATGCAAAGCTTTATAATGAAGGAGCTCTCAAGTGTGTTGCAGAGACCTAACAGAGCTTGGGAACACCAGGGGCAGCTTCTCAGAAAGAGGTGGCCTCTGAGCTGGGTTCCCAAGGATGAGGGGAGAGGTGTAACTTCCTCCCCTTAAAGCCTCATAATCCTGCATGGCCTTGCCTTGGGTCTTGTGTAATTGTTAACCTGTAGGCTAGATTTAAAGTTCCTTGAAGTTCTTTTCCATATTTATATTTCCAAAAGTCCTAGGAGATGACCTGCATACAGTATGCCCAGTAAATAACTTCAGTGGTATGGCCAGACTGGTCACACTTCACTCACTTGTAGACTGATGTGGGCTGTGGACAGGTGGGAGCCTCATGCAGCTGTGTACAGGGGCACTTCTCTCAATGTTTGAAGGCTAGAAGCTGCCTCTCAGATCCTTTTGATCCACTGGTGTCCTCAGAACAACGGAGGTGACATTCAGAGCTGTTCTGGGTCTCAGGCTTGGGAAGTCTGAGAGCTGTGTGTGCTGGCTGGGTCAGCTTCCCTTATGTCTCCTTCTACCTTCCCAGCTTCCCCTTCTCAGAATCCTGCTCTTCCTCCAGAGAGATTCCCAGGAGAAGAGGGAACAACCAATTCATTCCTGAAAGCCAGGCCTCGGGTGAGTTGTATTCTTAATTTTTCCTCAAATGCCTGAACGATGGTTAGCTTTGCCTACTTTTCACCAAAAAGTAGCCTCTTTTTTCACTAAGGGAACTGACCCAATGCTGTCTCTGCAGGAGGCTGAGCCCATCCAAGTGAATGATGGCTCCCTGACCTGTCCGGGGTGTTCTCTTCTTGCTGTGCACCCACTCAGATCGTTTGGGCTTACTCTGACATATTTCTAGAAAGGGCACTGTGGTGACCACCAGGTAATGTGACAGCCCTGGCCTTGAAAGAGTGTCACAGCCACAGTGGAAGAGGACCCTGACACCCAGGACGCAGCCACCAGTAACAGGATGTGAATGGTTTGATGCCAAATGGAGTGGCACAGACAGGCCTTTCCATCGAGGTTCACGAAAAGGGGAATCGGCCTGTTCTGGAGAGGTTGGGAAAGCTCATGGAGAATTGGGGACAAGCAGGTTCTGAGGGTATGGACAGGTGGGCAGGCTATTTGAAGCTGGGTCCCTGTTCAGATGTTATCTCCCTGGATAAGGGAGGAGGCACACTTAACTTTACTACTTACAGGCTGTGTGGCCTTGGATGAGTCACCTAACCTCTCTATGCATTGGTTTGCCACCAGTAACATGTTAAGCAGGCAGCAGTAACATGAAGACTATAATAATGTTAATGATGATGAAAATAGTTATTATTTATGGAGAACAAAACCTGTATCAGGAACTATTCTCTACAATTTACACATACTAATTCATTTTGTCTCTAAAACATTCCCATAAATGGTTACCATTTTGAAGAATGGTAACCAAAGTGTGGAGAGGTTAACAGAAGAAGTCAAGGCACAGAGAGAGAAAGTAACTTGTTCATGGTTATCTAGTTAGTGAGGAAGGGACCCCAATTTTACATCCAGGCTGTCTGGCTCTGAGATCTTAACCACTCAATCATAGAGCCGCCTCATGTTGTTGTTAGAGTCCGCTGGCAGTTCCGCTGGCAGATGGTAACTGCCTAATCCTTGTTGGCATCAGGGATCATGGTGACTGGCCCTCAGGGGGGATTCAGGTTTGTCTCTAGTGAGCTGGATGTGGAGGGGTACAAATGCCAGCCTCCGGGGTTTCCCAGCATCCAGGATAGGCATGGGATTCAGGTTTGATGATAGACACTGACATTTAACTTTCAAGCCAAAAGGGGGAACCCCCCTAGTAAGGAATTTAATCAGTAAAGTCATAAATAGCAGTTAAATATTTTTGGCCCTGATGTACATCATTCAGAGGTTTATCAGAGCACTTAGGTGGGTTCAGTGTGGTAATGACAGCCCCACATCTCAATGGCTCGCAGTTAGAAAGAGTGCCTTTCTTCTTTCTGCTGTCTTTGTCAGTAGTGGGCTGACTGTGACTCTGCTCCACACCCTCTTCTCTCTGAGCTTCAGGCTGAAGGGTCAGTTCCCTCTGGGATATGCTCTTCTTGTATCAGAGGGAAAGAGCAGTGTGAGAACCCGGGGATGGCTCTTTGGGTTTCCACTCAGAAGCGGCACATGTGGCTTCTGCTCACAACCCACTGGCTGCTGCAGGTCCTGTGGCCAAGCCTAATGTTAATGAAGTGGGAAGTATTAGCTTCCTAGAGTGAGGATCCTAAAGGGAAGGGCAGGGATTATGTTAAGCGAATAATTCATCTATCACTGTATATTTTCTTACCCATAGATGTTCACTTCCCTCTCTCCTGCACACAAAATGCCCTCCAAGAGAAATAACCCAAGAGCTGCATCCAGTCAGAGCATCATGATCAAAGTCCTGGATGGCGCGATAGTCTGGATGGAGATCCTGTGGGTCTGGATACCTATAAACTAAAAGGACAATTACCTGAATCCATATATCCAATATACAATGAGCAATGGGGACAGGATGGCCATGGTAGACACTCCTTTGCAGAAGAGGGAAGCATGGGAAGAGTCAGTCCCGGGTCCATAACAGTCGTGAAATTCCACTGGACAGACACTGTGAGGACCCTTGGTCTTGGGAGTGGGAAAGTCTGTAGGTTACACCCTGGTTCTGCTCCCTGGGTGGAGCTCCCTGGCCTAGTGTTTTCCTTGGCTGTTGGCTTTGCCATTGGGAAGTTCCTTCGTTTTGATACCTCCTTGGTGTCATATGAAGATGATACTGGAGAATAAGCTTTCTTGGGGGCAAAGCAGCTTTTTCATCCTGCTGGAGTAGGTTGGTGGCCCAGGATTGTTTTAAGTGCAACTCTAAAAAACTTAATCAGCTTTTTATGAATTTGTTTCCAGTTGGCTCCATGTGTCAGTGGTTTGACCCACAGTTCTTTTTGAAATATGCCCCCTTCTTTAGCCTTAATTGTGGAGTTTTTGGATTTCCTTGGGAAATCTATACTTTTTTCACTCTGAACAATTTGGTCCCACTGAAAGCCTTTATTGGGAGCCTTTTGAAATTACTGGGAGATTTACTGGGAGCCTTTTGAAATTACTCAGAGGTTTAAACAAAAAGGTTTGACAACCACATCCATGATTTGGTCCCTGATAATGGGCTGAGTTTTAATTAGCTGTTGTCACGCAGAAGCTGATGTATATTGTCTTTGGCCAGTTGGAAATGAGAATTGGTTGTCTCCAACCCTGCAAGCCCTAGCATTTCTGGACATTTCCTATTGCCTTCCATTTTTGTTTTGCAAACCACAAACTCTTGAGCTCATTTTTTCTTGTAATACTTTGTCAAACTCAGCCAATAACAACCAGCTCACACTACTAATGTTATGTTTCCAGCCTCTTCTCATAACATCACAAGCTCATGCTTTCATTGTTCATCTTTCAAGTTACTGAAGGCAATAGTTTCACCAAACAGTTCACCACCAAATTACATGGGTTGCCACCTTGCCAATAAGTTTCTTCACTGCCTGGCCTGGATGCCAGTGTCATCTATTTTTGGCTTTTTGTTATGGCAGAACTCCACTGTGAGTACCAGTTTTTTAAGGAGTCAGTATAGGCTAGTTATGCCATGATAGCAACAGCAAACCCTCAGAGACTTACACCATGAAAGGTTCCCTCTTGCCCATGTTACGTGACAGCTGTGGCTTTGCCCACATCTTCACTCAGATCATTTGCCATTTGCAAGGCAGACAGGAAAGGACAATTGCAGAACCCCCACTGGCTCTGAAGGCTTTTGCTCACCTGTAGCTCGTGTCTTTCACGTTCAGTTTGAGAAAGCAGATGACATCGCCCCACCTGGGGCAGGGTGAGGCAGAAGCTCAATTCTTTAGGGAGGGTCAGTGGATATTTTGGACAAATAATATAACCTATCAAAAGAGGTCACTATAGTAGTGAATTTTTCATGTTTGATTATTTTGGATGATTTTATATTATAAAATTGTTACTTCAGCTTTTCTGTGGAATCAGTATCTAAATGGGATTTGATTTTTAAATACTTTGGTGTAAAAGTAACAGGAATTTGTAGTACTTACTTTCACCTATTTTGCTCTTTAGTGGATTGCCATACAATATAAGCTAAATGGGAGGTGTTCTAATTACTGAGATTGAAGGTGACAGGATAGTTCTGGCCAGGACCTGTAGAATAATTATGCTTTATAATGGTGACCTGGGATCCAGGGTCTCATGCTCAGCTTTATAAACTTAGGAACTGAATAATGAGTAGGCTTTGGGGGAAAGGATCATGCTAGTCAAACGCACAAAACTTATTGTTTCATCATAAAGCCACTTGTGATTTACTTTTGCTGAACTGTGTGCTGGCAGGCAGGTGGAGGATAAATTATCATAAGCCCCAGATTACTTGATTTGGCCTTATTGTTGTCAGAATCATAGGTCACAAGTTTCAAAAATACTTTATTAGAAAACTGTTGATCCTTGTGTATTTGAGAATGCAAAGCATATTCATTTGTTAATTCTAATTGATTCCAATTAAATGTAACTAGATTGAGAATAAAACCTTTTGACAAATGAGGAAATGTATTACATTTACCTCCACCTGAGAAGAATGTCTCTGTAGGCCTGATTCACCTGAGACCCTGATTATATTTCCTAGCAGTTTCATATTGATAAGCATATAAGTGGACACTGGAGTGTCTTCTGTGTTTCAGGACCTGATGACATTTGAAGATGTGGCTGTGGAATTCAGCCAGTGGGAGTGGGGGCAGCTGAACCCTGCTCAGAAGGACCTCTACAGGGAGGTGATGCTGGAGAACTTCAGGAACTTGGCCATTCTGGGTGAGCACAAGCCCTCCAAAGCCCACCCAGCAGGACTTCTTGATTTCCTTGATGTTTAAGAGCTAGTGGTGTCTGGGCTGGTTGGCTAAGTTTGGCCCTGGGTTTCCTTGGGAAGTCTGGAATCAGACATTTACATTCTCTTTGGGGCCCAGTGATACAGTATTTCTGTTCCTAGTTCTAGGAAACATCCAGCTACTTATGGAGTTGAAATAGGAAGTTACCTGGCTGTGTTCCTAACTTTTCACAATGCCTGTTCTCTGGAGGCTTTCCATGCCTACAGTATTTCTCCACCTTGAAGATGAATATCCAAAGACTTGGCCACTGGCACACACAACCAAAATCCTTTTCCTTCTCTACCATCAGGCCTTCTAGTATCCAAACCATATGTGATCTGCCAGTTGGAGGAAGGGGGTGAGCCCTTCATGGTGGAGAGAGAAATCTCAACAGGAGCCCACTCAGGTGAGTGAGTGAGTGAAAGCATTGCATATGATAAGGCCCAGCTGGGGTGGGAGGTAGCCCAGAGCCTTTGGTCAGTGTGCTGTCCTTTCAGAAGATGAGATCACTTGGCAGGAGCCCTCAACTCTGGTATGTTGAATTTTGTAATTATTTCTGGTGTCAGGAGAGGAGATGTTCCTTTGCTTTTCTAGTCTTTATGCTTTGTTTGGTTCCCATCTCTGCCCATGCCTTCTGGGTTATTGGTGCCATGCAGCATCACTAGATGTCTCACAGTCAATGTTAGATGGATCAACAATCGTATAGGGCCAGGCAATCCTAGATCAGCAGAGTTAAGGGAGTTAGTGAGGGATCAAACAAAAAAGTTGAGCACCCCAGAAATGAAGGGGTTACAGGCAAGGACAGACAGAAGATGTCACGAAGATCCAGGTGAGGACACTTCAAGCTTGATTAAGGTGAGTCTCAAAAAAAGTGGTTCCAGGAACAAAGACTACTCCTTGACAGCTGTTAACAGCATCCCTTTGAGACCTTTGATTCTCAGGTGACTTGAGAGTACCTGGTAGGCTATATGCCTTGGAGCAGAATTCTTGACTCAAAGCTTTCCTGACTGCTGTGTGTAACCCAAGCACACTGGAGGCACGTGACAGTCTATGCCAGTTCATTTCCATGAGCCAGAACCTTACCTGTGGCCAGAGCTGAAGCTCAGGAAAGTGGTGCTAAATTCCTGAGAGGATAGGCTGGGCTTTATGAAAGGGAACTAGGTTATGGCAGAGAGGGAAGATGCTGATATCCTCTGTACTGGTACTTACTTGATCTTTTTTCCTTCCAAAATGAGATCAAGGGTCTGACATCTGGATCTAGTCATCTGTTTATTTAACAGTGGTATATGAGCATGGCTGTGTTTCAGAATGTCCCAGGGAGCTTGTTAAACATTCAGGTTCCCAGGAGCCACACAAGACCTATTGACTCAGAAACTCTCTGACTGGCCTCTGGGACCACTGGTTAGGCATTACCAGTCATTTCCTTCTTCAGAAGTGTGCTTGTTATTATTATTTTATTAATTTTCCACTGTGGCTGAAACAGAGTAGCACAAACTTGGTGGCTTTAAACAACACAAACTCATGTCATAGTTCATAGGTCAGAAGTCTGGCATGTGTATCACATGGTTCCAACCAAGATGTCCACAGGGCTGCACACCTTTCTGGAGTGGCTGGGCACCTTTTTTCTTTTCATTTGGGTTGTTGGCAGAACCAATACCTTGCAGTTATAAAACCGAGGTCCTTGTTTTCTTGCTGGCTATAAACAGATGGGTGTTCCCAGCTTCTAGAGACTGCCAGATTACTTGACTGAAAGTGCCCCTCGTCCATCTTCAAAGCCAACAATGGTTTACACATCTTTCTGCCCAGCCAGGAAATGCTCTCCGATTTTAAGCACTCATGATTAGATTTGACCTATTTAAATAATCCAGGATAATCTCCCCATCTCCAGGTCTGTGCTCTTAATCACATCTGCAAAGTCCCTTTTGTCATATAAGGTAACCCACTCACAGGTTCTTGTGATTAGGGCATGGGCATCTTTAGGGGAGAGTTTCTCTTCCTATCATATAGAGTAATATGATACATGTTATATGTATATGTGCATAATATATAATAATATAGGGTGTGCACTAAGGTGTTAAAAGAATACTTCGTGGAGGACATGAGCTTGTCCCTGAAAGGTACGCAAAGTCTTAAAGAAAGAGAGTGGTGAGAGGGGCAGTGGATATATGGGAAACAGGAAGGCAGCCAGTTTCTGTGCTCAAGGCACTTGCTGAAAAAGAGGACAGGACCTGGTAAAGTATTATAGAGCTATAGTGGAAGATAAAGGGTTTATCCTGTAGGCACTGGAGAGCCTTTGGAAGATTAAGACTGGGAAGAAACTTAAGGAAATGGGCATTTGGAAAAGAAGAAAGTGAAGGGTTTCAGGAAACCTGGAGGTAGGAAGACTGGGTAGAATTCTGTTACAATTATGTAGGCTTGAAGAAATTGTGAGAATATAGAATCTGTACCTGGGTGACTTACGATCCTATACTTGGTTTATTGATTTTTGTCTCCATCCTTTACACTTAGTCTATTTCCTTGTCACCCTTCCTACCCTCCTCTCATCTTTAGTCTTTGGACTTACCTTGTGTACTGGAATCTAAACACATATCTCTCAGATTTTCTTAATCTCCAGTCATCTGCTCATCACTCATTCTTGATACTCCAAAACCATCTTCAGACATAAGCCATTATTGAAAAAATCTGTACGTCCCTTTTAGGTGTTATTTTAAAGCTTAATTATTTCACATTCATTATAGGAGCTTGCTTTTCTTGCTACATAGGACATTCTACATACTAGAATGTCTTCTTTTTTTTTTTTTTTTTTTAACAGACTGGAAGAGAAGGTCTAAATCCAAGGAATCAATGCCAAGTTGGGGAATTTCCAAAGAAGAATTATTCCAGGTAGTATCAGTGGAAAAACACATTCAAGATGTGCTGCAGTTCTCGAA